>NC_000006.12:30969090-31272121 GCF_000001405.40 Homo sapiens | reverse complement strand
CTAAAGTCCCCAGTCACCCACCCGGACTCACATTCTCCCCAGAGGCCGAGATGCGGGTCATGGCGCCCCGAGCCCTCCTCCTGCTGCTCTCGGGAGGCCTGGCCCTGACCGAGACCTGGGCCTGTGAGTGCGGGGTTGGGAGGGAAGCGGCCTCTGCGGAGAGGAGCGAGGGGCCCTCCCGGCGAGGGCGCAGGACCCGGGGAGCCGCGCAGGGAGGTGGGTCGGGCGGGTCTCAGCCCCTCCTCGCCCCCAGGCTCCCACTCCATGAGGTATTTCGACACCGCCGTGTCCCGGCCCGGCCGCGGAGAGCCCCGCTTCATCTCAGTGGGCTACGTGGACGACACGCAGTTCGTGCGGTTCGACAGCGACGCCGCGAGTCCGAGAGGGGAGCCGCGGGCGCCGTGGGTGGAGCAGGAGGGGCCGGAGTATTGGGACCGGGAGACACAGAAGTACAAGCGCCAGGCACAGGCTGACCGAGTGAGCCTGCGGAACCTGCGCGGCTACTACAACCAGAGCGAGGACGGTGAGTGACCCCGGCCCGGGGCGCAGGTCACGACCCCTCCCCATCCCCCACGGACGGCCCGGGTCGCCCAGAGTCTCCCCGTCTGAGATCCACCCCAAGGTGGATCTGCGGAACCCGCCCAGACCCTCGACCGGAGAGAGCCCCAGTCGCCTTTACCCGGTTTCATTTTCGGTTTAGGCCAAAATCCCCGCGGGTTGGTCGGGGCGGGGCGGGGCTCGGGGGACTGGGCTGACCGCGGGGGCGGGGCCAGGGTCTCACACCCTCCAGAGGATGTCTGGCTGCGACCTGGGGCCCGACGGGCGCCTCCTCCGCGGGTATGACCAGTCCGCCTACGACGGCAAGGATTACATCGCCCTGAACGAGGACCTGCGCTCCTGGACCGCCGCGGACACCGCGGCTCAGATCACCCAGCGCAAGTTGGAGGCGGCCCGTGCGGCGGAGCAGCTGAGAGCCTACCTGGAGGGCACGTGCGTGGAGTGGCTCCGCAGATACCTGGAGAACGGGAAGGAGACGCTGCAGCGCGCAGGTACCAGGGGCAGTGGGGAGCCTTCCCCATCTCCTATAGATCTCCCGGGATGGCCTCCCACGAGGAGGGGAGGAAAATGGGATCAGCACTGGAATATCGCCCTCCCTTGAATGGAGAATGGCATGAGTTTTCCTGAGTTTCCTCTGAGGGCCCCCTCTGCTCTCTAGGACAATTAAGGGATGAAGTCTCTGAGGAAATGGAGGGGAAGACAGTCCCTGGAATACTGATCAGGGGTCTCCTTTGACCACTTTGACCACTGCAGCAGCTGTGGTCAGGCTGCTGACCTTTCTCTCAGGCCTTGTTCTCTGCCTCACACTCAATGTGTCTGAAGGTTTGATTCCAGCTTTTCTGAGTCCTGCAGCCTCCACTCAGGTCAGGACCAGAAGTCGCTGTTCCTCCCTCAGAGACTAGAACTTTCCAATGAATAGGAGATTATCCCAGGTGCCTGTGTCCAGGCTGGCGTCTGGGTTCTCTGCCGCCTTCCCCACCCCAGGTGTCCTGTCCATTCTCAGGATGGTCACATGGGCGCTGCTGGAGTGTCCCAAGAGAGATGCAAAGTGTCTGAATTTTCTGACTCTTCCCGTCAGAACCCCCAAAGACACACGTGACCCACCACCCCCTCTCTGACCATGAGGCCACCCTGAGGTGCTGGGCCCTGGGCTTCTACCCTGCGGAGATCACACTGACCTGGCAGCGGGATGGGGAGGACCAGACCCAGGACACCGAGCTTGTGGAGACCAGGCCAGCAGGAGATGGAACCTTCCAGAAGTGGGCAGCTGTGGTGGTGCCTTCTGGACAAGAGCAGAGATACACGTGCCATATGCAGCACGAGGGGCTGCAAGAGCCCCTCACCCTGAGCTGGGGTAAGGAGGGGAATGGGGGGTCACATCTCTTATCAGAGAAAGCAGAAGTCCTTCTGGAGCCCTTCAGCCGGGTCAGGGCTGAGGCTTGGGGGTCAGGGCCCCTCACCTTCTCCTCCTTTCCCAGAGCCATCTTCCCAGCCCACCATCCCCATCATGGGCATCGTTGCTGGCCTGGCTGTCCTGGTTGTCCTAGCTGTCCTTGGAGCTGTGGTCACCGCTATGATGTGTAGGAGGAAGAGCTCAGGTAGGGAAGGGGTGAAGAGCGGGGTCTGGGTTTTCTTGTCCCACTGGGAGTTTCAAGCCCCAGGTAGAAGTGTGCCCCGCCTTGTTACTGGAAGCACCATCCACACATGGGCCATCCCAGCCTGGGACCCTGTGTGCCAGCACTTACTCTTTTGTGAAGCACATGTGACAATGAAGGACGGATGTATCACCTTGATGATTATGGTGTTGGGGTCCTGATTCCAGCATTCATGAGTCAGGGGAAGGTCCCTGCTAAGGACAGACCTTAGGAGGGCAGTTGGTCCAGAACCCACAACTGCTTTCCCCATGTTTCCTGATCCTGCCCTGGGTCTGCAGTCGTAGTTCTGGAAACTTCTCTTGGGTCCAAGACTAGGAGGTTCCCCTAAGATCACATGGCCCTGCCTCCTCCCAGTCCCCTCATAGGGCATTTTCTTCCCACAGGTGGAAAAGGAGGGAGCTGCTCTCAGGCTGCGTGTAAGTGATGGCGGCGGGCGTGTGGAGGAGCTCACCTACTCCATAATTCCTCTTGTCCCACATCTCCTGCGGGCTCTGACCAGGTCTTTTTTTTTGTTCTACCCCAGGCAGCAACAGTGCCCAGGGCTCTGATGAGTCTCTCATCACTTGTAAAGGTGAGATTCTGGGGAGCTGAAGTGGTCGGGGGTGGGGCAGAGGGAAAAGGCCTGGGTAATGGGGATTCTTTGATTGGGACGTTTCGAGTGTGTGGTGGGCCGTTCAGAGTGTCATCGCTTACCATGACTGACCTGAATTTGTTCATGACTATTGTGTTCTGTAGCCTGAGACAGCTGCCTGTGTGGGACTGAGATGCAGGATTTCTTCACACCTCTCCTTTGTGACTTCAAGAGCCTCTGGCATCTCTTTCTGCAAAGGCACCTGAATGTGTCTGCGTTCCTGTTAGCATAATGTGAGGAGGTGGAGAGACAGCCCACCCCCGTGTCCACCGTGACCCCTGTCCCCACACTGACCTGTGTTCCCTCCCCGATCATCTTTCCTGTTCCAGAGAGGTGGGGCTGGATGTCTCCATCTCTGTCTCAAATTCATGGTGCACTGAGCTGCAACTTCTTACTTCCCTAATGAAGTTAAGAACCTGAATATAAATTTGTGTTCTCAAATATTTGCTATGAAGCGTTGATGGATTAATTAAATAAGTCAATTCCTAGAAGTTGAGAGAGCAAATAAAGACCTGAGAACCTTCCAGAATTTGCATGTTCGCTGTGCTGAGTCTGTTGCAGGTGGGGGTGGGGAAGGCTGTGAGGAGCCGAGTGTGGACGGGGCCTGTGCCTAGTTGCTGTTCAGTTCTTCATGGGCTTTATGTGGTCAGTCCTCAGCTGGGTCACCTTCACTGCTCCATTGTCCTTGTCCCTTCAGTGGAAACTTGTCCAGCGGAAGCTGTGACCACAGAGGCTCACCCATCGCCCAGGGCAGCCCCTGCACACGGGAGTCCCTGTGCTTTCTGAGACAAATTTTCAGACCCATTCAGCTCCTGCCCTCCTTCTAGGGCTCCTCTTCTGCTTTGGTCTCCTGCCCTCTCTCCCTTCCCTGATTCCAGTGATCTTCGTGCTGACTCCAATCCCAACTCATGAATCTAAAGCAGAGCCTAATTTAGATTTGTATTTGTTTGTAAAATTGGGTCCATAGTCTAGAATTGTTCCTTCCTGAAGAGAGAAACCTGATCGTGTGCTGCAGTGTGCAGGGCGGTTGGTGTGGGAGGAGGGATAGGGGAGGGAGGACACACAAGCAGCCCTGCTGAGAAAAGTACAGGCGGCCTCGGTGTCAGTGTGAGGGGACCTTGTGCTGCAGCTGCCACAAAACAGCACTTGGCCTGAGGCTATGTTAATAAAGATACTGGCTTTAGAATAGGAGGTGCTCTACACTGATCATTCAACTGACCTTTGTTGTCAGCCAGACATAGGACAGAAAAGTTCTGCATCTGGGGAACGCCATTGAAGTAAAATCAGAAAAATATCTGAGCATATGCTCCAGTGGTAAGAGGCAGACGATACATACACTATAACCAGAGTAAGAAAAGAAAGTGATGGAAGGTGGTAAGTGCCATGAGGCAGGTGATCCGGGTATGGGCAGTGGGGACAGGGAAGGTGGCTGTTGGACAGGAGTGGTCAATGTGTGCCTTGTTGCAAAGATGACCTTTCAGGAAAGATTTGAGGGATATGAGGATGTCTGGGGAAGTTCTTTCTAGGCAAGGAAACTCCAGTCCAAATGCACAATGGCAGGAAGGTGTCTGTGTTCCCAGAAGAGCAAGGAGGCCAGGAGGGCTGGACAGAGAAACTAGATGAGGTCAGAGGTGTGGCCAGAACAGGTGGGCTTGAGGGGAGTGGGGTTGCATCTGACCTTTGCTCTGAGTGGGATGGGGAGTTAGAGGACAGTTTTGAGCAGAAGAGGGCCATGATATGACTTCTTTCTTAAAAGGATCTCTGATGGCTGTGCTGAGGACAGAATTGAGAGGCGAGGGACGAGGGAGGCAGAAGGGAAAACAGGAATCGAGTGCAGTATTCCAGGCTGGAGATGTCGGTTACCTTGACTGGGGTGTGAGCACAGGAAATAGTGGGACGTGAGGGGATTCTGGATACATTTGAAGATAGACTCACAGCATTTGCCAATGGATTGTATCTGTGGTGTGAGAAAGACGAATCAAGGACACCCATAGTTGTAAAATGAGTGAGTAGAAGGAAGGGTGGAGCTGCTGTCAGTGGAGATGGGGAGACTCTGGCAGGAGCGTCCTGAGGAGGGGGCATCACAGGCACTCAGTGGAGGACATGGCTACTAGGAATGCAGGTGGGGGAGCTGGGGTGGCAGTTGGGCAGACAACTCCACAGTTCAGGGGAAAGGACTGGGCTGGAGAAATAGATTTAAGAGGTCACACCACATAAAGGATACTTAAAACCTCAAGCATGGATGAAGCACCAAGGGAGTGATTGACTATGGAAAAGAATGAGTGCAAGGACTGAACCCTGGACCTCCAGTTGTAAGGGATCTGATCAGACCACAGAGCAGACTGCACAGTTCTGGCCCCACGTCTAGAGGACACTCAGACAAGGAACCCCCATGTGCACCAGGATCACCTGTATGTGGTGCTGAGATCCAGGAAGTCTGGAGTCGAGCAAGAGATTCTGGATTTATGACAAGGCTGGAGCTCACGTTACTGGTCTCCTGATCACACTTGGAGCAGCCAGAACACCAGGATCCCACATGTCTGCATCAGCCTCGCCTGTAAGGCTTGTTATGTAAATGATTCCTTGGTCTTGTGCATAATATTGTGAGACAGGGGTTCTGAGGAGTGGCCTGAGTATTTTCTAAGCCTCCACCAGAAATCTTGTTGCTCAGCCGGATCAGGAACCTCAGAGATCAGAGAGTGCCCAGGGTGGGTGAGTGGGTGGGGTGGGGTGGGTTTTCAAACCCTGTTTAAAAGAGGATTTTTCTTGCAGAAAGGAAAGGGAGGATGTATATCATCAGTTAAGAGATGTGATATTCCCTGTTGATCTCTCCACCATGAGGTAGAGGCCAGGTAGACAATTCAGGATGTGGCTGTCACACAAGGAACACCTCCGAATGCTGCTCTCTGACCCTGGTCCATAGATTCATTTCTCACTCACCTCTTGGAGAAAACTATGGAAAACAAATTTCTGTAATTTACACATAAAGTAGTATATCTGGTATTGGGGGTTAATTTTATTGTGGGGAAGGCCACAGAACCAGGCTGAAAACTACACATCCCGGAACAGAATCCATAGCCCACGCCCCTGGATCAGGTCCCTCCTAGGAACAACTGCCCCTGCTGCTGAGCACAGACACCACTGCTCACACCTCTGACATCCTGGTGCTGGACACTGGACCCCAAGGCTAGGATAGATGTCACTGCTGCACCTGGCAACTGGACATCACTACTGACACTCAGCCATGTTTACTAAAATGCATTCTGCACAATCCCAGCCTTTCTGTGTCACCTCATACTAGCTCAGAGTCTGGCAGTGATATAGGATTTAAGAAGAAATTATTTAGGCAGGTAGTGAGGGTACAGAAGTCTCAGTAAGGTTTTCTTTTTAATGGAAAGCAGGCCCCAAATCATTTTCTTTTCTGACAAAGACCAGCCTGTAAAATCAAGCTTCAGACATAGACAAGCAAGCTGGAAGCTTGCACGAGTGAATGCTGGCAGCTGTGCCAATAGGAAAAGGACACCTAGGACTAGACGTGTTCACAATGATGGCTCCATCTTCCCTTCTTTTTGCCAGCCATGTGTTCAGTAAAGAGCAGGCAACATAGCACCGGCCAATAAACTCACTCCTTGTGTGTCACTGTCCTTAATCTTCTTGGCAAGATACAATGAACCCTGAGTATTTACCTGAGACAACAATGCCGCTTCAGCAGGTGGTCATCTGACTGATGGAGTTTAAGACTCATGTCCATTATCAACTGCAGGGGTGACTGGAGTGTTGTGCTATTCTAGGGATGCGGGTGGTTTCTATCTCCTCTTAACATTTTACATGTTGTAAACCAAAAATAAACTTCAAACCCACCCTCTCCCAACCATCTTAATGGACACCCTCCTCAGCCAGGGTGCTCAAAAGTTAACTTGAAAGACTGGCTCAAGCCACCATGGGAAGCAGGTGTTGAACATGCCTCATTATGGCCTCTTCCCTTTTGGAATTCAGGAAAAGCTGACCAGCAATTAACATCAACACAGACCTTAAGTCTGATCAGAAACATTATAATCTATTCTCTCTGAAGCCTGGCACCTGGAGGCTTCAACTGCATGATAAAATTTTGGACTCCACAACCTCTTATCATAACCCAGACGTTCCTTTTTATTGATAATAACTCAACCAATTGCCAATCAGAACATTTTAAAATCTACCTATAACCTAGAAGCAGTAACCCCCAACCCCCGCTTGCTTCAAATTGTTCTGCTTTTCTGGACTGATCCAATGTATATCTTAAATACATATTATTAGTGTCTCATATCTTCCTAAAATGTATAAAACCAACCTGTACCCCAACCACATTGAGTACATGTTCTCAGGGTCTCCTGAGGGAAGTGTCATGGGCTGTGGTCACTCGTATTTGGCTCAGAATAAATCTCTTCAAATATTTTATGAAGTTTGCCTCTTTTCATTGACAGTGTGGAATTCTGATGTAGTAAGAGGGTTGAAGTGCTGGAGTGTGAAGGGTGGGAAAAGAATGATAAATTTTAATTATTGGAGCAGTGCTCCAAGACAAGAAATTTATCTTGTATCTGGTAGGGATTCAGAGTGTCTGAATGAACCAGTGACTAATAAATAACATCTTTCCACCCATTCCATTGAAAATAAGTTATTACATCAAGTTTTTGTCTATCCCAGTTCATACTCCAGATTATTGGAGTGGCATTGTGTGCTTGGCATTGTCTCTTACTAGGATTAAAACACCCAGGTTTGTAAGATCTCAGAGGATCTGGTTGCACACTGATGTTTTATATTAATATTTATATTTTCTTGTGTGTGGAAATATTTCTGGGGAGAGAATCTCTGACACTTATTAGTTTTTATGTGACCCCCTCAAAGGCCTAAAAAATCCTAACTTCTAGGTTAGAGGTAGGGCCACTCCATGTCTGGACAATGAATAGCTGGTAGAAACCTGTGTTTAGCAGACTTAGGGACATGAAATAAATGCTTAATTTTTTTTTATCTTTTCCTCTGGGACCGAAGAAGGTAGAGGTTTACTTGCTTACTCTTACTGTTGTTGCGGGAAGTCAAGGACCCTGAACGGAGGGACTGGCTGGAGCTGCGGCAGAGGAACATAAATTGTGAAGATTTCATTTTAATATGGACATTTAACAGTTCCCAAATAATACTTTTATAATTTCTTATGCCTGTCTTTACTTTAATCTCTTAATCCTGTTATCTTCATAAGCTGAGGATGTACATCACCTTAGGACCACTGTGATAATTGTGTTACAATTTGATTGTAAAACGTGTGTTTGAACAATATGAAATCAGTGCACCTTGAAAAAGAAGAGAATAACAGCAATTTTTATGGAACAAGGAAAGACAACCATAAGGTCTGACTGCCTGCGAGGTTGGGCAAAAAGAGCCATATTTTTTCTTCTTGCCCAGAGCCTATAAACAGACGTGCAAGTAGGAGAGATATCACTAAATTTTTTTCCTAGCAAGGAATATTAATATTAATACACTGGGGAAAGAATTCATTCCTGGGGGAGGTCTATAAACGGCTGCTCTGGGAATGTCTGTCTTATGCAGTTGAGATAAGGACTGAGATATGCCCTGGTCTCTTGCAGAACCCTCAGGCTTACTAGGGTGGGGAAAAACTCTGCCCTGGTAAACTTGTGGTCAGACCACTTCTCTGCTCTCAAACCCTGTTTTCTGTTGTTTAAGATGTTTACCAAGACAATACGTGCACTGCTAAACATAGACCCTTATCAGTGGTTCTGCTTTTGCCCTTTGTCTTGTTCCCTCAGAAGCATGTGATCTTTGTTAGACCCCTATTAGTAGTTCTGCTTTTTGCACTCAGAAGCGTGTGATTTTTTACCTACTCCTTGTTCTTACACCCCCTCCCCTTTTGAAACCCTTAACAAAAACTTGTTTGTCTGAGACTCAAGCGGACATCACAGTCCTACTGATATGTGATGTCACCCCTGGTGGCCCAACTGTAAAATTCCTCTCTTTGTACTGTCTTTCTTTATTTCTCAGCTGGCTGACACTTATGGAAAATAGAAAGAACCTACGTTGAAATATTGGGGGTGGGTTCCCCCAATATACTGTAAGTTTCTCTCTGTGGGATGGTGATGGGGTTTTCCTCCAGCCAAATAATTTTCTGATTCTCCAACAGCAACTGGGAGTCCTAGAATTTGACTCAATTCTGACACTAACTACCTGGAGTTAGCCTCAGACTCCACAGGTTTAAGGACTCAGTCCCACAAGTCTGTCCTCACTTCAGATGCAAGTCACAAGTTATTGGGTTCCAGGTTACCTGCACTTCTGTCTATCATGGCTGCAAAGTCAGGGGTTTCTCACCTCCCAAGGTTTGGGAATTCTTAAACTAACTCAAAGAACTCAGGAAGTTCCTATAGCCATGTAAACCAAAAAACATCTGAGACAGGTATCAATCAGTTTAGAAGTTTATTTTGCCAAGCTGAAGATGTACCTTGGAAACAGAGACACAAATTATTGTAGCATCTGTGGCCCATGCTTTTTACTAAGAGGGTTTTGAGGACTTCAATATTTACAGGAGAAAGAGCAGGCAGGAGAGGAAAAAGGAACAGGCAACTATGCTTTCATCGAGTGCTCAGTAAATCTGCATTTTACATAAGACAAAGTAAATGTTGGGTAGAGAAGTCAAATACACATTTGTCTCCAGGCGAGTGGAGGGATGATTTCTGGTCTTGTCTTTGTCCTGTACCTGTGAAGATAAGCTGTTAATTTACATTGTTAGGGTGAAATTCAACAAAACTCTGTTTTAGAGTAAAGATGTTGGGGCCCACAAGGAATTATCTTGTGAACAATTTGTGAGGGAGGCCACCTGGGGAGATATGTGGTCCTCAATCTTTGCAGTTATTTGTTTAGGAACAAAAGAAAGGCAGTTTTTCCATCACTCAGTTACCAAACTTAACTTGTCCCTTTGGTATAGTGAATTTGGTGTCCCTAAATTTTATTTTTCTTTCACACTCAGTATCGTAGTTTATTATTGTTATAGCTTAAATCAGTGGTCCCCAACTTTTTGGCACCAGGGACCAATTTCATGGAAGACAATTTTTCCATGGACCAGCAGAGGTAGCAGGGAATAGGGGGGAATGCATTGAGGATGAAACTGTTCCACCTCAGATGATCAGGCATTACTGTTTCATATGGAGCATGCAACCTAGATCCCTCGCATGCAGAGTTCACAATAGGGTTCATGCTCTTATGAGAATCTAATTCCGCCACTGATCTGACAGGAGGCGGAGCTCAGGTGGTCATGCTCATGCTCTCTCACCCACTAGTGACCTGCTGTGCGGTCTGGTTCCTGCCAAGCCAGGAACCTGTACCAGTCCACAGCCGGGGGTTACAGACTCTTGGTTTAAATTATGCCACTATAGTAGAACACCTGAGACTGGATAACTTAAAATGAACAGAAATTTATTTTGTTCATGGTTGTTGAGGATGGGAATTCCAAGACCAAGGACTGTACCTGGTAGAAAGCAAAAGGGCAAGAGAGGGTGAGAGGTAGGGGGAATAAGAGGTCAAACTCACAGCCTCAGGTCCTTTTATGATCAGACTTAATTCATTAATGGGGGCAGAGCTCTGATGGTCCAATCACCTCTCGAAGGTCCCACCTCTTAAAAATGTTGCATTCAGGATGAATTATCCAACAGATGCTTTTCTAGGGAAACATTCAAACCATAGCAGTTATAAAGGGTACAAATGAGCAGCCAGATGAAGAGGTGCATAGGGTGAGGCCTGGAAGGGCTCTGAGCACAGGAGCCTCTGTCCCCATGGAGATGAGGTTCACCATCCTCCCAGCACATGGACACACGGATGTACTCACCAGTTGGGAAGCTCTCCGAAACCCAATCTCTAGAGGTTTCTATGGAAGTTTCATTGTGTACGCAAGATTAATTAAATCAATGGCCACTGGTGACTGAACTCAACTTCCAGCCCCTCTTTGCTTCTCAGAGGTAAGAGATGGTGCTGAAAGTTCCAATCCTCTAATCACAGCTTCATGTTTCTGGCAACCAGCCCCCATCCTGAAGCTATTTAGGAGCCCCTCACCCCATAGTCATCTCATTGGCATATTAAAGTCATACTTATCACTGAGGAGATTGCAAATGTTTTGGAACCTGCTTGTCAGGAAACAGGGAAAAAGACCAAATATTTTGATTGGGCCACAGATCACACCCTGGTCTTTGACCACATTATCTCTTTTTATAATATTTATTTATTTCAGAGACAAGGTCTTGCTCTGTTGCCCAGGGTAGAATGCAGTGGCACAATCATAGCTCATTGTAACCTTGAATTCCTGGGCTCAAGTTATCCTCCTGCCTCAGCCTCCTGAGCAATAGCATTACAGGTGCACACCAGCATGCCCAACTAATTTTTTAAAGATTTTGTAGGAATGGGGTCTCACTATTTTGCCCTGGTTGGTCTCAAACTCCTGGCCTTAAACAATCCTCCTACCATGGCCTCCGAAACTGATGGAATTACAAGTCTGAGCCACTGTGCCTGGCCAATCACAGATCTCCTATACCAGAAGAATCATAACAGTGAGAAGATCCTGGTACATTACCAGAATCCTTTTTGGTCATGAACAATTATCCCAGGGGAGATCATTCCAAGATAACCAAATAGGAACCGCTCCAGTCTACAGCTCCCAGCGTGAGCGGTGCAGAAGACGGGTGATTTCTGCATTTCTAACTGAGGTACTGGGTTCATCTCATTGGGACTTGTCACACAGTGGGTGCTGCCCACAGAGTGTGAGCTGAAGCAGGGCAAGGCATTGCCTCACCAGGGAAGCACAAGGGCTCGGGGAATTCCCTTTCCTAGCCAAGGGAAAACATGAGAGATTGTACCTGGAAAATCGGGACACTCCCACCCTAATACTGTGCTTTTCCAACAGTTGTAGTGAATGGCACACTAGGAGATTATATCCCACGCCTGGCTCAGTGGGTCTCACACCCATGGAGCCTTGCTCACTGCTAACACAGCAGTCCAAAATTGAACTGGGAGGTGACAGTGAGGCTGGGGGAGGGGCGTCTGCCATTGCTGAGGCTTGACTAGGTAAACAAAGTGGCAGGAAGCTCAAACTAGGTGGAGCCCACTGCAGCTCAACAAGGCCTGCCTGCCTCTGTAGACTCCACCTCTGGGGGCAGGGCATAGCTGAACAAAAGGCAGCAGAAACTTCTGCAGACTTAAATGTCCCAGTCTGACAGCTTTGAAGAGAGCAGTGGTTCTACCAGCATGGAGTTTGAGATCTGAGAACGGACAGATTGCCTCCTCAAGTGCGTCGCTGACCTCTGAGTAGCCTACCTGGGAGACACCTCCCAGTAGGGACCGAATGACACCTCATACGGCCGGGTGCCCCTCTGAGACGAAACTTCCAGAGGAAGGATCAGGCAGCAACATTTGCTGTTCTGCAATATTTGCTGTTCTGCAGCCTCTGCTGGTGTTACCCAGGCAAACAGGGTCTGGAGTGGACCTCCAGCAAACTCCAATAGACCTGCAGCTGAGGGTCCTGACTGTTAGAAGGAAAACTAACAAACAGAAAGAATAACATCAACAAAAAGGACATCTACACCAAAACCCCATCTGTAGGTCACCATCATCAAAGACCAAAGGTAGATAAAACCACAAAGATGGGGAGAAACCAGAGCAGAAAAGCTAAAAATTCTAAAAATCAGAGCACCTGTTCTCCTCCAAAAGATCGCAACTCCTCCCTAGCAATGGAACAAAGCTGGATGGAGAATGACTTTGACAAGCTGACAGAAATAGGCTTCAGAAGATTGGTAATAACAAACTTCTCCGAGCTAAAGGAGGATGTTCGAACCCATTGCAAGGAAGCTAAAAACCTTGAAAAAAGATTAGATGAATGGTTAACTACAATAAACAGCATAGAGAAGACCTTAAATGACCTGATGGAGCTGAAAACCATGGCATGAGAACTACATGACGCATGCACAAGCTTCAGTAACCAATTCGATCAAGTGGAAGAAAGGGTATCGGTGATTGAAGATCAAATGAATGAAATGAAGCGAGCAGAGAAGTTGAGAGAAAAAAGAGTAAAAAGAAATGAACAAAGCCTCCAAGAAATATGGGACTATGTGAAAAGACCAAATCTACATTTGATTGGTGTACCTGAAAATGACCGAGAGAATGGAACCAAGTTGGAAAACACTCTTCAGGATATTATCCAGGAGAACTTCCCCAACCTAGCAAGGCAGGCCAAACTTCAAATTTGTGAAATACAGAGAACACCACAAAGATACTCCTCAAGAAGAGCAACCCAAAGACATATAATTGTCAGATTCAATAAGGTTGAAATGAAGGAAAAAATGTTAAGGGCAGCCAGAGAGAAAGGTCAGGTTACCCACAAAGGGAAGCCCATCAGACTAACAGTGGATCTCTTGGCAGAAACTCTACAAGCCAGAAGCGAGTGGGGGCCAATATTCAACATTCTTAAAGAAAAGAATTTTCAACCCAGAATTTCATATCCAGCCAAACTAAGCTTCATAAGTAAAGGAGAAATAAGAGCCTTTACAGACAAGCAAATGCTGAGAGGTTTTGTCACCACCAGGCCTGCCTTACAAGAGCTCCTGAAGGAAGCACTAACATGGAAAGGAACAACCAGTACCAGCCACTGCAAAAATATGCCAAATTGTAAAGACTATCGATGCTAGGAAGAAACTGCATCAACTAACAGGCAAAATAACCAGCTAACATCATAACGATAGGGTCAAATTCACACATAACAATATTAACCTTAAATGTAAATGGGCTAAATGTCCCAATTAGAAGACACAGACTGGCAAATTGGATAAAGAGTCAAGACCCATCAGTGTGCTGTATTCAGGAAACCCATCTCATGTGCAGAGACACACATAGGCTCAAAATAAAGGAATGGAGGAAGATCTACCAAGCAAATGGAAAACAAAAAAAGCAGGGGTTGCAATCCTAGTCTCTGATAAAACAGACTTTAAACCAACAAACATCAAAAGAGACAAAGAAGGCCATTACATAATGGTAAAGGAATCAATTCAACAGGAAGAGCTAACTATCCTAAATATATATGCACCCAATACAGGAGCACCCAGATTCATAAAGCAAGTCCTTAGAGACCTACAAAAAGACTTAGACTCCCACACAATAATAATGGGAGACTTTAACACCCCACTGTCAACATTAGACAGATCAACGAGACAGAAAGTTAACAAGGATATCCAGGACTTGAACTCAGCTCTGCACCAGGCAGACCTAATAGACATCGACAGAACTCTCCACCCCAAATCAACAGAAAATACCTTCTTCTCAGCACCACATCGCACTTATTCCAAAATTGACCACATAGTTGGAAGTAAAGCACTCCTTAGCAGATGTAAAAGAATAGAAATTATAACAAACTGTCTCTCAGACCACAGTGCAATCAAATTAGAACTCAGGATTAAGAAACTCACTCAAAACCACTCAACTACATGGAAACTGAACAACCTGCTCCTGAATGACTACTGGGTACATAACGAAATGAAGGTAGAAATAAAGATATTCTTTGAAACCAATGAGAACAAAGACACAACATACCAGAATCTCTGGGACACATTTAAAGCAGTGTGTAGAGGGAAATTTGTAGCACTAAATGCCTGCAAGAAAAAGCAGGAAAGATCTAAAATCGACAGCCTAACATCACAATTAAAAGAACTGGAGAAGCAAGAGCAATCACATTCAAAAGCTAGCAGAAGACAAGAAATAACTAAGATTAGAGCAGAACTGAAGAAGATAGAGACACAAAAAACCCTTCAAAAAATCAATGAATCCAGCAGCTGGTTTTTTGGAAAGATCAACAAAATTGATAGACCATTAGCAAGACTAATAAAGAAAAAAAGAGAGAAGAATCAAATAGACACAATAAAAAATGATAAAGGGGATATCACCACCGATCCCACAGAAATACAAACTACCATCAGAGAATACTGTAAATATCTCTATGCAAATAATCTAGAAAATCTAGAAGAAATGGATAAATTCCTGGACACATACACCCTCCCAAGACTAAACCAGGAAGAAGTTGAATCCCTGAATAGACCAATAATAGGCTCTGAAATTGAGGCAATAATTAATAGCCTACCAACCCAAAAAAGTCCAGGACCAGATGGATTCACAGCCGAATTCTAACAGAGGTACAAAGAGGAGCTGGTACCATTCCTTCTGAAACTATTCCAATCAATAGAAAACGAGGGAATCCTCCCTAACTTATTTTATGAGGTTGGCATCATCCTGATACCAAAGCCTGGCAGAGACACAACAAAAAAAAAGAGAATTTTAGACCAATATCCCTGATGAACATGGATGCAAAAATCCTCAATAAAACACTGGCAAACCGAATCCAGCAGCACATCAAAAAGGTTATCCACCATGATCAAGTGGGCTTCATCCCTGGGATGCAAGGCTGGTTCAACATACACAAATCAATAAACGTAATCCAGCATATAAACAGAACCAAAGACAAAAACCACATGATTATTTCAATAGATGCAGAAAATGCCTTCAACAAAATTCCACAGCCCTTCATGCCAAAAACTCTCAATAAACTAGGTATTGATGGGACATATCTCAAAATAATAAGAGCTATTTATGACAAACCCACAGCCAATATCATACTGAATGGGCAAAAACTGGAAGCATTCCCTTTGAAAACTGGCACAAGACAGGGATGCCCTCTCTCACCACTCCTACTCAACATAGTGTTGGAAATTCTGGCCAGGGCAATCAGACAAGAGAAAGAAATAAAGGGTATTCAATTAGGAAAAGAGGAAGTCAAATTGTCCCTGTTTGCAGATGACATGATTGGATGTTTAGAAAACCCCATCATCTCAGCCCAAAATCTCCTTAAGCTGATAAGCAACTTCAGCAAAGTCTCAGGATACAAAATCAATGTGCAAAAATCACAAGTATTCCTATACACCAATAACAGACAAACAGAGAGCCAAATCATGAGTGAACTCCCATTCACAATTGCTTCAAAGAGAATAAAATACCTAGGAATAAAACTTACAAGGGATGTGAAGGACCTCTTCAAGGAGAACTACAAACCACTACTCAACGAAATAAAAGAGGACATAAACAAATGGAAGAACATTCCATGCTCATGAATAGGAAGAATCAATGTTGTGAAAATGGCCATACTGCCCATGGTAATTTATAGATTCAATGCCATCCCCATCAACCTACCAATGACTTTCTTCACAGAATTGGAGAAAACTACTTTAAAGTTCATATGGAACCAAAAAAGAACCTGCATTGCCAAGACAATCCTAAGCCAAAAGAACAAAGCTGGAGGCATCACACTACCTGACTTCAAACTATATTACAAGTCTACAGTAACAAAAACAGCATGGTACTGGAACCAAAACAGAGATATAGACCAATGGAACAGAACAGAGCCCTCAGAAATAATATCACACATCTACAAGTATCTGATCTTTGACAAACCTGACAAAAACAAGAAATGGGGAAAGGATTCCCTATTTAATAAATGGTGCTGGGAAAACTGGCTAGCCATAGTAGAAAGCTGAAACTGGATCCCTTCCTTATACCTTATACAAAAATTAATTCAAGATGGATTAAAGACTTAAATGTTAGACCTAAAACCATAAAAACCCTAGAAGAAAACCTAGGCAATACCATTCAGGACATAGACATGGGCAAGGACTTCATGACTGAAACACCAAAAGCAATGGCAACAAAAGCCAAAATTGACAAATGGGATCTAATTAAACTAAAGAGCTTCTGCACAGCAAAAGAAACTACCATCAGAGTGAAAAGGCAACCTACAGAATGGGAGAAAATTTTTGTAATCTACCCATCTGACAAAGGACTAATATCCAGAATCTACAAAGAACTTAAACAAATTTACAAGAAAAAATCAAACAACCCCATCAAAAAGTAGGCAAAGGATATGAACAGACACTTCTCAAAAGAAGACATCTATGCAGCCAACAGACACATGAAAAAATGCTCATCATCACTGGTCATCAAAGAAATGCAAATCAAAACCAAAAGGAGATACTATCTCACACCAGTTAGAATGGCAATCATTAAAAAGTCAGGAAACCACAGGTGCTGGAGAGGATATGGAGAAATAGGAACACTTTTACACTGTTGGTGGGAGTGTAAGCTAGTTCAACCACTGTGGAAGACAGTGTGGCAATTCCTCAAGGATCTAGAACTAGAAATACCATTTGACCCAGCCATCCCATTACTGGGTATATACCCAAAGGATTATAAATCATGCTACTATAAATGCACATGTATGTTTACTGCACTATTCACAATAGCAAATACTTGGAACCAACCCAAATGTCCATCAGTGATAGACTGGATTAAGAAAATGTGGCACATAAGCCGGGTGCAGTGGCTCACACTTGTAATCCCAGCACTTTGGGAGACTGAGGTGGGTGGATCACGAGGTCAGGAGATCGAGACCATCCTGCCTAATACAGTGAAACCCCGTCTCTACTAAAAATACAAAAAAATTAGCTGGTCATGGTGGCGGGTGCCTATAGTCCCAGCTACTTGGGAGGCTGAGGCAGGAGAATGGCATGAACCCAGGAGGCAGAGCTTGCAGTGAGCGAGATTGCGCCACTGCACTCCAGCCTGGGCGACAGAGCAAGACTCCATCTCAAAAAAAAAAAAAAAAAAGAAAAGAAAAAAAGAAAATGTGTCACAAATACACCATGGAATACTATGCAGCCATAAAAAAGGATGAGTTCATGTCCTTTGCAGGGACGTGGATGAAGCTGGAAACCATCATTCTGAGCAAACTATTACAAGGATAGAAAACCAAACACCGCATGTTCTCACTCATAGGTGGGAATTGAACAATCAGAACACTTGAACTCAGGGTGGGGAACATCACACACCAGGGCCTGTCATGGGGTGGGGACAGGGGGGAGGGATAGCATTAGGAGAAATACCTAATGCAAATGACGAGTTAATGGGTGCAGCACACCGACATGGCACATGTACACATAGGTAACCAACCTGCATGTTGTGCACATGTACCCTAGAACTTAAAGTATAATAAAAAAAATTGTCCCGTTGCAGCCCAAAAACAGGAGTAGTCTCAGCAACATATGGCTGCACCCGTTCAGGCATTTGGTAAAATTGAGTTAAGAGACAATATCATCTCTTGCTTATATCTCTTTTGAGTAGTTCATGTAACATTGGATTTTCCTCATTGCATAACCCATTTATTCATTCATTTACCCTCAGCTACTATTTCTCCTTCTCTTCATTTATACCAAACATTTCTAGTTATGGAAGGGACATGAGGTTCTGCTGCTGTGCTGACCTAGACTGCAGGGACCAATACTGTTCTAGCAATTGTCTTGCATCATCCATTCCAGTTCATAGAGGGTAGGGTTATGCAGTAGAGAACTGGTTGGCTATCTGACCCTAGGCAATACAGCTGCATTCAGTGTTAACCCCAACTTTGCCAGATGCAGTGAAGGCACAACCTACTTCTCCAGACCCTTAGGAATCATTACATAATGGACACAAAATATATTTACAGTTTCTTGCTTAGGAATAATTCCTGTTTCTGGACTTTTATTTGCATCCCTAGTCCTGAGACTACTGCATCAGGTATGAGAAAAGCAAGTTGAGGTAAAGTACAGTCATCATTCCAGTGTCCTCCCACCTTGGGAAGGATTGTATATAGATCACACCAGCACCTTCCCCTGATCCACAAGGAAAAGAGAGGATACTTTCATATCAAGTGTAAGCACACTCATGAAGGTGTGTAAGCCCACCCTTCATGCTTGTTTCCCCACTCTTGCTTTATACAACCAATGTTTCAATGGAATATTTTAATTCTCTATGGAACTCTTCCTCTGAGAAGGATGTCTTTCTGACATTTTGAGCAAGCGCATTTTCTGGTGTAAAGAAATGTGACTCAGTGGTCCACATGGTTGCAGTACCTCCCATTCAAGCTCTTAGTAGCACTCCAAGCATTTGCATCTGAGATAAAGCAGGGACCTCTCTTAGAAGCCTGCCAGGGCCTCCCAACATGGAAATAAAGAAAAACCTTCAGTTCCTTCAAAAGAAATTCCAGGCACCTAGCCAGCCCTAAAAATTAAGTGAGTGACCTTATAAACAAGAAGGTAATGATAGCTTAAAACGATAGCCAAGGAAGTTAGAGTCACAAGATGTTGGATTCTCTATGGAAACTAAAGAGAACATCTTAACATATGTCCCTGAGTTGTTTTTCAGAAACTCGGATTCCCACCTAATAGATCCACTGACCTCAGATAAGGGGAAACTGAGGACTGAACTCTGACCACTGTTCTTTGTTCTAAATTTCTTCCTGAGGGGCCTGGAGAGAGTAAAGCCCACAGGCCAGGCCTGAACATTCCTCTCTACTGCCCCCAACTGTGTAAGGAAGCTTTGCTTCCTTATGAATCGCAAATCAGAGAATCTTTTATCTCTATCTACGACTTGTAAGCTCCCTCATCAGGATATTCCTCCTTTTAAGGCCAAACCAGTGTGTAACTTCTATGCATTGATTTATGATGTTGCCTGTAACTCTGCTTTCCTGAAATTTACCCCTGTCTTTAAGAAACCTTGCTTGTGAGCCATTGAGAAGGTTGGGTCTTAACTGTAAGCTAGCTGATTCTCCTTGCTTGGCACCCTACAAATAAATGCCCTCCTTTCTCTCACTACAAAATCTCAGTATGGATGTTTGTTTTTACTGCCCCAGGTGAGTGGACTCCAGTTCAGTTTGGTAGCACATCTACCACCAGCTGAGCAATGCCCAGCTCCAGGGTGCATATCTATTGCTGCCAAGACCCATTTGCTGCTTCCTGGGTCTACTGGTATCAGTGTAACTTGCCAGCTCTGTATTTTCAAGATCTTCCCATAAGAGAATCTGCCACATAGCCATATGCTATCTCTGTCTCTCTCTCTTTTTTTTTTTTGTTAAAGAAAACACTTATATGTATTTTATGCCTGTGACGTGGGGAATGCAAGAGGAATATGCCTTGATTCCACCTCTCTCTGCATTGCTACAGCCCCAGTGTCTACTTACTTCATGGACCTAGGTGATCACCGCAAGCAAACGTGGATTTTTGTTAGATGTGGTCTTGATATCTTTCTCTGGCTGAACTCAAATGCTGCTCAGGCCAAACTCTAACTCCTGGACTCAAGATATCCTTCTGCCTCAGCTGCTCTCATAGCTGGAATTACAGGTGCACCTGGCAAACACTTGGAGATAAATGCTTGTTTATTTCAATCACCTTCCAAACCTGGAAGGGAGTTATTCTGATGGGCATTGATGGGCACTGAGGGGACGGTGCTAAACCATTCATGAGAAACTGCCCCCGTGATCCAATCATCTCCCTGCAGGTCCCACCTCTAATGCTGGGGATTCCATCCAACATGAGATTCGGGCAAGAACAACATCCACTCTATATCAGGCATCAACGTGTCTTACATTAATGAACCTCTCAAATTACCATCGTGATTTCCATAGGACTGTGTCTCATTTGGGCACTCTTTTCATCGGCAAGTTTTCCTTTGCTTTCCTGATTAATTATATGGCCAGGCCATTAGTCACTGCCTGTAAGTCAATAAAAACTAAAACATAGGAGCTTTATTATTGTTCAATTCTTCCACCACTGCTGAGAAACATCCTGCAATTCAGCCCACAAGAGTTGTTCTGTTTTTATCTTCTTCGATCAAAGCGGTGGACTTCCAAACAGGATGTTGTCCATTCATCTTCCAAATGCTGTACACAAACCAACCAGCTGTTTGAGATCAGTTGACGGATATTGCAGTTCAAATCCCAGCGCTTTCTGCTGCAGAGTTCCATCTTGCTCAGAGAAGGTCAATGTTTTGTTTAATTTACACCTTCAATGAATTGAATGAAGCCCACCCACATTACAGAGATCAATCTACTTTACTCAAAGTCTAGTTATTTTGCATTAATGTTATCCAAGAAACATTCTCACAAATCATCCAGAATAATGCTTGATCACCTATCTGGGCATTGTGGTTCAGCCAAGATGACAAATAAAATTAATTATGACATTCTTCAATTTAAGAATATTCTGAGGAAATTAGCCTTTGTCCTAATAAAACAAGGAACAAACAACTGTTTCTAAAAATTTTCAACCAACAGTCAAAAAGCCATTCCTATAGATTGTTGCTCAAGTTCATTCTATAACTGTGGGTGAAAAAAACATGTATTTGTTGAAAACAGAAGGAGAGAAAAATGAATAAGCAGAAAGTAAAAAAAAAGACATGAGAATAATAATAAAGATGACAGCCGTTATTTCACTGGAAACAATGCAAATGAGAAGACAGATGAGCAACATCTTTAAAGTCCTAAAAGGAAAATACTGTGAAACTAGATTCTATTCCCAGAAAATAATACCTTTCTAAAACATATATATGTATAATTTAAATTGACAAATCATAATACATTCATGAGATGTTTTGTGATGTACTGATATATGTATACCATGTGTAATGATTAAATCAAACTAATTAACCAATTAACATACCATGAATATAGCTATCGAAAAATAGATTTTAGTTATATAGGGAGTGAAAAAAGTTATAACTAGCAGATCTAAACTATAATAAATGTTTTTCAGTCCTTCAGGCAAAAAGAAAATTAAGGGACTAGTTGGCACAGCATTTAATGATGAAAAGACAGCTTCATTTCCTTTTTCCACTGAGACAGAGAACACAGCCCAGGGTCCTGGGAATTGCTCAACCCAATCCACCACTGTGGACACCTGAGAACTCCTCCTGGGTAACTGAGGTTGGGTGCTATCACCTTAGCTGTCACCTACCTGCAAACACCACCTATGGGCATTCCACCCAGCCTATCATAGCTACTGCTAACATTAATGCACACTTTTTGGGACCAGTAGTTCTCTTTGCAGACATCTTTTACCTCCCAAATTAGCATTATTCCTAGGTATTGTATTCCTTTTGTGGCAATTGTGAGTGGGAGTTCATTCCTGCTTTGGCTCTTGGCTTGCCTGTTGTCGGTGTGTAGAAATGCTAGTAATTTTTGCACGTTGATTTTGTATCTTGAGAATTTGCTGAAGTTGTTTATCAGCTTAAGAAGCTTTTGGACTGAGGCTATGGGTTTTTCTAGTTATAGAATCATGTCATCTGCAAACAGGAATCATTTGAATTCCTCTCTTCCTATTTGAACATCCTTCTTTTTTTTTTTTTTTTTTAATTTCACTTGCCTGATTGCCCTGGTCAGAATTTCCAATACTGTGTTGAACAGGAGCAGTGAGAGAAGGCATCCTTGTCTTGTGCTGATTTCAAGGAGAATGCTTCTAGTTTTGCCCATTCAGTATGAAGTTGGCTGTGGGTTTGTCATAGATGGCTTTTATTGTTTTGAGGTATATTCCTTGAACACCTAGTTTATTGAGAGTTTTTTTAAAAACATGAATAGAGTTTGAATTTTATGAAAAGCCTTTTCTTCATCAACTGAGACAATCATGTAGTTTTTGTCTTTAGTTCTGTTTATGTGATGAATCACATTTATTGATTTGCATATGTTGAACTAACCTTGCATCCTGGCGATGAAGCCTACTTGATTGTGATGGATAAGGTTTTTGATGTGCTGCAGGATTCGGTTTGCCAGCATTTTGTTGGAGATTTTTGCATTAATGTTCATCAAGAATACTGGCCTGATGTTTTCTCTTGTTTGTTGTTGTTGTATCTCTGCCACATTTTGGTATCAGGATGATGCTGGCCTAATAGAATGAGTTAGGGAGGAGTCTCTCCTCCTCATTTTTTGGGAATAGTTTCAATAGGAATGGTACCATCTCTTCTTTGTACATCCAGTAGAATTCACCTGTCAATCATCTGGTCCTGCACTTTTTTTTTTTTTTTTTGGTAGGCTCTTCATTACTGCCTCAAGTTCAGAACTCATTATTTTTTCAGAGATTGCATTTCTTCCTGGTTCAGTCTTGGGGGCGGTGTATGTGTCCAGGAATTTATCCATTTCTTCTAGATTTTCTAGTTTATGCGCATAGAAGTGTTCATAATATTTTCTGGTGGTTGCTTGTATTTCTGTGGGGTCAGAGGTAATGTTCCTCTTATTGTTTCTGATTGTGTTTATTGGAATTTTCTCTCTTTTCTTCTTTATTAGCTTAGCTAGTGGTCTATTTTATTAATTTCTTTTAAAAAACCTCCTGAATTTATTGATCCTTCAAATGGTTTTTTGTGTCTCTGTCTCCTTCAGGAGACAATACTTTTGTTAATTTTTTTTTGTTATTTCTTGTCTTCTGCTAGCTTCGGGATATGTTTGCTCTTCATTCTTAAGTTCTTATAGGTTTGATTTTAGGTTGTTGACTTGAGATCTTTCTAACTTTTTGATGTGGGCATTTACTGCTATAAATTTCCCTCTTAACACTGCCTTAGCTGTTTCCCAGAGGTTCTGGTTCATTGTATCTTTTTTCTCATTAGTTTCAAAGAACTTCTTGATTTCTACCTTAATTTCATTATTTACTAAAAGTCATTCAAGAACAGGTTATTTAATTTCTAAGTAATTATATGGTTTTAGTGAATTTCTTATTCTTGATTTTGAATTTGATTGCACTGTAGTCTGAGAGACTATTTGTTATGATTTCAGTTCTTTTGCATTTGCTGAGGAGTGTTTTACTTCTGATTGTGTGATTGATTTTAGAGTAAGCGCCATGTGGCAATGAGAAAAATGTATATTCTGTTGTTCTGGGGTCCGGAGTTCTGTAAATATCTATCAGGTCCATTTGCTCCAGGGCTGAATTCAGGTCCTGAATATCTTTGTTAATTTTCTGTCTTGATGATCTGTCTAATATTGTCAGTGGGGTATTAAAGTCCACCACTTCTACTGTGTGAGGTTCTAAATCTCTTTGACGGTCTCTAAGAACCTGCCTTATAAATCTGGGTGTTCCTCTATTGGATGCATACATATTTAGGATAGTTAGATCTCTTCATTGAATTGAACCCTTTACCATTATGTAATGCCCACCTTTATCTTTTTTTATCTTTCTTGGTTTAAAGTCTGTGTTGTCAGAAACTAGGATTGCAACCCTGGCTTTCTTCCGCTTTCCATTTGCTTGGAAAATTTTCCTCCATCTCTTTATTTTGTGCCTATGTGTGTCATTGAATGTAAGATGAGTGTATTGTAGGCAGCATACTGATAGGTCTTGGTTCTTTATCCAGCTTGCCCTTCTGTGTCTTTTAAATGTGGCATTTAGCCCATTTACATTTAAGGTTAGTATTGATATGTATGGATTTGATCCTGTCATCATGGTGTTAGCTGGTTACTTTGCAGACTTGCTTATGTGGTTGCTTTATTGCGTCACTGGTCTATGTACTTCAGCTTGTTTTTGTAGTGGCTGGTAACTGTCTTTCCTTTCCATATTTAGTGCTTCTTTTAGGAGTTCTTGTAATGCAGGTCTGATGGTAATGAATTCCCTTGGCATTTGTTTGTCTGAAAAGAATTTTATTTCTTTTTTGCTTATGAAGCTTAGTTTGGCTGGATATGAAATTGTGGGTTGGAAATTCTTTTCTTTAACAATGTTCAATACTGGCCCTCAATCTCTTCTGGTGTGTAGGGTTTCCACTTGGAGGTCCACTGTTAGTCTAATGGGCTTCCCTTTGTAGGTGACCTGGCCTTTCTCTCTGACTGCCCTTAACGTTCTTTCTTTCATTTCAACCATGGAGAATCTGATGATTGTATCTTGGGGATGATCTTCTCATGGAGTAACTTACTAGTGTCCTCTGCATTTCTGAATTTGAATGTTGGTCTGTCTAGCTAGGTTGGGAAAGTTCTCATGGATGATATCTTGAAGTGTGTTCCAAATTGATTCCATTATTCCCATCTCTTTCAGGTATACCAATAATTCATGGATTCAGTTTCTTTACATAATCTGATGTTTCTCAGAGGTTTTGTTTGTTCCTTTTCATTCTGTTTTCTCTATTCTTGTCTTCCTGTCTTATTTTAGAAAGCCAGTCTTCAAGCACTGAGAGTCTTTCCTCCACTTGTTCTATTCTGCTGTTAATACTTGTGAGTGCACTATGAAATTCTTTTAGTGTGTTTTTCAGCTTTATCAGGTTGGTTTCATTCTTCTATAATACTGGCTGTTTTGTCTGTCAGCTCCTGCAATGTTTTATCATTATTTTTAGCTTCCTTGGATTGGGTCACACTGTACTCCTTTAGCACAGTGAACTTCTTCCCTCTCCATATTCTGAATTCTACTTCTGCTCTTTCAGTCATCTCAGCTTTAGCCTGGTTCCAAACCCTTGCTGGCTTTTTGAGTTTTCAGCATTGTTGTGCTGATTCTCATCTTAGTGGGCTTATCTATCTTCATTCTTTGAGGTTGCTGATCTATGAATGGGTTTTGTTTTTCTCTTCTTTTGTTTTCTCTTTCAATAGTCTGACCACTTTTCTGTAGGGCTGCTGCAGTTTGCTGAGGGCCTGCTCCAGTCCCCAGTTGCCTCAGATTTTCCAGTAACTGGAGATATCACCAGTGAAAGCTACATAACAGCAAAGATGGTAGTCTGCCTTTTCCTTTGGGAGCTCTGTCTCAGGAAAGTACAGACCTGTTGCCAGCCCAAACACACCTGTAGGAGGTACTGGAGACCCTGGTTGGGAGGTCTTGCACAGTCACGAGGAATAGGATCAGGATCTAGAGGTTTACCAAAGGGAGGAATACTCCCTCAGGAGACACAGAAATTATTCCATTGAGCTGGAAGCTAAGACACCCACCCGGGCCCTTCAGCTCCTCATGTTACTGAATCAACAGACAAAGGAAGGAGTTACTGCACTTTCTGGGGTGATTGGTCCTGGTCATCAGGGGGAAATTGGTCTGCTACTACACAATGGCAGTAAATAAGACTATGTTTGAAATACAGGAGATCTTTTAGAGCATCTCTTAGTAATACTCTGCTCTATAATTAAAGTCAATAAAAACTACAACAACCCAAGTCAGGCAGGACTACTAATGACCCATGCCCTTCAGGAATGAAGGTATGAGTCACCCAAGCAGGAAAAGAAACCTGATCAGCTGACGGACTTGCTGAAGGCAGTGGGACTATGGGATGGTTAGTGAAAAAAAGCTATTTACACTAGTTGTGACCAGCACAGTGGCTCATGCCTATAACCCCAGCACTTTGGGAGGCTGAGGCAGGTGGATTCCTTAAGTCGAGGAATGTGAGACCAACCCGGGCAACATGCTGAAATTCCATCTCTACTGAAAATACATACAAAAAATTAGTCAGACTTGGTGGTGTGCTTGCAGTCCCAGCTACTTAGGAGGTTGAGGTAGAAGGATCACTTGTGCCCAGGAGGTGGAGTTTGCAGTGAGCCAAGGTAATGCCACTGCACTCCAGCCTGGCAACAGAAGAAGACCCTGTATCAAATAAATAAGTAAATAAATAAATAAATAAATAACCAGCTGTAACCATGTGATCAGTTGCAGAAATAAAGACAGTAAATGTTATAAGCATTTCTTCCTTATGTTTTTACAATGATATTTATGTCTGTGTGTATGTACCCATACACGTACTAAGCAAATACCTTTGTTTTCATCTTTTCCTTATCATCTTGTAATAAAACATAAAATGTGCTAATAATAGTTCCCTTTTATTAATGATGGTTCAACTTTTTTTAAACATGGTGTTTAGGTTACAGTATATCGAAGAGAAAAATGCTTATCATGCATTGAGTTTGAATTTTTTTCTGAGGAAATGGTTAGTGTTTTTAGATGGATGCAAGATAGCTGTATCATCTTTAGCAAAAGTATGACTTTATAATTGTTTTTATTTGGAGACTAAGTATGGTTTAAGAAAACGTTAATGGGTGCCAAGTTCACAAGCATGGACTAGGGTGGTGGGTATTTTTTTTTTTTTTTTTTTTTTTTTTTTTAATTTATTTTTTTATTGATAATTCTTGGGTGTTTCTCACAGAGGGGGATTTGGCAGGGTCATGGGACAATAGTGGAGGGAAGGTCAGCAGATAAACAAGTGAACAAAGGTCTCTGGTTTTCCTAGGCAGAGGACCCTGCGGCCTTCCGCAGTGTTTGTGTCCCTGATTACTTGAGATTAGGGATTGGTGATGACTCTTAACGAGCATGCTGCCTTCAAGCATCTGTTTAACAAAGCACATCTTGCACCGCCCTTAATCCATTTAATCCTGAGTGGACACAGCACATGTTTCAGAGAGCACAGGGTTGGGGGTAAGGTCACAGATCAACAGGATCCCAAGGCAGAGGAATTTTTCTTAGTGCAGAACAAAATGAAAAGTCTCCCATGTCTACTTCTTTCTACACAGACACGGCAACCATCCGATTTCTCAATCTTTTCCCCACCTTTCCCGCCTTTCTATTCCACAAAGCCGCCATTGTCATCCTGGCCCGTTCTCAATGAGCTGTTGGGCACACCTCCCAGACGGGGTGGTGGCCGGGCAGAGGGGCTCCTCACTTCCCAGTAGGGGCGGCCGGGCAGAGGCGCCCCTCACCTCCCGGACGGGGCGGCTGGCCGGGCGGGGGGGCTGACTCCCCCCACCTCCCTCCCGGACGGGGCGGCTGGCCGGGCGGGGGGCCGACCCCCCCACCTCCCTCCCGGACGGGGCGGCTGGCCGGGCGGGGGGCCGACCCCCCCACCTCCCTCCCGGACGGGGCGGCTGGCCGGGCGGGGGGCCGACATCCCCACCTCCCTCCCGGACGGGGCGGCTGGCCGGGCGGAGGGCTGACCTCCCCACCTCCCTCCCGGACGGGGCGGCTGGCCGGGCGGGGGGCCGACCCCCCCACCTCCCTCCCGGACGGGGCGGCTGGCCGGGCAGAGGGGCTCCTCACTTCCCAGTAGGGGCGGCCGGGCAGAGGCGCCCCTCACCTCCCAGACGGGGCGGCTGGCCGGGCGGAGGGCTGACCCCCCCACCTCCCTCCCGGACGGGGCGGCTGGCCGGGCGGGGGGCCGACCCCCCCACCTCCCTCCCAGACGGGGCGGCTGGCCGGGCAGAGGGGCTCCTCACTTCCCAGTAGGGGCGGCCGGGCAGAGGCGCCCCTCACCTCCCAGACGGGGCGGCTGGCCGGGCGGAGGGCTCACCCCCCCACCTCCCTCCCGGACGGGGCGGCTGGCCAGGCGGGGGGCTGACCCCCCCACCTCCCTCCCGGACAGGGCGGCTGGCCGGGCGGGGGGCCGACCCCCCCCACCTCCCTCCCGGACGGGGCGGCTGGCCGGGCAGAGGGACTCCTCACTTCCCAGTAGGGGCGGCCGGGCAGAGGCGCCCCTCACCTCCCAGACGGGGCAGCTGGCCGGGCGGAGGGCTCACCCCCCCCACCTCCCTCCCGGACAGGGCGGCTGGCCAGGCGGGGGGGCTGACCCCCGGGTGGTGGGTATTATGTGTCAATTTTACTAAACCATAGTGTCTAGTTATTTAATCAAACACTAATTTATATGTTGCTATGATGGTGTTTTGCACTTGTGGTTAAAATCTTATGTCAGTTGATTTTATGAAAAGGAAATTACCCTCAAAAATGTGGGCGGGACTTTTTGAATCAGTTGAAGGCCTTTGGGCAAAATGTGAGGCTTCTCAAAGAAGAAAAAATTCTGCCTCAAGATGACAGTAGCAACTACAGTTTAGATTTCCAATCTGCCAGCCTGGTTTACAAATTTTAGACTGAAGACTGCAACATTGTGACTTTCCAGCCTGCTAGCCTGCAGAGGAGTAATTTGTGACATCAATAATGTAAAATGAGGGGTGGAAAAAGATGTAAAGAAGCAGAGTTTCATACTGGTTTCAATTCAAAATTGTTATAGTTGTATTGTTATGTGCAATACCATAGTAATCACAAAGAAAATATACATAAAATATACACAAAAGAAAGTGAGAAGGCAATTAAAACATATCACTAGAAAAAAAATCGACTAAACACAAAGGAAGGTTGGAATGAGGAAGATAAGGGATGAAACAGCTATAAGACATGCATAAAACCATCACAATTACAGAGGTAAGTCCTTCTTCATCAGTAATTACTTTAAATGTAAATGGATTAAACTCCCCAATCAGAATTGAGATTATCACAATGGATATAATAAAAAGATTCTAACCATATGCTGGCTACAAGATACTCACTTTGGATCTAAGGACACATACAAGTTGAAAATGAAAGGATGGAAAAGGATATTCCTGAAAATAGTAACTAAGAATTTTTAATGATTTCTCATAGGGTTCTATGTGTTTGCTGGGCTCAGATGATGGCCTTGGAGTTTAACATGGTTCAGGCATTGAAGTGGAAGGAACCAGATGCAGGCAGGATGGTTAATAGCAGTGCCCAGAACTGACACAACCACGTTTCTGCCCTATTTTATTGGCTAACGCAGATATCAGATCTGCTCATGTTTAAGGGGATGGAGAGAACTTACCTCTTGATGAGGGAATGGTGGATCAAACTAAAGAAAACAAAGTGTGATGGAAGATACTTTTGCAGCCGTCTTTGGAAAATACATACAATCCAAAACATCCTATCGGCCAGAAAGGAAGAACACCATCACACCTTACCCCTCCAGTCTAAGCCCTGTGATTCTGTAGTATCCTGGGGAAGGACCATGTCTTAGGAAGCAGATGCGGAGTCAAAGCTCTAAATAAAACCCCATCTACAGCCACAATTTCACTTTATTTTGATGAAATTTTGTGTCATTTTCGATAAAATGGGGGCTCACAAATCTCTCTTCAGGGATCTCTCCAGTGGCGGGGATGATATGCTTCCTTCTCCACAGTTCTACTTTACAGATAAGTGGGTCTAGGTCTCAGTTTCAGTTATTTAAAACACCAGAGACTTGGATGCATGCATGTCACAAAAAGGTGAAAGAATGCTCTGTCACTTTCCCTTCTCTCGCTCACTGCGCCCTGAACAAGAACCTGCTCTACCTTGACCTTTTGAATGGGGAGGAGGGTCGCACTCCTGACTAAGCTTCATGCTTCCAGAGATAAACCTGCTACCCCAAAAGCATAGTTTATTATAAAGACCAAACCCTACACCAAGAGCTCTCCCTTCACCTACCAGGGCTGAAACTGAATCCCATGGAAAGGCCCAGAGAAATTGTGGCTCAAAATGTCCAGTGTCATGTCCCTTCTGCCAAAATGAAGCCAACATATTCATCACAATATGGGGTATCGATAAGGATATCAAAATGATTACCACAAAAATTTCACAAATATATTCTTTTTATTACATCAACTTTTTTGTCCTACAAATATAAAGAAAATAAGCCTGCATAGCAGGAGAAGTTTTTCCTCTGGGAGAGAATCCTCTTCCCAATGAAAAAGCTGGAGCCAGAATCACTAGAATGGAGCAAACTTTCAGGAATGACACAGCACTGCGTCTTGGGGCAGCCAGAGTTAGGGAGGGCTCACCTTCTGCGTGACACCAACCTTTGGCTGTCTTTTTTTTTTGTTCTCACTGCAAGAACAAAATTTCAGAGTATTAAGAGACAGAGTTAAGCCGAAGAGATTTACTCTGTTTTACTCTTTAGAAAACGCAATCTCGGCCAGGAGCGGTAGCTGGCGCCTGTAATCCCAGCATTTTGGGAGGCCGAGGTGAATAGATCACCTAAGGTCAGGAGTACGAGACCAGCCTGGCCAACATGGTGAAACCCCATCTCTACTAAAAATACAAAAATTAGCTGGGCGTGGTGGCAGGCATCTGTAATCCCAGCTACTCGGGAAACTGAGACAGGAGAAATGCTTGAACCTGGGAAGCGGAGGTTGCGGTGAGCCGAGATCGTGCCACTGCACTCCAGCCTGGGTGACAGAACAAGGCTCCATCTCAATAAAAGAAAAGAAAACAAAAGAAAGAGAAGAAAGAAAAAGAAAGAAAGAAAGAAAAAGGAAGGAAGGAAGGAAGGAAGGAAGGAAGGAAGGAAAAGGAGTCTCCAGGTTAATCCAGACTGTTATGGGCTAAATTGCATCCCTCCAAAAATTGGCATGTTGGTGTCCTAACCCCCAGTACCTGAGAAAGTGACTGCATTTGGAGAGGTCTTTAAGGAGGTCATTAAGGTAAAATGAGGTCATATGAGTGGGTCTTAATTCAATGTGACTAGTGTCCTTATAAAAAGAGAAGATTAGACATAGACAGATGCAGAGGAATGACCATGTAAAGACACAGGGAAAACACATCTACAAGCCAAGGAAAGAAGCCTCAGAAGAAATGTGCACTGCCAACACCATGATCTTGGACTTCCAGCCTCTGGAACTGTGGCACAATAATTTTTCTGTTCTTTACGTCACCCAGTGTGTGGTACTTTGTTATGGCAGCCCTAGCAAATTAAAACAAACATATTACCCTGCCTAGTATCTGGACATGAAATTTTTTCAAGATTATGAATTATCAGGGATTTCTAAGAACTGAGTGAATCAATTGAAACTTGACAAGTGTAGATGATAAAGGGTCATTTACAAACCACTTTGGGTCCCATGGTCACCACTCAAAAATGGAGATATCCCCATTTCTTTTCAGTTTTACTCAGAACAAAGCTTGTGGTTCCAATCTGATATATAATCATCATCTGTATTTAAGTTTCTTGAGATGTTGAAGGAATGAGTTTTCCTCTAATTTTCTAGAAGTTATGAGAAATAATTATTTTGTAATCATTACTGAAGTAAAAGAGGATTTTTGCCCAGGGCTTTGCAGGTATTATGTGCTTTCTTCCTACTTTTAAGGATCATGTTTCTTAAAATCCCGAGCTGATGGTCAGGCACGGTGGCTCACACCTGTAATCCTAGCACTTTGGGAGGCTGAGGCGGGTGGATCACCTGAGATCAGGAGTTGAAGACCAGTCTGGCCAAAATGGTGAAACCCTAACTCTACTAAAAATACAAAAAAATTAGCCGGGCATAGTGGCACAAGCCTATAGTTCCAGCTACTTGGGAGGCTGAGGTAGGTGAATTGCTTGAACACAGTGGGGAGAGGTTGCAGTAAGCAGAGATCGTGCAATTGCATTCCAGCCTGGGCAACAAGAGTGAAACTCCATCTCAAAAAAAAAAAAAAATCCTAAACTAATGTTTCTCTCTGCATTTACCCCTTAGTACTGGGGCGACACTCACTGCATCTCAGTAAGGATGAAATGTGTTTTCATTTATTCTCACTAGAATGGATGTGTTTATCCATGACTCACAGATGAATTAACAAGCACCAGGACTTGGAGAGATTCTCCTGAGGTCACAGCCGTTGAGTGGTGGAGCAGTGACAAGCACCTGGCACCCTTGGTCTAGTCCAGTATTCTGGGTGCCACAAGAATTGCAGAATTGCAACCTTGATTTTTATACATTTGGTTATTTTCTCTTTTTTTATTTCCTTTTTGTTGTTGTTGTTGTTGTTGTTGTTGTTGTTGTCGAGACAGGGTCTCACTCTATCACAGGCTGGAGTGCAGTGGCACAATCTCAGCTGGCTGCAACCTCCACCTTCCGAGTTCAAGTGATCCTCATGCCTCAGCCTCCTGAGTAGCTGGGATTACAGGTGCATGCCACCACATCTGGCTAATTTTTGCATTTTTGGTAGAGATGGAGTTTCATCATGTTTGCCAGGCTGGTCTCGAACTCCTGACCTCAGGTGCTCCTCCCACCTCAGCCTCCCGAAGTGCTGGGATTACAGGTGTGAGCCACCACGCCTGGCCATTTGGTTATTTTCTTAACCAGAGAAGGAAAATGCATGGTGAAAATAAAGTGCAAGAGCCCTAGGCCCTTGCCTTAGATTTACTGGGATGGGGGATGGAGAGAGAGAGGCTGCCACTGTTTCTCTGAATTCCAGCTCCCAGTGTTGGTCACTCAACTGAGAGCAGGAAAATTCACCTTGTGCACTTGGGGCATCAGGACAAAGATGACAGGGAGTCCCACATCTACCACGAAAGAGAAAAGGGTCCCTCCTGCCTTATGAATCATGTCCCAGTTTTCTAATTGCATGTGCTTTCCTGCACACATAATGATTTCTCCTTCCTTCAAGCACCAGTTGTCACAGGGCAAATACAGCAACAGCAGAAAGGAATTGCTACTGAGCCTGATGCTCTGATGGAAGCTCTGAGTGGAGACTTTATTTCACATGTAGGTGCCTCTGAGTCAATGCAGAGTTTTGCCTGACTCCACTCTAGCTCCAATTCGATCAAGGTCTATATGCTCTGGGACCTCTCCAGTTCCTCATCAGACATGACAAAGAATGCCACATGTCCAGCTCCTGGGGTGCCTGATGGCAGTGAGAGGCAGCTCCTAATTGGGGGAGAGCTTTGGGGTTACCAAGGCCTCACAGACTTCATTACTGTTGGGCCACGTGGCTTCAGTCCCGTGACCACAATGGGTTCATGAGCCTGGATTCACCTCTGACATTCGTGTCTTTTTTTCTTGGGCTTTCACAAGTGGCCTCTGGTTGAGATGGGGGGAAAGGAAACAGGGATTCAAAATCTCTGACTGCCCAGTGGCCTCCCCTCACTTCCACTCAGAGACAACATGGCCATTTCGCTAAATTCCTGAAGACGCGGCCAATATAAGTAACAGAACACAGAGAGTTGCCTTGAACAGAGTTCCATGGAAGGGTGGCTGGTGCCCTCTAGACTCTTTGTCTACACTTGCTGGGCTTTCTTTAGCATGAAATGTCCCAGAGACAGCCACATTCTAAGCTTGGATCCTCAAAGCAAAGGGTGTGAGGGCCTTATCCCTGGCCAAATGAGCACTGAATTTGAGAGAGACCAGGAAACCTTCTAATTATTGGGACACTTTACTCCTGAATCCTGAATCCTGGAAGTTGGTTTCTGGCCAGGGAGGCAGGTGTCTTTATATCTTGTCTGTCTCTGTGAGGCCTCTTGTCCCTCTGCCCTTCCCATCTTTCTACCCCCGTTAATCCCAGAACAGATAGAAACATTCTGCCTTCTTTGATGCCTCTTGCTATAAACTTCAATGGCTTTTGATTGAATTAATAAGTGAAATCAACTTTAATAAAACATGAGGTTTAAAGAATGGCATTTGACATGGGTTTAGAATGAATAAATGGATCAAGTAATGAATTTTGAGAAAATGCATGTAAAATTTATCTTTAATTCCCAATGGCATTTTATTAACTTGACTGTGGAATTAATAAATGATTCTAAATCAATACCAAAACGTGCAATCACAAATGTGTGAATGCACAGAAGTGTGAATGAAGGGCAGTGCACACAAGAAAAAAAGATGTGCACATGAAGAACTTCTTCATTCCAGGTTTTTACTGATCCCTCTAGTCAAGATGGGATAAGAGTCCAAAAATATGCTTTCCTCACATGGTCAAATGATTCAGCATAAAATACAACTGATTGAACACAATTATCTATGCTTTAAATATATTAGAAAAAATCCATAAGGAAAAATGATCCTACCATCACTAAGATTTTAATTTATAATAAAATAAAGCCTAGAAATGTATCTTTTGTTCCCAATTCCAATGATTATAGGATTTCAGTGTTTGGCTTTGATAAGACCATTTAAAACAACTCAGGGAAGTTTTCTTAACAAACTCTATAGCAGGACCACAGCTAAACCTATGAGCATTAGTAGAAGTAAACAATGACACTGCCTTTAAAATTTCACTTTGAAAAACATGTTTGAAAGTGGCTGACTGGCTCCTAATTTAACTATCATTCGAGGTCATATGTTAGATTGGCAAAGTTGTTGTAATTTGTATGTATTTTATTTTTGTAATGCAAGTGCTTCACTCTACTATCAGATAAAATAAAATGTTAAGCTGGACATGGTGGTGCACACCTGCAGTCCCAGCTACTCAGGAGGCTGAGTGGGAGGATCCCTTAAGCCCAGGAGTTCAAGGCTGCAGGAAGCTCTGATGGTGCCACTGCATACCAGCCTGGGCAACAGAGTGAGGCCCTGAGTCTAAAAAATAAATAAATTAATTAAATGTTAACTTCAAATCTTATTGTTAGCAGTTCAACCTTGAACTGATTATTGGAGTTTTTTTTTTTTGTTTTTTTTTTTTTTGAGACAAAGTCTCACTCTACCGCCAGGCTGGAGTGCAATGGCATGATCTCGGCTCACTGCAACCTCGCCTCCTGGGTTCAAGCGATTCTCCTGCCTCAGTCTCCTGAGTAGCTGGGACTACAGGCACCTGTCACCATGCCTGGCTAATTTTTGTATTTTTAGTAGAGACGGGGTTTCACCATGCTGGCCAGGCTGGTCTCGAACTCCCGACCCCAGGTGATATGGGCCTCCCAAAGTGCTGGGATTACAAGCATGAGCCACCATGTCTGGCCTTGAGATCTTATCTGAGAGAAGCTGTTGTGAAAACTTAGAGAATATGAACAAGAAGTAAATGTCAATCTTGTTTCTAAATTACAAACTAAAAGGAAATTCTATAAACCTTTAATACTAAGCTAAATCATGGTAGAATGAATGACCAAAAACTATCCTACAAAACATACCAGCTGCTAGGTGTATCTGAATACTAATAAAAGATGAATGGAAAAAATGCTCTAGGAATGAGGTCAAGAGTTCGAGACCAGCCTGGCCAACATGGTGAAACCCCGTCTCTACTAAAAATTCAAAAATTAGCCGGGCATGGTGGTGGGCACCTGTAATCCCAGCTACTCGGGAGGCTGAGGCAAGAGAACCACTTAAACCTGGGAGGCAGAGGTTGCAGTGAGCCAAGATCGCACCACTGCACTCCAGACACGGCAACAGAGTGAGAACCTGTCTCAAAAACAAAAAACAAGGAAGGAAGGAAGGAGGAAAGAAAGAAAGAAAGAAAGAAAGAAAGAAAGAAAGAAAGAAAGAAAGAAAGAAAGAAAGAAAGAAAGAAAGAAATTATATTTAGAATAAAATTCTTACCTTATAGCAAAATTTCTTATTGAAAAACCACTTTATTTCACATACAAATAAGAATTCAGCATTTTTCTATACCCAGAGATAACAGAGATAAACAGGGGTTTTTTGTGGGGTTCAGATATTTTATTAGCTGCTGAGTGTAAGAAAATCTACCACTGAAGAAGCTGAAATCCCATTTTTCTTTGAAATGGGATCTTTCCAAAGTTAGTAACAATGAAGTTGTCATTCACATAATGGATGACTGAACAAAAAGATAGTGATAGTAGATGCTGCATTTTGTTTCTGTAATGTTGGGAACGGGCCCCCCAAAATATGGCCATAAACTGGCCCCAAAACTGGCCATAAACAAAATCTCTGCAGCACTGTGACATGTTCGTGATGGCCATGATGCCCACGCTGGAATGTTGTGGGTTTACCAGAATGGGGGCAAGGAACACCTGGCCCACCCAGAGTGGAAAACCACTTAAAGGTGTTCTTAAACCACAAACAGTAGCGTGAGCAATCTGTGCCTTAAGGACATGCTCCTGCTGCAGATAACTAGCCAGAGCCCATCCCTTCATTTCAGCCCATCCCTTTGTTTCCTGTAAGGAATACTTTTAGTTAATCTATAATCTATAGAAACAATGCTTATCACTGGCTTGCTGTCAATAAATACATGGGTAAATCTCTGTTCAAGGCTCTTGGCTCTGAAGGCTGTGAAACCCCTGATTTCCCACTCCACACCTCTATATTTCTGTGTGTGTATCTTTAATTCCTCTAGCTCTGCTGGGTTAGGGTCTCCCCCACCAAGCTGGTCTCAGTAAGCAGCACCCATACGTGGGGGCTCGAATCCAGGTTGAAGGGTCGCCAGAGCAACAGTTGGAGAATGGGGAACTAAGCTGGAGGACACCCAAGTACTCTTAAGCAATCCTCGTAGTGAGTAAGATGGGGAGCTTGGAAGCATCCGGTAACAATGGGACAAGTGTGGGCTCTGGTTCGTTCCACCTTGGAACTTTTTCACACTGATGATGAGGAGGAAGGAGAGTATGACGAAGTAACAGAAGAGGTTACAGAGCAGGTTTATTTGCCAGCTAAAGCTAAAGCGGCAAAGGAGGAAGAGGTTCATCCCTACCCTTCTGCACCCCCTCATTATTATTTTGAAGAAAAAGAGTGGCCAGACCCTCCAGATCTTTCTTTTCTGGAGGACACTGGGCGAAAAGTAGTTGCCCCAGTGACTGAGCAGCACCTCGAGCGACTGCTGTCAGTTCTATTCAGGCAGGAGTTCAGCAGGCTAGACGAGAGGGTGATATAGAGGCTTGGCAGTTCCCTGTTAGAATACACCACCTGATCAACAGGGAAATATTATAGCTACATTTGAGCCTTTTCCTTTTAAATTACTCAAATAATTTAAACAAGCTATTAATCAGTATGGACCAGGTTCTCCTTTTGTAATGGGACTGTTAAAGAATGTTGCTGTTTCCAGTCGGATGATTCCTGCTGACGGGGACACTCTTATTCGAGCTTGTCTAAGTCCTGCTCAATTCTTACAATTTAAAACTTGGTGGGCAGATGAAGCTTCCATTCAGGCTGCTTGCAATGCCCAGGCCGAAACTCAAATTAATATAACATGGACCAACTTTTGGGGGTCGGCTGCTGGGCTGGTTTAGACGCACAAGTGGTCATACAGGATGATGCCGTAGAGCAGCTTAGAGGAGTGTGCATTAGAGCTTGGGAAAAAATCACTTCAGGTGGAGAACAATACCCTTCCTTTAGTGCTGTAAAACAGGGACCAAAAGAACTGTATGCAGATTTTATAGCTTGGAATCTCTTAAGACAGGAGTCTCTTAAAAAGGTGATTTCAGATTCAGCTGCTCAGAGTATAGTGTTGCAGTTATTAGCTTTTGGCAATGTTAATCTCGATTGCCAGGCTGCTTTGTGACCTATTAGAGGGAAAGCACATTTAGTTGATTATATCAAGGCCTGTGACGGTATCGGAGGTAATCTGCATAAAGCTACTTTGTTGGCACAGGCAATGGCAGGACTGAGAGTGGATAAAGGAAATACTCCATTTCCTGGAGCTTGTTTTAACTGTTTGAAGCATGATCACACTAAAAAACAATGTAGAAAAAATCAGCAAGTCAGGCCACCATATAGGGGAAAAAAAGAAAACTACTGAGCCTGAAATATGTCCAAAATGCAAAAAAGGAAAACATTGGGCTAATCAGTGTCACTCTAAGTTTGATAAAGATGGGAACCTGATTTCAGGAAACACCATGAGGGGCCCATCCCGGGGCCCCATTCCAAACCGGGGCATTTCTGGCTCAGGCCATTCCCTCATCCTTGTACAATATCTGTCCCCCGCCACAGCCAGTAGCACCACAGTAGATTTATGTTGCACAAAAGCTGTGAGGCTTCTGCCTGGGGAAACCCTGCAAAAGGTCCCAACAGGGGTCTGTGGACCCTTGCCAGCGGGAACGATAGGATTATTTCTAGGAAGGCCTAGTTTAAGTTTAAAAGGAGTACAAATACATACAGGGGTCATTGATTCAGATTACAATGGGGAAATTCAAATTGTTATATCTACTTCTGTTCCCTGGAAAGCAGAGCCAGGAGAGTGTATAGCACAGCTCCTGATTGTGCCGTATGTGGGAATGGGAAAAGTGAAATTAAACAAACAGGAGGATTTGGAAGCACAAATAAACAAGGCAAAGCAGCTTATTGGGTGAATCAAATTACTGATAAACGTCCTACCTGTGAAATAACTATTCAGGGAAAGAAATGTAAAGATTTGGTAGATACAGGAGCGGACATTTCAATCATTTCTCTACAGCACTGGCCGTCTGCGTGGCCAGTTCAACACACTCAACTTAAAACAGTTGGAGTTGGTAAAGCCCCTGAAGTATATCAAAGCCATTATATTTTGCATTGTGAAGGGCCCGATGGACAACCTGGGACTATTCAACCAATTATAACTTCCGTATCTATAAATTTATGGGGGAGAGATTTATTACAACAATGGGGAGCACAAGTTCTACTTCCAGAGCAATTATATAGCCCTCAAAGTCAACATATGATGCATGAAATGGGGCATGTCCCTGGTATGGGACTAGGAAAAAATTTGCAAGGTTTGAAAAAAAATGCTTCAAGTGGAGAGACAAAGTTCCCGCCAAGGTTTAGGGTATCATTTTTGATGGCAGTCATTGTTAAGCCTCCAGAACCTATACCTTTAAAATGGTTAACAGATAAGCCAATTTGGATAGAACAGTGGCTGCTAAGTAAAGAGAAACTGGAGACTTTAGAGAACTTCGTTAATGTACAATTAGAAAATGAGAACATAGCTACAACACTTTCCCCTTGGAATTCTCCAGCTTTTGTAATTAAGAAAAAATCAGGTAAATGGAGAATGTTAACTGATTTAGGAGCCATTAATTCAGTTATACAAGCTATAGGAGCATTACAGCCAGGAAGGACTCTTTCTTTACTATACCCTTAGCTAAGCAAGACAGTGAACGGTTTGCATTTACAATTCCTGTGGTAAACAATCTGCAGCCTGCTAAGCATTTTCATTATTTCACAGATGGGTCTAGCAATGGTAAAGCTTCTTATTCTGGATCAAAAGGTAAAGCTTTCCAGGCAACCTATACTTCAGCTCAGAAAGCAGAGCTTGTAGCTGTAATTGAGGTGCTGACTGCTTTTGATATGCCTGTTAATGTGATTTCTGATTCTTTATACATGGTTCATTCCATGCAATTAATTGAAAATGCTCAGTTATGATTTATACAGATGAACAACTGATGACAAAAAAGGGGGAGAAACAGGGATTACGAGACAGCCCATACACAACTGAATCTAGCATTATTAACTTTAAATTTTTTGAGGCTGCCCAAAGGCCAGATGTTATCAGCAGCTGAACAGCATCTACAGAAACCAGCTGCAAAGACAGGAGCAGAACAACTGGTTTGGTGAAGAGATCCAATAACAAAAAGTTGGGACATAGGTAAAATAATAACTTGGGTAGAGGTTATGCTTGTGTTTCTCCAGGCCAAAACCAGCAGCCAATTTGGATACTATCAAGACACCTAAAACCTTATCATGAGCCAGATGCCAAGGAAGAGATTCCAGGAGGATCCCGAGGACCCCCTGGTTGCAGCCATGTCGAGACTGATGCTGAGGAGGACCCTAACTGTCACGAGCAACACCCGTTGAACACAGCCACCCACCTGGGGACAGATCAAGAAGCTGTCACAGATGGTGGAAGAAAACCTGAGGAAAGCGGGACAACCGGTCACAATGACTGTTTACTGGAATGAAGGCTGTGAGACTCCTCATTTCCCACCCCACACGCCATATTTCTGTGTGTGTGTCTTTAATTCCTCTAGCGCCACTGGGTTAGGGTCTCCCCGACTGAGCTGGTCTCGGCACTGTAATTCTGCCTTGTCCACATGGCACTATTTACACTTTAATTAATTAAAATTAAATGGATTTTAAAAGCCAGTTTCTTATTTGCACCAGCCATATATTTCAAGTACTCAGAATTCACAGAATATGAATGTCTGTATCTGTGCCATAATGAATAGCTCAGATATAGACACTCCATCACTGCAGAAGGGGGTTGGACAGTGGTATTCCAATGTTTCATGGACAGGATCCTGAGTATAATTACGGAATAATGACAATTCCAAGTTCCCATTTCAATTCATGGTCTCTTCTCTGATTCGTGGTATAGGGGGCAGCCCATCTCTTTTGTGAATAAAGGTTAATTTTTCCAATTACACGTAAGTAGCTAATATTATTTTTTTTTTAGCAGTCTTACAGTGTAAGTTACAACCAAAAGTGAAGTGCCTGAATTATATTTACATTTTAACAAATGGTTTTAAAGGGAAAATCCATGTGAAAAAGAAACAAAAGTCAGGAAAAAAAACACACGGAAGTTTCCATACCAATCCTGATAGCAATAACAATCCCTTTGCTGTCGTGAGAGTTCACCCTCATCCTGATTTCATAGTAATCCTGTTCACGCCTTTCTTTAAAGCTTTACTCCCATGCATACATCTCTAAAACAATATAGGTTATCTCAAACTTCATATAGATTTTGAATCTTTTGATACAAATGGAATCGTGCTATGTGTATTCTTATGAGACCTTATTTTAGCTCAAATGTATGTTTGCTAAGTTGTTATAGGTGTCTCTAGAGCATTCATGTTTATTATTCATAGAATTCCACACATTAAATTAATCCTTCTTTGTTTGTGGTCATTTTATTTGTTTTCAGGTTTTAAAAATTACAAACAATGCTGTTGTAAGCCTTCTTGCACATGTATGTTGGCACAATGAGCATATATCTTTCAAAATTATATGCCTAAGAGTGGAATTACTGGTGTATGTATATGATATCCTACCCAAAGAGATGATGCCACACTGCTAGACAAAGTGTGTGACAGCTCTTGATGGTCCATATTCGCACCAACATTTGGAATAGTCAGTGATTTTAATTTAGAAATTCTAGTGGATTTGTCATGACATATCATTATATTTCTTTCCTTAAACTTTATTAAGATATAATTCACATATCATTCACCCATTTAAAGTATACAATTCAATGGTTTTTCACATATTTGGATTTTTAAATCACCATATCTAATTTTAGAACATTTTCATCATCCCAAACTGTTCTCTACAGTTTGAGAGCTGCCTTCTGCAGACCAGCAAGACACAGATTGTTCTCAGCTCCCCTTGTCTCTGGACCCTGACTTCTCTTCCCCCAGCTGCACAGCTGATAAACTGTGTCTCCTCCCAAGCATAGCCCAGGAAGGATACAGGGAGAGGGGCCCATTCCCCTGATGTCCCAGAACCCCTTCCACATAATCCCAATATCCAGGCCCGGTGTCCCCTTCCCTGGATCAACCTTCTTTTTCTGGGAATGAAAGAGTTGCAGTGTTTCCCTCCCAGATCTCCCCTGTGACTCACTCACTCTAAACAGATATCTTGCTCTATGAGTTATTATTCTCATATCCTTTCTTTGAAGCTGTGATAAGATATTACAAACTATTAAGAGAACATGGAGGCTAGGCGTGGTGGCTCACGCCTGTAATCCCAGCACTTTGGGAAGCCAAGACAGGCAGATCACCTGAGGTCAGGAATTCGAGACCAGCCTGGCTAACATGGTGAAAACCCCATCTCTAAAAATACACAAATTAGCTGGGTGTGGTGGCAGCTGCCTGTAATCCCAGCTACTCGGGATGCTGAGGCAAGAGAATTGCTTGAACCAGGAGGTGGAGGTTGCAGTGAGCCGAAATCACGCCATTGCACTCCAGCCTGGCAACAAGAGATAAACTCTGTCTCAAAAAAAAAAAAAAAAAAAAAGAAAGAGAGAGAGAGAACATGCAGGTTAGGTTCTCTTTTTGGATTCTGAGGACCTGCTGTGCTGGGGCAGAGGCAGGTGGGGAGAGAAGGACAGGTGGAGGGGCAGGTGCTGAGTGGTGTGCACCCTTGCTCCGTGCTCAATAAAGTTCCTGCTGTGGTCATTTCTTGTGTATTTGTCTGGATCCCCCCGTGTGCTGGGATTTGTGCCTGGTCTTTAGGGGCGGGTGCTGCTCCAGGTCGGAGGCCTCACACATCTCCAGGCTGAGTCTTTCTCCAAGTCCATGGAGGTCATGGGCTGAGAATGAGAGTTCTCCATCCTGCCCTCAGCTCCACTTTGTGTGTGTGTATTTTTACATGTTGATCTCACCCCTCTCGTCAGAGATTTACAGGAATAGTACTCTGTAGGAGAGCCGTTATCATCCTGCTCCGGCCAGGCTCTGTCTCTCACTTTTGGGTCGTGTGTTCTGTTTCTTGTCCTCTAAAGACTCAGGGCAGCCTCTGCACTTGGGGCTTCTCAGATGCCCCAGATTGATTGTTTTCACCTTTGCCTTCCTTCCTGCTCTGTTTCCAGAATACTCTTATTTTTCCCTTTTATTGTAGTAAGTCAATTTTTTGAATTAACATCATGAATAGATGTGTTAGTGCAATGTCTTAAATACATTCTTGTCACTTCTCCTTTTGTGGGAGCACCCTGTGGTCAGTCAGGGACCTGGCAGGAAAGAGATGGCACCTTTTTTTTTTTTCCGAGACTGAGTTTCACTCTTGTTGCCCAGGCTGGAGTGCAATGGTGTGATCTCGGCTCACCACAACCTCTGCCTCCTGGGTTCAAGCAATTCTCCTGCCTCAGCCTCCCGAGTAGCTGGGATTACAGGCATGCGCCACCACGCCCAGCTAATTTTTTATTTTTAGTAGAGACAGGGTTTCTCCATGTTGGTCAGGCTGGTCTTGAACTCCCAACCTCAGGTGATCCTCTGGCCTCAGCCTCTCAAGGTGCTGAGATTACACGTTTGAGCCACCGCGCTGGCCTGAGATGGCACCTTCTACACAGGTGCCGGCAGGGCTAAGAAAGCCACAAAGGGCGCTGAAGCTCCCTGGGATTATTCCTGGCAGGAAACTGTTTTCATCTTGAAGCTTGAAAGAGCAACGAAGGGAGCAGTTTCCAGAACCCAAGGAAATCTGTAGCTTTCACTAGGGGCAGACCCACATGCCTGTGGCTGTAGGTAGAGGACGGCAATGATTACGGAACCACAGAGCTGTCCAGAGGGAGTGAGGGAAATGAAAACCCTGAGTTACTTCTCCCCGCATGCTCCCATCTCCTGCAGGTGCCTGTTATCATCCACACCCAAGCAGAAGCCAGGTGGTGCAGGAGCATGGGCCGTGCCTGTTGTGGTTGCCTCCCAGTGCAGGGGACAAGGTGGAGGAGGGTGAACGACGGCCCTGTGGAGAGAGAGAAGCAGAGAATAATGCACTCACCTGCTTACAGAGTCCACATTCCTCAGGGAATTCACTTAAATATCCTAGAGTTTGCCCTAATCCAAAGGCATGGCTTCAAAAAAAAAATACATGTAATTTATTCATTCTGAGGCAGAAATTTAAAAATAATAATAATAATAATAAGTATTGCATTTACTTACTTTAAGTTAAAGCTAAGGCTTAGAATGTGGCAAGGCAAAAGTTAAAAAGAAAAAGAAAAGAACAAGTTTTTTTCTGCTTAGCAAGCTTACCTCAAGGACAGTTTTATACATATATTTTTTTTTAGATGGTGTCTCGCTTTGTCACCCAGGCTGGAGTGCCATGACACAATCTCGGCTCACTGCAAGCTCCGCCTCCCAGGTTCACGCCATTCTCCCGCCTCAGCCTCCCGAGTAGCTGGGACTACAGGCACCCACCACCACACCTGGGTAATTTTTTGTATTTTTAGTAGAGACAGGGTTTCACCATGTTAGCCAGGATGGTCTCGATCTCCTGACCTCGTGATCTGCCCACCTCGGTCTCCCAAAGTGCTGGGATTACAGGCGTGAGCTACCGTGCCCAACCCAAGGACAGTTATAAGATAACACTGTCTGAATAGCTAGGGCTAAAAAAATAGGCCTTGGACACTTCTTTTTTCTAGAGCAAAGTTGAAGGAAAAAAAGAGAAAAAAAGATTATTTTACTGTAGAATGCATGAACCAGACACTCAAGCAGCTACTGAAGAAATATTGCCAAGAAACTCATCTGAGACAGAATCAAGTCTTGCCTATAGTCCTCCTCTGAGCCAAGCGCACCCCCACCAAACAAACTAAGTATTTACCCTATAAGATTTTGTTCAATCAGCCACCGTCAAATTAAAAGTGATCTCCAAGAACTAAAAGAACTAACCTTAAGAAATCAAATGCAGGCTTTAGAAACAGCCATGCAAAGTGTTCATAGTTAAGTACATAAAAGAATGCCTAGAAGTCTAACAGACCCAGTACACCCTTTAAACCTAGTAGCTTTGTTTAAGTTAAAAAGTAGAACCCAACTTCTCTAAGACCCATGTAAGATAAGCCCCACAGAGTAATCTTGTCCACTCCCACTGCTGTTAAAGTTGCAAGAATCGTGCCTTAACTCCATCACAGTCGGCTAAAATCGGCAGCTCAGGACAAGTGAACCAGCCAGCAACACCCAGATCATCCAACCCGGCTGATCCTGAGACAAGACCAAGCTGCTGCTGAAGACAACAGCCCTGCTCTGGTCACTCCAGAGGCTGACCAGTCTACGCACAGCTGAAGTTTGAAGAAACAACAAGCCTTGCTCTAGTCACACACCGGAAGCTGACTAGTCTATGCACGGCTGAAGCTTAAAGACTCATCAAGCAAGTAAATGTAGTTAGAAATCTTAAGACTAGTAGTTTTCCTGTAATACTAACTGTTTTCCTATTGTTCTGTCACTGTGCTCAACCTCCTCCCCCAAATAAAGACCTCTTTTGTCCTTGCTAGATTTAAATATGCTGTACATTGTTTTGATGTTGTTACCCCCTTAACCATACTAGAAGAAACACTGACAGAAAAGTGTCCCCACTGTACACATACTACTTAGTCAAAGAACAGTACAACTAGAACTCTGTTGTACCATACTTATAAGTGTACAAAGACTCGCTTAAGAACTTGTACTTATAAGGCCGGGCGCGGTGGCTCACGCCTGTAATCCCAGCACTTTGGGAGGCCGAGGCGGGTGGATCACAAGGTCAGGAGATCGAGACCATCCTGGCTAACACGGTGAAACCCCCGTCTCTACTAAAAATAAAAAAAAAAAAAATTAGCCGGGCGTGGTGGTGGGCTCCTATAGTCCCAGCTACTCGGGAGGCTGAGGCAGGAGAATGGCGTGAACCCGGGAGGCGGAGCTTGCAGTGAGCCAAGATTGCGCCACTGCACTCCAGCCTTGGAGACAGAGCGAGACTCCGTCTCAAAAAAAAAAAAAAGAACTTGTACTTATAATCAGACCACCTGTTCAATTTGTGACCCAAGAAATGGCCAGCCTTATATATGCTATGACCGAAGTCTTTACCTAGGACTTAGTTTAAGATTCATACAAGTAAAAAAAAAAAAAAAGAAGTCTTGTAAGTCAAACCCAAGCCTCTCCTTCCCAGGGTGGGGGCTATATCCATATACTTTGATATTTGTCAGTTAACATCCATGAACCCAACCTATCTCACAATCTCTAGTCCTACAAAGTACTATAAAAACTGCCAGTATAAAATTGTATGTACACTCCCTGTTTGTCCCTCCAAGGCCCTAGCAATAGCTTGCTGGAACTGCACAATGCAGTTCACTGACCGATCATCACTGAGGCCAAAGCCAATCTTGCTCATCAAAGTACCAGCAAAACCAGATTGTAAGACAAGCATTTGCAATCCTGTAAATCTTACTATCTTAAGGCCAAACCTACCTGTATGGACTATAGGCTACTCCATGGCATTACAAAGCTACGGTCAAAAAGCTAAAACAACTTTGTATATTATAAAGAAGACTTGAACCAAGCAGTCAGCCCAGGAGCAATTCTGAGTCTTTAAGTCATTCTTTGAGCATATAAACCGGAAGTTATCAGAGCCTCCTCCTTTAGCCAAAAACCTATTTGTTCAGCTGGCTGAAAACATTGCTGCCAGCCTAGGCGTTTCCTCATGTTATGTTTGTAGAAAGACTAGCATAAAAGACCAATGGCCTTAAGAAGCAAAAAAGTTAATGCCTCAAGATAACTTTACTCCAACTGACTCTTTCCCCAAACCGATGCCCACAAGTTCAAGCGTCTGGCTCTTAAAAACTTCTATATCGAGGCCGGGTGCAATGGATCATGCCTGTAATCCCAGCACTTTGGGAGGCCGAGGCAGGCGGATCGCCAGGTCAGGAGATCGAGACCATTCTAACACAGTGAAACCCTGTCTCTACTAAAAATACAAAAAATTAGCCGGGTGTGGTGGCGGGTGCCTGTAGTCCCAGCTACTCAGGAGGCTGAGGCAGGAGAATGGCGTGAACCCAGGAGGCGGAGCTTGCAGTGAGCCAAGATTGCGCCACTGCACTCCAGCCTTGGAGACAGAGCGAGACTCCGTCTCAAAAAAAAAAAGAAAGAAAGAGATTCCATCTGCATGTATGCATTCAGCCAGGACACAGTGGCCAGGGGTCTTAAACACCACCCAAGAGCCTTCAGACAGTCAAGTTCCTCTTTCTTCTCAGGGTTCAGCCTGAGCACTGGGGTGACCAAACACACTGTGCAAAGGGCAGGAACCTCTTCAATGCCAGCTTATGAATCTGTCCCCTCCAGTGGTGGGAAATCGCACCTCAATCCACAATCCACTATTTCTTCCCGCCCTTACCTCCTCACACCCATCTGGAATTTAGGAGAATGTGGAGAGCAGCCAGCAGCAATAGCAGCAGCTGAGGCCTAAGGAAAACTGAACAGGAAGCCAAGGAAACACATCAGGTGACTAAAATTGTTTGCTGTTCTGCACATGTCCAAGAATGACCCCAAAAGATTTTCAATGACCAGTTCTATGGTTACCAACCTATTGGGCCACGTCATAGACATCAAGTGGATGAGCATTGCCTTTATCAATGACAGGTGAGCCCCACACCCAGAAGGACACCTACTCTCCCATTCCTTATGTTTTCTATCTTTTCACACCTTACATCCTCTTCCCTCCCTCTGGGTGTCTTCCCTCTTTGGGTCTTCTGTTTCTACCCTCTGCCTCCTTTCAGGTGACTAGAGCAGGCTGGTTTGGAACAGGGCTTGGCCATCAGCGTTTGTGTCAGATGAGAATCATGCAAGGATCCAGTGTGATGGGCAGCATCGCTTCGAGGTCAGTGTTAGTGAGCTGCCTGATGAGACAGATGTCTCCTCCACGGTGAGTGCTGATCTCATGAAACACTTAGTTCCTCCCTGAACCTTAGTATGTTTTTCTTCAATCTCATCACATAGGTCATGGGCATCTGATGCATAATGGACACTTGACTGGTTCATGCCCCCTGGCCTTTGATGCTGTGTTGGGATGTTTTCCTGACCTTTATGTGGGGTTTCTGTCTTCTCTCATCATATTACATCCCTTCCCTCACCCCCACGTCCGTCCTCTGAACCCACACAGTACACCAGCGTCTGCATGTGTGCCGTGTGTTCCTGCCTCACTTTCCCCTTTTCATGCCTTATTCTGACTGTGCCATATTTTCTCTTCAGTTGAACAGACACAGTAGAGGACTCACCAATTCTGGGATGTGATAGTCTGTCCTTCAGGAGAAGACCCCAGGTGGGGGTGAAGGAGACACTACTGCCTCCACCCCTAACAGCCCCCACCCCATGGCTTCCCTCCTCTGCATCAGCACCACTCCTGAACCCCCATTCCTGATTGTCAGAATTTTAAAAATCCTAACTAGGCTGGGCGCGGTGGCTCACGCATATAATCCCTGCACTTTGGGAGGTCGAGGCGGGTGGATCACCTGAAGTCGGAAGTTCAAGACCAGCCTGACCAATATGGAGAAACCCAGCGTCTACTACAAATACAAAAATAACCGGGCGTGATGACGAGCGCCTGTAATCCCAGCTACTCGAGAGGCTGAGGCTCAAGAATCGCTTGAACCCAGGAGGCAGAGGTTGCAGTGAGCCAAGATCGCACCTTTGCACTCCAGCCTGGTCAACAAGAGGGAAACTCCATCTCAAAAAAAAAAAAAAATCCTAACGAAAAATGGAACACATGTGTGTCTGTGGTATCTGCATGCTACATCTTCTTACTGTGTTTGGGGAGAGGTTATTGTAGGACATGATCCAGGGTAAATTCCTGTAAGGCTGAGGTGCACTGCTGTGAGGTCAAAGGAGGCATGGGACTGAGACTGCAGAGCCCTGGCTCCCCACTACCTGCCTGTATTAGTCAGGGTTCTCTAGAACTAACAGAATAAATATATATATAAAGGGGGATTTATTAAGTAGTATTAACTCGCATGATCACATGGTCCCACAATAGGTCGCCTGCAAGCTGAGGAGCAAGGAAGCCAGTCCGAGTCCCAAAGCGGAAGAACTTGGAGTTCGATGTTCGAGGGCAGGAAGCATCCAGTATGGGAGAAAGATGTAGGCTGGGAGGCCAGTCTAGCCTTTTCACATTTTTCTCCCTGCTTTATATTCTGGCCACGCTAGCAGCTGATTAGATGGTGCCCACCCAGATTTAGGGTGGGTCTGCCTTTCCCAGTCCACTGACTCAAATGTTAATCTCCTTTGGCAACACCCTCACAGACATGCCCAGGATCAGTATTTTGCGTCCTTCAATCCAACCAAGTTGACACTCAGTATTAACCATCACACTGCTAACTTCTGGCCTTTTGTGGTCTCTTCCATTTTCCCAGTGGCCTGGGAGCAGCTGGGATATTTCTGATCCTGGGGTTCCTGGGGGTGGTGCACAGTATTTCCAATGCTGAGGGGTGCCACAGGCACTGGTGGGAAGCTTGGGTGTCTCCTCCCAGGCTCTCTTGGTGCCTCCTTCCTTATCTGTTTCTTCAGGTTCTGGATCTTGACCATCAGGGCCTGGGGCCCCCACCCCCTCCAGCAGAGCCTGATCCACTCCAGCTGCTGCTCCAGCAACTCTTTGGCTTGGGCCAGCTCAGCTGTGTGGTGGGGCCAGGGCCCTGGTGAGGGGAGTCAGGGAGGGAGCATCAGCCAGGGCAGGGGGGCTGAGGCTCTGGAAAGCTGTGCTGCAGGGTCTGGCTGTAAGTGGGAAATTCTACCTCCCTTTCTCTGTTTCTAGCCCATTAGTTTAAGTCCACCTGTACTGAGAAGCCCAGGGAGCCCTGTATCTTAGGTACAAGCCTCTGGGGAGCAGATAGAGATCCCTGGCCCAGGAGCTATACTGGAAAGCCCACAGCTGCAGAAAGTCAGGTTGCACCTGTAAAACCCCCAGCTGGTTAAAAAAAGATAAAATTTGACTACCTGAGAGGTTTCATTTATATAACAGGAACACCTTCCCAGCCTCTCTCTGTGGGCTATTAAAGATTTCAGAGATTTCTTATTCTAAACAATTAATGAAAACATCAAGTCTTAAAAGGACACATAGTAGTGTCATGGCTAGTCTTCAAAAATTCCCTTGACTAAATTAAGAGCAAAAAAATCACTTCAAACACTTCTGGTAGTTAAAATTAAACACTTCTCAGCCGGGTGCGGTGGCTCATGCCTGTAATCCCAGCACTTTGGGAGGCCGAGATGGGCAGATCACGAGGTCAAGAGATTGAGACCATCCTGGCCAACATGGTGAAACCCTGTCTCTACTAAAAATACAAAAATTAGTCGGGTGTGGTGGTGGGCACCTGTAGTCCCAGCTACTCAGGAGGCTGAGGCAGGAGAATCGCTTGAACCTGAGAGGCGGAGGCTGCAGTGAGGCGAGATCACACCACTGTGCTCCAGCCTGGGCAACAGAGCAAAACTAAAAAAAAAAACATTAAACACTTCTGCCATGGCTCAGGTTTGCCACCTCATCAGGGAACAACTAAGGGCCACCCACCTTGTGGCCTAATAGTCATAACTTTGGTTAAGGCACTTGGGAGGATACCTTTTGGTAAAGAAGGTGAAAAGCCAGGAATATCAACTGTTCCTCCTGGCTAAAATCTGGTAATAAGAGATGTCAAAGGATTTTTTTAGAGCTCTATAGTCAAAATTTGACTTAATTAAAACTGATATTTTAGACTTCAGTGTGTACATATTGCTTTAAGGTCTCTTTTCTCCCTGGGTAAACATTTCTCAGTCAACTAAATGTCTCTCTTTTTCAACCCCCTGCTAGCCACATGCACTTCCTCTGTTTCCCTATTTCTTTGTTTTTTTTTTTTTTTTTGAGACGGAGTCTCACTCTGTCACCCAGGCTGGAGTGCAATGGCGTGGTCTCAGCTCACTGCAACCTCCACCTCCCAGGTTCAAGCGATTCTCCCACCTCAGCCTCCCAAGTAGCTGGGACTACAGGCGCCTGCCACCACACCCAGCTAATTTTTGTATTTTTAGTAGAGACGGGGTTTCACTATATTGGCGAGGCTGATCTCGAACTCCTGACCTAGTGATCCACCCACCTCGGCCCCCCAAAGTACTGGGATTACAGGCATGAGCCACTGCGCCCGGCCTCCCCTATTTATTTCTATCAGCCCCTCCTTCCTCTTGCCAACCTTGGTGCCACATAAGAAAAAAATTAAATTAAATAAAATTCTAATAGCCTGGGATCCCTTAAGAAAAATGCAAAAGGCACCACAGACGCATTTTTGTGAGAAACTGCTGTTTTTTCCTCAGGGAATCCCAAGAGGGAATCCAAGAGAGGACAAAATCCTCTCAGGTCAAAAACTCTGTTCCTTTGCCTTGCATGACCTGATTTTGGCTTTGAATGGGATCAGAAATCACTTTATATTGTGAGAAAACTTGACTTTGGCGTATACAATGGCTGGGAAATGGGCTGATCACAGAGTGGGCTGATTGGCACTGGGTTGCCCACCAGCCTTGAGAGAAAGTTTTTGTAGCAAAACACACTAAAAATATTGTATGGCCAGGTCCCCATGGCATTACTCTCTTTCTGGGCACTGAAAATTCAGTGTGGGCTCTACCCTGAGTTCAATGGTCCAGTTAAAAGATACAGGCCAAATTAAAAGCACCTATCTAAATGCAGTTGATCTCCTTATAAGATCCTATGATAGACCGGGCACGGTGGCTCACGCCTGTAATCCCAGCACTTTCAGAGGCCAAGGAGGGCGGATCACAAGGTCAGGAGATTGAGACCGTCCTGGGTAACATGGTGAAACTCCATCTCTGCTAAAAATAAAAAAAAGTAGCCGGGCGTAGTGGCACACACCTGTAGTCCCAGCTACTTGGGAGACTGAGGCAGGAGAATCGCTTGAACCTGGGAGGCGGAGGTTGCAGTGAGCCGAGATTGCGTTCTGCAGGAGGTACTAATTAAAATTGTGTACCTCCTAGTTTTTTCACTAAAAATAAGAGTTACTAAGAGTTAACATTACAATTCATAGATGTAATTTAAATTACTAGATATAAGATAAATAATTCTACAAGCAACATGCAAAGAAAAGTAGAATGTGGTTTTTGGTAGAAACATAAGAAGGCATGGAAATAGGGCTTTTGTTAAAGGAAAAGTAATTCTGCCTAGTTAGAGGGGTTTATTTTATTTTATTTTATTTTATTTTATTTTATTTATTTTGAGATGGAGTCTCGCTCTGTTGCCCAGGCTGGAGTGCAGTGGCATGATCTCAGCTCACCATCAACCTCCACCTGCTGGGTTCAAGTGATTCTCCTGCCTCAGCCTCCCAAGTAGCTGGGACTACAGATGTGCACCACCACGCTCAGCTAATTTTTTGTATTTTTAGTAGAGATGGGGTTTCACCATGTTGGCCAAGCTGGTCTGAAACTCCTGACCTTCTGATCCACCCGCCTTGGCCTCCCAAAGTGCTGGGATTACAGGTGAGCCACCACGCCTGGCCAAAATAATCTTTTATAACTTTTTTTGTTGGAAACATTGCTGATTCTTTTTGCTTTGTTTTTCAGAGTCAAGAAAACTTTTCTTTTGAACATTTACAGCTTTTCACAATGAAGCGTACTCTTGTAAGCAAAATTTGAGGCATATTTCTTTCTCTCTACCTGATTTCTCCAGAATTCAGAAACTATTTCTGAGATTTTGTTTGTTTGTTTGTTTTTTGAGAAGGAGTCTTGCTCTATCTCCCAGGCTGGAGTGCAGTGGGGCGATCTCAGCTCACTGCAATGTCTGCTTCCCGGGTTCAAGTGATTCTCCTGTCTCAGCCTCCTGAGTAGCTGGAATTACAGGCACCCGCCACCACGCCTGGCTAATTTTTGTATTTTTAGTAGAGACAGGGTTTCACCATGTTGGTCAGGCTGGTCTCGATCTCCTGACCTCATGATCTGCCTGCCTCAGCCTCCCAAAGTGCTGGGATTACAGGCATGAGCCACCACGCCTGGCCTTATTTCTGAGTATTCATGATTTATGGCAATATACTTAGTTGCATGAGTTTAATAAAAATCTGTTTTCTTTCTTAACAGGACATAATTTTGACACTGATTATTTTACCAAGGCTTTGGCTAGAATGCCATATTTTAAGATATAAGCAGACTGCTTTGAGAACTTGAGATTGATGTTATAGAACTGATTAAAAAAAAAAAAAACCCTTGGAAAAACTGACCTCATACTTTGTCTACGCATTTCCTTTACAGGGTTCCTGACAGGTAGTAAGTAAGAATATCACTTTCTCACAGACCTAGGAACCACACGTTATTTTGAGACCTTGAGAAGACAGAAATTTACCTCATTCATACAAGTATCTGCAGGCACAGATAAATCCTTGGCTGGACTCAAGAAAAACTCTAATCTGAGATTCCTTATGAAAAGCTCTAGCAAAACCAATTCAAAAAGAGCCTAGGGCCATGCACAGTGGCTCAGGCCTGTAATCCCAGAACTTTGGGAAGCCAAGGCGGATGGATCACCTGAGGTTGGGAGTTCGAGACCAGCTTGACAAACATGGAGTAACCCCGTCCTGACTAAAAATACAAAATTAGCTGGGCTTGGTGGCGCATGCCTGTAATCCCAGCTACTCGGGAGGTTGAGGCAGGAGACTCGCTTGAACCCGGGAGGCAGAGGTTGCAGTGAGCTGAGATTGCACCATTGCACTCAGCATGGGCAACAAGAGTGGAAACTCTGTCTCAAAAAAAAAAAAGAGCCTATTGGCCAATAATTATTCTTGCTGCGCTTTATGCAAATAATCAGACCAAGTATAATAAGACTAAAACTTATTTTGCAGATACGTTGGTCCCACTATGATTTTGATTTTGGTAAAAATAGGGGACTGGAGAGAGAAAAATTATTTCAAAGAAAATTATAGTATACTCATTATAAGATTCTAGCCTTGTCCATTGTTTTTCAGTTTTCACTATTTGTCTACAATTTATTCAGACTAGATCCTGAATTCTTCCCTGGCTATAAGTCTCCAAAGTAACATTTTCAAAAGAAAAATTTCTCCCATTTTTCTCACTTGGAATCACTAGAAATTAAAACTGTGCTTTTCTTACAGCCCTGCAAACTGAAGCTAGAAAATTTAAACTTTGTAGCGTAATAGCAGAAATAGTAGCATTTGCAGATAACTGTATTTTCACAAGCTTACTTTTTCTTATGTACAATGTAGACTTACTAAGTGCAAGACAAATGCATAATAGATTTTTTCTCTACTCCCTTCTTTTCACCTATAAAATGTAGATTCACTGAGCACTAATCAGAGCCTCACACACCCCACCTTTGTGCCTGCCTACTGAAGTATGGACTTCTCGGTAGCATATCCTAAATTACTTTTCCAGGATTGCATTCCATTTGTTTCTATAATCTGGTCTTGGTCCCTCCCTTTTGTTTCTCTTTTTCCCTTTTTTCTTTCTCTCTTTCCCTTTTTTCTTTCTCTCTTCCTCCCTCTATTTTTCTCCATGGGACAAGAGACTTTACAAGCCCCTAAGAATAAGCCTTCCTAGCAACATGGGATCTAATCTTCCAGGAATAAATCATTCTAGCAGAAGAGGTTAGACTAAACCCATGAGCAGACACCCATTTTCTTCTACCATGCTTTCTCTGAAAGATTTTGAATAACAAGGGAGAAATGTGAAAAGAAAATAGAATCTCAGGACCCCAAACTGCTATGCAAGAAATTAAGCTTGGAAACTGAGTCATGCAAAATTTGCCTTCCTTTTGTTCCCAAACATATAACTGTAATTTTACATGCTTACTTTAGCTTATGTAAAATATAGATTTACTGAACATGATGTGAATGCATAACTGACTTCTTCCTCCCTCCCTTCTTTTCACATGTAAAATGTAGATTCACTAAGGACTAATCACAGCCTCACAAGTATGTAACCACTCGCATCATTGCCTACCTGTCCTTCCTTTTTTTTTCTTTCCTCTCCTGCTTGCCCTTTCTCCTTTAAATATTGAAGGTCCCAAAATCCTCCTTGGAAAAAGCACAGGTCACAGGTCCTATTGTGGCTTATGTTTCTTTTCCCCCAGCATATTTTCAACCTTGGCAAAATGAACACCGAATTGATTGAGATCTGCCTCAGTCACTTTTTGGTTTACAAAGCTAAATTAATTACATTTGTAAATTAAAAACAAGGGGCCAGGTGCAGTGGCTCATGCCTGTAATCCTAGCACTTTGGGAGGCCGAGGTGGGTGAATCACCTGAGGTCAGGAGACCAGCCTTGCCAACATGGCAAAACCCTGTCTTTACTAAAAATACAAAAATTGGCCAGGCATGGTGGCAGGCACCTGTCATCCCAGCTACTCGGGAGGCTGAGGCAGGAGGCAGAGGTTGCAGTGAGCCAAGATCACACCACTGCACTCCAGCCTGGACAACAGAGTGAAACTCCGTCTCAAAAAAAAAAAAAAAAAAGAGGCTGGGCACATTGGCTCATGCCTGTAATCACAGCACTTTGGGAGGCCAAGGCAGGCAGATCATGAGGTCAGGAGTTCAAGACCAGCCTGGCCAACATGGAGAAACCCCATCTGTACTAAAGATACAAAAAATTAGCCAGGCATGGTGGCACACACCTGTAATCCCAGCTACTCGGGAGACTGAGGCAGGAGAATCACTTGAACCCAGGAGGCCAAGGTTGCAATGAGCTGAGATCACACCATTGCACTCCAGCCTGGGCAACAAGGTGAGACCCCATCTCAAAAAAAACAAAAACAAAAACAAAAACAAAAAGATAGCAGCTATTTAGAAAAAAAAAAACAAGAGCTTGGAGTCGCAAAGAAGACAAGCACTCAAACAAAAGGATTTCTCAGCAAGGCAAGTTTACTTCTGCAGAAGGGTGCTGCTTGCACTTCTGGCTGCTGTGAGAGCACACCGAACAATGGACAGAAGCGGGTTTTATCCCTAACGCAATCAGCCCCTGCTACTGTGTCCTGTCCCCATTTGCTGAAGTCAGACTGCACAATCTAAGCTGATCCCAATTGGCTATTTCAAATGGAGCAGGAGTGTGAGTAAGTAGGGCGGGAAGGGCTGTTTCAGCGAGAAGAGAGAGGCCATCCTTTACTGTGCAAAACATGTCAGGGCATGGCAAAGGCAGGAAGAGCCCTCTGCAAGTTACAGATTGGAACTGGTGGGAGTTGGTGTTTACAGAGCGGGTAACTAGGAACAAGAGAGTACAAGGAAGTTGGGTTTTAGAAATAGAAAACAAAGAACAAGGAAGTTGAAGAAGCTGAACCTTTGAAGAGGAACTTACTGTATCTAACAGAACAAATGAGGCTTCTGCAAGACAATTGAAATGATACACTCATAACAATCCTTCATGAAAGTAACATATTAGCCACCTGAGTTTCTGCTTTAGGTTATGAACTCCAAAATGGACTGGCCCCCAGTAATTTACAGTAGGTAGTCCTAAGCCATAAATAAATAGAATCTGTGAATATTAGCTTTGTTCATCTGTAAGAACTTAAGAAAGTGCTGGGCATTGGGTCAGTTCAAGTCTATTGGATGAACTGTGAATCTCATAATCATGGAAATGTAGGAATAAAGATAAATATACATAAACCAGGCCAGGCTCGGTGGCTGACTCCTGTAATCCCAGCACTTTGGGAAGCCAAGGCAGGAGGATCACCTGAGGTTGGGACCAGCCTGACCAACATGGAGAAACCCCATCTCTACCAAAAATACAAAATTAGCCAGGCATGGTGGCACATGCCTGTAATCCCAGCTACTCGGTAAGCTGAGGCTGGAGAATCGCTTGAACCCTGGAGGTGGAGGTTGCGTTGAGCCAAGATCGTGCCATTGCACTCTAGCCTGGGCAACAAGAGTAGAAACTCTGTCTCAAAAAAAAAAAAAAAAAAAAAGTAAACCACAGATTACCTAATGCTAAGGTTTTGTTACAGGAAAGGAGTCTTGATTCAGACCCCAAGAGAGGGCTCTTGGATCTTGCACAAGGAAGAATTCAGGGCAAGTCCATAGAGTAAAGTAAACCAAGTTTATTAGAAAAGTAAAAGAACAAAAGAATGGCTACTCCATCAACAGAGCACCCCTGAGGGCTGCTGGTTGCCCATCTTTATGGTTATTTCTTGATGATATGCTAAACAAGGGGTGGGTTATTTATGCCTTCCCTTTTTAGACCATATAGAGTAACTTCCTGTCGTTGCCACAGCATTTGTAAACTGTCATGGTGCTGGTGGGAGTGTAGCAGTGAGGACGACCAGAGGTCACTCTCATCACCATCTTGGTTTTGGTGGGTTTTGGCTAGCTTCTTTACTGCAACCCATTTTATCAGCAAGGTCTTTAGGACCTGTATCTTGTGCTGACCTTCTGTCTCATCCTATGACTTAGAATGCCTTAACCGTCTGGGAATGTGGCCCAGTAGGGTTCAGCCTTATTTTACTCAGCCCCTATTCAAGATGGAGTTGCTCTGGTTCACATGCCTCTGACAGTTTGAATGACCCCCCAAAACTCATGTTGACATTTAATTGCTATTCTGATAGTATTAAGAGGGGAGACCTTTAAGAGTTGATTAGGTTGAATAGATTAATGTCATTATTGTGGGAGTGGGCTCCTGATAAAAAGTATGTTTGGCCCCTTTGCCCTACCTCTTTCACCATGGGATGACACTACAGGAAGGCCCCCACAAGATGCTGATACCATGCTCTTGGACTTCCCAGCCTCCAGAACTGTAAGAAATACATATTTTAATAAATTGCCCAGTCTGTGGTATTCTGTTACAGCAGCAGAAAATGAAACCTAGTTTGTTATGTTATCATGTTTATTTATTTATGTTTGTTATTCTTGAGTCATAATAGAGTCTTACTCAGATGTGCATTCATGCCTGGCCTCTGCAGGAGGGGCCTGTCTTCAGCCAGGGACAAGCAGAACATTATGGTCAGCATCATCCACAAGGTCAAGAGGCCACAGAGCCCCCTGAGGGCAGTATACTGGCCCCTTCGATATTGTATCCTACCCAGCAGGTTAGTAGGACTGCATGACTGACAGGAATCATTGTAGCCTTCATAGCAAAGTTTTATGGAGACGGGGCTAAGGCTATTGAAGTCCAGCCATTAGATTAATGTAGGAGCTTGCTGTCAGAGACCCTGCTGGGCACTTTTTGTTCCTGTCACAGATGACCTTCACAACAACCTTTCAAGAGAGCTCTTTTCATTTCACTTTTCTTGCATGTGGATGTCCAGTTTTTCCAGTGCCATTTATTGAAAAGACAGTCTTTTCTCCACTGTATTGTCTTTGCTCCTTTATCTGTATTTACGTGGGTCTATTTCTTGGTTCTCTATTCTGTTTCATTGATCTATTTGTCTATTCTTTTGCCAATACAACACTGTCTTTTTTAAATTAAATTATTTTGGTTGACAAATAAAAGTTATATTTGGGTGTATAGCATCATGTTTTCATATACGTATACATTGTAAAATGGCTAAAGCAAGCCATTAACATATACATTACCTCACATACTTTTTGTGGTAATAATGCTTCAAATAATTTATCTTATAATTTTGAAATATACAATATGTGGTTACTAAGTTTAATCACCATAAAGTACAATAGATCTCTTAAACTTATTCTTCCTATCTAATTGAAATTTTGTGTTGGTCGGGCATGATGGCTCATGCCTGTAATCCCAGCACTTTGGGAGGCCGAGGCGGGTGGATCACTTGAGGTCAGGAGTTCGAGACCAGACTGGTCAACATGGTGAAACTAAAAATACAAAAATTAGCTGGATGTGGTGTCACATGCATATAGTCCCAGCTACTTGGGAGGTTGAGGCACAAGAATCACTTGAACCCGAGTGATTCAGAGACTGCAATGAGCCAAGATCATGCCACTGCACTCCAGACTGGGTGACAGAGAGAGACTCTTGTCTTTTTTTTTTTTTTTTTTTTTTTTTTTTGGTAGAGTCTCTCTCTGTTGCCCAGGCTGGAGTTCAGTGGTTCAGTGGTGCAATCTCAGCTCACTGCAACTTCCACCTCCCGGGTTCAAGCAATTCTCCTGTCTCAGCCTCCCGAGTAGCTGGGACTACAGGCGCATGCCACGACACCCGGCTAATTTCTTTTGTATTTTAGTAGAGACAGGGTTTCACCATGTTGCCCAGGCTAGTCTCTAACTCCTGAGCTCAGGCAATTTGCCTGCCTCGGCCTCCCAAAGTGCTAGGATTACAGGCTTGAGCCACTGCGCCCAGCCGAGACTCTGTCTTTAAAAAAAAAAAAAGAAAGAAAGAAAAGAAATTTTGTGTCATTTGCTTACCCCTCCCCAATCCTCCCACCTCCCAGCCTCTGACAACTACCGGTTTACTCACCATGTATATGAGTTTGGCTTTTTTTACATTCCACATATATGTGAGATCATGTTTGTCTTTTTGCGCCTGGCTTATTTCACTTAACATAATGTCTTCTAGGTTCATTCATGTTGTTGACTGAATAGTATCCCACTGTGTATATATACCACATTTTCTTTATACATTCATCCATTAATGGATACTTAGGTTGATTCCATATCTTGGCTCTTGAGAATAACACTGCAGCCAGGTGTGGTGGCTCGCACATGGAATCCAGCTACTCAGGAGGCTGAGGCAAGATGACCACTTAAGGCCAGGATTCTGAGACCAAGCTGGGCAATGCAGTGACACCCTAACTCTAAAGAAAGAAGAAAGAATAATGCTGCAATGAACATGGAAGTGCAGACATCTCTTTGACACACAGATTTTATATCCTTTGAATATATATTCAGTGGTAGGATTGCTGGATCATATGGTAGTTCTATATTTTAATTTTTTGAGGAACCTTCATACTCCTTCCAGCAATGACTATACCAATTATCTGTCTGGATTACTGCAGTTTTATAGAAAGTCTTGAAGTCAGGTGTGGCAGTACTTTGACTTTGTTTTCCTTCTATATTGTGCTGGCTAGGCCTTTTGCCTCTCCATATAAACCTTTTTTGTTTGTTTGTTTTTTGTTTTTTTGAGACAGAGTTTCGCTCCTGTTGCCCAGGCTGGAGTGCAATCTCAGCTCACTGCAACCTCCACCTCCTGGGTTCAAGCGATTCTCCTGCCTCAGCCTCCCAAGTAGCTGGGATTACAGGCACCCGCCACCACACCCAGCTAATTTTTGTATTTTTAGTAGAGACGGGGTTTCACCATGTTGGCGAGGCTGGTCTTGAACTCCTGACCTCAGGTCATCTGCCCACCTCGGCCTCCCAAAGTGCTGGGATTACAGGCATGAGCCACTGTGCCCGGCCTCTCCATATAAATTTTTAAATCAGCTTGTGAGTATACACAAAATAACGTCCTGGGGTTTTGACTGGGATTGCATTGATTCTATAGATCAGGTTGGGAAGAAATGACATATTAACAATATTGAGTCTTCCTGGTCTTGCATCCCACGTTCAAGCTATTCTCCTGCCTCAGCCTCCCGAGTAGCTGAGATTACAGGTGCCCACCACTACGCCTGGCTAATTTTTTGTATTTTTAGTAGAGATGGGGTTTCACCATGTTGACCAGGCTGGTCTCGAATTCCTGACCTTGTGATTCGCCTGCCTCAGCCTCCCAAAGTGCTGGGATTACAGGCGTGAGCCACCATGCCCAGTTCTTTTGTAGCATTTCAAGATGTTCCAGGCTTATCTTGTATTTTTCCTACTTCACCCCTAGAATCAGCTATTTTTCTAAGGAGCCCTGGTTCCTTCTATTGGAGATTGATGTATTATAACCAAAATCTGGGCATTGGGTGCTCATTTCACTTTCCTAAGGAGGACATAGAGGTTCTGTTGATGACATCTGTGATACCTCTGTCTTTGTCTTCTTCATTTAAAAGAATGTAAACAAGGGACACACAGCAAAGGAGATGCAGTACAGAGCAATTTATTGCAAAGGAAAAATGATATTTTGAAAGTTAAGTGCAGAATAGATAGTATGCCCTGAGAGAGAGGATTCAGGGTGGGCTGCTCCTAAGGATGAGACAGCATTGATTATTGCTGCAGAAACTCCCTTTATGGGGGTCTTACATGATTATTCATAAGGAGGTGGGAAGAGGTGTTACTAGTCAGCATGTTCTGGGTGGTCCTCTGGGTGGGTGGTCCTCTGGATGCACATGTGCAGTAGCTATACATGCTTGTTCATGCATCTCATGTCTCATAAGCATCTTAAATCTCCACCCAGGTGTGTGTTTCTTACTATTGTAATGAGCTAAGGGTCAGTTTGACGGTAGGTAAAATCAAAATGCGCATGCTCTCTACAGGGTAAATTCCCTACTGGAGATAGCTTTGCTTGAATGAGCTGGTCTACAATGTGAATGCTGGAGCTTATTGTGTTGTCTGTATGGTTATCACTGTTGCTGCATCCCAAGGACACAGTTACTTCCTTGACTCCCTATCCTGCCTCAATTCCTCCCTAAAAGATCTTAGGACCCATAATCATACGGGAGGATGAGAGGCTAGGTCATTTCTTCCAGAGCTGCTTCCTGCTGAGTGCGGCATTGTCCTTGCCTAACCTGGGCCCTGAAGTCTTTTCCTGCCTAGTCTAACAGTGTGTAAGCCATGTCTTTCAGGGGACTGGTGGGCAAGATGTGAGATAGCTAATTAGCAGCCAAAGGTTGGAAGCCTTGCAAAACCATCACATGAACCGGGATTTGCTGTAGGTGACAAAGCAAGAAATCAGCAATTTTTTTTTTTTTTTGAGACAGTCTGGCTCTGATGCCCAGGCTGGAGTGCAATGGAGTGATCTCAGCTCTCAGCTCACTGCAACCTCTGCCTCCCAGGTTCAAGTAATTCTCTTGCTTCAGCCTCCCAAGTAGCTGAGATTACAGACGCCTGCCACCACACCTGGCTAATTTTTTGTATTTTTAGTAGAGACAGTGTTTCGACATGTTGGCCAGGCTGGGAAATCAGCATTTTAAACAAAGTTGGACCAAAAGTTAGAGCTAAACATATGGTAATGACTGGCATTGTTAAAGGGAGCAAGGCAGAAAACAGCCATTGCTTCCAAGTTCCCACGGAAGCTCCTAAATATTCAATTTTGTCTGCCTGGGTAATGATTTTCTTATTCCAAGAAAATGCTATTAATATATATTTGTAATTTGATTGATGCGAAAACAACATTCTTCTTCTAGATACAAACATGTTCCTCGTTGTCCAACTGTGAGAAGGTCTAAGGCTCTTCGGTTTTGTAGGACTGCCAGGAAGTCCAGCTGTTGCTGAAGTCTAGTGAGGCTCTCTGCTGTTTGTCAGAGGGCCACTGTGGTCTCCTGAGACAGTTTATGCTGGGTTCCCAAGGCTCTGTCTCTGTGGCTGGCTCTGCTAGTCCCGATAGAGAGGATAGCATTAATCCCAAGGGAACAAGGAATCCTGCTCAGCGGTGGATCTTGTGATGTTGGTACATGGGGAAAGGGAGAGATTTGTTAGCCAACGCAAAAGGTAGATAAGGGGAAATGTAAACTATGGGACATCGTCCCTTCCATTGTGGAGGGAGTTGTAGACGTGCTGAAGATCCACAAATACCAACAAATTCTTTTTTTTTTTTTTTTTTTGAGACAGTCTCACTCTGTCGCCAGGCTGGAGTACAGTAGTGCGATCTCAGCTCATTGCAACCTCCGACTCCCTGGTTCAAGCGATTCTCCTGCCTCAGCCTCCTGAGTAGCTGGGATTACAGGCACATGCCACCATATCTAGCTAATTTTTGTATTTTTAGTAGAGACAGGGTTTCACCATGTTGGCCAGGATTGTCTCAATTTCCTGACCTCGTGATCCACCCGCCTCAGCCTCCCAAAGTGCTGGGATTACAGGCGTGAGCCACTGCGCCCGGCCAACACAAGCAAATTCTATGTGATGGTGAAATTTGTGCTGCAAAAGCATTTTGCATCGAGGTGGTAAAAGTAATGGAAATTTGGTGGTCACTGGACTAATTAGAGGATGGTAGAGTTGAGTGGTGTTAATAAGCTTTTTGAAATAAAGTTCCCCCTTTAGGGTTCTATCATGAGGTGTATAAATGATTCTGTGAGAAAGGTTTAGATATACTGACTCTCTTGTGGAGTTTTTCTATAAAAGGAGTGAAACTGGCATGGTTGCTGTAAAGGCAGAAGGGGAATTGCTCTGGGTAAAAAGCAAGGTAAGAAAGCAATTTTCCCCTTGGCAGAGTGAAGCTATTATTCATAGATAAAAATGGAAGTTTGAACTGGCAGTGGCCAGGTCCAAGGAACTCTCTTTGTATTGTTTGTTTAGTCAGATATTCCCACATTATGGTCCAAAGTTTGTTCCAGGAGGTGTATAGGAATGTTGGCCCATTCTTCCCGAGAAACAGGTTTTGCACATTTTTAAATTTTGGTAGTCATGCAAAGCCAGCAAGACTGAGTTAATTTTTATAAATTAGTAGTATGGTTTATTATTTCTTTAGCAGATAAGGTCGTTTTACTAAAAGCGCCTAAAATACAGTAAATAAATAAGAAAAAAATAAAAACATCACATTTCACTGTGAGTTGTTTTCTTGAATAGAAGCTTATGCTGAGGCAACATTAATTGCCTGATGTTTTGGGTCTTGGCTGTTTTTGGACAGGAGCCTTAGATCCTCCAGTGCTTCATAGGAATAGCTTGGAGTCTTTGTTTCAAGTTTCTGTGATGACTTAAAAGGAATCATTTTTTATTTTTGATAAACACACCAAAGGCCTACACCCCTAAGTTTTACTGCAGCAGAAGTTGGTCAGCTGCATGGTAGAGTGAAAATCCTAGTCTGGAGTTTGCTATTAACACCAATGACAGTGTCGTGTTTGGTAGACAGAGGCCCAGGGCAGACAGTGAGAACTGACAGGCCAGCCTCTGTCTTTAAAAGGATATTGATATTTTTGCCTGTCATGTCCAGGGTCATCCGAGGCTCCATTGCTGTGACTGGGGCTGATTGCCACATAGGAGCTGTTTTTTGCCTTTGGTCTCTTTAGTCTTTAGCCAGGGACAATAAGGAATTAGGAGTCCCTCCTCCCTTCAGAGTTGGAGACAGTCCTTCTTCCATTGCCCTTCTTTGTCACATTGATGACAGGCTCCAGAGGGTTTGCAAGCCTGAAGGCCTTTGTTACTTACTTAGCTCCGGTGTCCAGGCTTTTTATAAATGCAGGAATAGCCCTTGGGTTCCACTCAGGATGACCTGGAGGTGGGAGTTTTCGCATAGTGAGTGAAGGCCAAAAATTGGGACTATCTTTTGTCTCTCTTTTCTTCCCTTTGATCTCTATGTGCCTTTTCCACTCTGTCTTGGTAATTAAAGACACCAAAAGTTAGGTTTAGCAGTTCATTTATTGGGACTTGGGGATTTATGACTAGTTTTGTGACTTTTTCCTGATATCTGGGACAGACTGACTCATGAAGTAGGTCTCTAAGAGGATTTGGTTGTTTTTCTGTGTGTTACCTGAGAGAGGGAGATACAGATAGAGAGTGAGAGTAGGTTGCTTTTTGTTTTAGGGGGGCAATAGGATACTCTGCTATGAGTTGTCCCAGCAGGACTGGGCTCTTTAGGGAGTGTTTGGTGAACAAGCTGATAAGGACGGGGTGCAGAAGACTGTGTGTCAAGTGAGGAAGGACTACAGGAGTAGAAGCTTAAGAGGTTTGAAGAGTAACCCTGGACTAGATTGTAAGGGAGGAAAGTTGTTGGTAGGAGGTATTTTTCTTTCTTTTTTTTTTTTTTTTTTTTGAGACAGAGTCTCACTCATCACCCAGGCAGGAGTGCATTGGTATGATCTCAGCTCGCTGCAACCTCCGCCTCCTGGACTCAAGTGATTCTCCTGCCTCAGCCTCCTAAGTAGCTGGGATTACAGGCCTGCGCCACCACACCCGACTAATTTTTTTATTTTTAGTAGAGACAGGGTTTCACCATGTTGGCCAGGCTGGTCTCGAACTCCTAACCTCAAGTGATCCACCCACCTTGGCCTCCCAAAGGGCCACTGTTGCACCCAGCTGGTATATTTCTTATTATAGAGTCATTAATTATGTTAGATTTCCCCAAATTCTTTTTTGAGACAGAGTCTCGCTCTGTCACCCAGGATGGAGTGCAGTGGTGCGATCTCGGCTCACTGCAACCTCCGCCTCCCACGTTCAAGTGATTATCTTGCCTCAGCCTCCTGAGTAGCTGGGATTATAGGTGCAAGCCACCACGCCTGGCTAATGTTTGTATTTTTAGTAGAGATGGGGTTTCACCATGTTGGTCAGGCTGGTCTCGAACTCCTGACCTCATGATCCACCTGCCTCGGCCTCCCAAAGTGCTGGGATTACAGGCGTGAGCCACTGCGCCCGGCCTCCCAAATTCTTTTGAATAACATGAGCATAATAGATTTGGTATCAGTCTCTAAGGGACTGGTCTTAGTATAGAGCTGTCTGGTTAGTAGGGGGAATAATGTCAGGTTCCCCTGGGCCCTTGGAAAATCCCTGATCATCCTCTTTTTTTTTTTTTTTTTTTTTTTTTTTTTTGAGATGGCGTCTCTCTCTGTCACCCAGGCTAGAGTGCAGTGGCTGAATCTTGTCTCACTGCAACCTCTGCCTCCCAGGTTCCAGTGATTCTCCTGCCTCAGCCTCCCGAGTAGCTGGGACTACAGGCACGTGCCACCATGCCCAGCTAATTTTTGTATTTTTAGTAGAGACGGGGTTTCACCATATTGGCCAGGCTGGTCTCAAATTCCTGACCTCGTGATCTGCCCGCCTTGGCCTCCCAAAGTGCTGGGATTACAGGCATGAGCCACTGCACCCAAACTTCCTTTCTTTTTATTTAAAAACAGCAACAACAACAAAAACTCTAATTGTAAAACAGTATTGTTTGGGACTATGCAATGTTGAAAAGACCTAATCATGGAAATTTATTTATCTTTTTTTTCAGGTTAGTAATGGCCAACCTTATATGTGCCCTTAATGTTTTAATTTTGGCCTTAAAATAACAGCTTAGGACATGTAAGTAGCTATGTTCATTAGGCTTTCTAGGTCTCGTAAGGGGAATTTGGTAGAAAATATATTTCACCCAGCAATTAGTTTTCTTCCAGGGCTGGGCACTGTGGCTCACACCTGTAATCACAGCATTTTGGGAGGCTGAGGCAGGCAGATTGCCTGAGGTCAGGAGTTCCAGAGCAGTCTGGCCAATATGGTGAAACCCCATCTCTACTAAAAATACAAAAAAATTAGCCAGGCGTGGTGGCACACACCTGTAGTCCCAGCTACTCGGGAGGCTGAGGCAGGGGAATTGCTCGAACCAGGGAGGTGGAGGTTGCAGTGAGCTGAGATCGGGCCACTGCACTCCAGCCTGGGTGACAGAGTGAGATTTCATCTCAAAAAAAAAAAAAAAAAAAAGTTTTCTTCCGGTAAAGATAAAACTCTGCTCTCACCAAAGGCAGAGGAGCCCTGACACACAAAGCAGAAAGAAAGAAACTTTAGGACAATTTTTATCAGTCTTACGGGTTAGAGAGAAAAAGAAAGCAAATGAAAGTCTGTGAATACAGATGGATCAAAAAGGACAATAAATTTTCATGGAAGGACAGAATTCAAAAGGGGTGAAATGCAAAGAAGTGCAAACATAACAAGATGATTGTTAGTAGTAAGAAAAATGAAGATCTCCAGACATTGCAAATGAGGATTCCCAGACAGTGCACAGCCTGGACGGAAGCCCTGCCAGCTTCACAAACTTCCTGTCAAGGAGGGCCACAGTGAACTAGATCTACTTGGTGTGAACTTTGAAGTCCTCACCTCTGCTTGTCACCTATCAGGCTATCAGGATGAACTGATAAATCAGCTGAAGGGAGCAAAGTCACAGTGCGTGAGAATTGTTTTGGAGATTTGTAAGTGGAAGAATGAGAGGAAAGGGAGAGACTCAGTGATGGAAAAGAAAACCTTAAGCCTTAAAGTGGTGAGGATTGTATCAATAGTTTTACTCTTTGGCAATTGTTTATTATATTTATTTAAAAAAAATTTTTTTTTGAGACGGAGTTTTGCTCTTGTTGCCCAGGCTGGAGTGCAATGGCATAATCTCGGCTTACTGCAACCTCCGCCTCCTGGTTCAAGCAATTCTCCTGCCTCAGCCTCCCGAGTAGCTGGGATTACAGGAATGTGCCGCCATGCCCAGCTAATTTTGTATTTTTAGTAGAGATGGGGTTTCTCCATGTTGGTCAGGCTGGTCTCAAAATCCCAACCTCAGGTGATCTGCCCACCTCGGCCTCGCAAAGTGCTGAGATTACAGGTGTAAGCCATCGCACCCACCTATTATCTTTTAATTTATACAGTTTCAAAATATTCCAATGTTTAGTATATACCCTAGAGGTGTTTCAGTGACAGTAGAGGAGGTGGCTTTCTAGGTAACAAGAGAATCCTGCAACCACAGAAACATGTACCAAAATCCAGGAGGTCATCGGCATCCCTGTGAGCTAAGCCGGACGATGGAGTCCAGGGTGTTCCCTTGAATCCCCATGAAACTGAGGCCCTAGGAGGTCATGGGCATTTGCCATGCACCATTCTAGGTCTCACTGGTGCTGGACGTCTCCAAGCTGAACTGAAGTGATCTCTGCTGCCAGCCGGGGAGCCTGGATGTCTCACCAACAAGCCCTTCCTTATTTCACTGATCTGCCATTTTTAATGTCCAGTCATCATGCTTGGAATGCCTGGTTATAGTCCCCATGACTACACATCCATGTGGCCACACATCCTGCACTCAACATGGATGGCCTCTTGGAACGTCTCCTGTTCTCAGAGGAGACGTTCAGAACACACTCCTCTGAGACTCAGAGGAGTCTCAGAACACACAGAGCCTGGAGGAATGGGGACTGTTGGCAAAAGTAGATCTAATGTGTCCCTCAAGGTGAACAAAAATCTTTGAAGAGATTACTTGATTAACAAACAAGTGCTGGGCGCGGTGGCTCATGTCTGTAATCCCAGCACTTTGGGAGGCCAAGGTGGGCTGATCATAAGGTCAGGAGTTCGAGACCAGCTGAGCCAGTATGGTGAGACCCCGACTCTATTGAAAATACAAAAATTAGCCGGGCGTGATGGTGCACGCCTGTAATCCCAGCTACTTGGGAGGCTGAGGCAGGAGAATCGCTTGAGCCCAGGAGGTGGAGGTTGCAGTGAGCCGAGATAGAGCCACTGCACTCCAGTCTGGGTGACAGAGTGAGACTCTTGTCTCAAAAAAAAAAAAAAAAAAAAAGTTACAATAGCCAGTAAGTACAGATCAGGTGCAGTCCTGGGAGGAACAGCAAAACAAAAAGTGAAACAGAAGCAGCAAAAGTCCCAAGGCTGAATAATCAGGGCGTTCCATCCAAATAAGGTAATTGTAAACACTGTAAAAGCAGCAGCCAAATGGAAAGCAATCACAATTAGTTGCTCAAAGAATGTGAGTGAGTTAAAAGGTCCTCCCCCAAAACCTTAATAGATCTGGGGAAAGCAGTGATAGTCAATCAGGGGTCTCTGGCTGCCATAGTACTCACCAGTAGTGAAGGGAAACTGAAACCAACGAAGCAGACAAACCTCTGAGTCATGGCACCGGAAATGTTGACGGCTGTTGTAATACCTTGGTTCTTGACTTCTTCATTTAAAAGAATTTAAACAAGAAACACGCAGCAAAGGAGATGAAGTACAAAGCAATTTATTACAAAGGAAAAATATTATTTTGAAAGTTAAGTGCAAAATAAACTGTACACCCTGAGAGGATTCAGGGTGGGCTGCTCCTAAGGATGAGACAGCATTGATCACTGCTGGAGAAACTCCCTTTATGGGAGTCTTACATGATTATTCACAGGAGGTGGGTGGGAAGAGGTGTTACTAGCAAGCATGTTCTGGGCGGTCTTCTGGGTGCACGTGTGCAGTAGCTGTACATGCTTGTTCATACATCTCATGACTCATTAGCATCTTAAATCTCCACCCAGGGCTGTGTTTTTTTTCACTATTGTGATGAGCAAAGGGTCAGTCTGAGAACAGGTGGAAATGCACGTGTTCTGTACAGGGTAAACTCCCTATTGGAGATAGCTTTGCTTGAATGAGCTGGACTACAATGTGAATGCTAGAGTTTATTGTGTTGATTGTGTGGTCATCACCAGTCGCTATGTCCCGAGGACATGTTTACTTTTTTCATTACCTATACTTCCTCAATTCCAACACCTGCCTGAGCTTACACAGGCAAATAAATGACTCATTTCAGCACCACCTTAGAGCTTATTCAGTGCAGCCTTTGACATCCCTCAGAGGAGAAGTTTTCCAAGCATGATTTTATTTTGTAAAGCCTCCGTTTTTTCAGCCTGCAGAGCTGAGACATTGATAATTTTATTCTCAAATATTTAGAGACTTTCTTATAAGATTTTCACATCTTGGTAACAAATTTCACTTACAAAATTTGCCAGAATAGGCAAAAGGAAAGAGACAGCAGGAGGGATCACTAAGATTTTTCTTTCCTGTGGAGTATTTTACTGTTCCTGCTTCTCTTTTCACTTTCCTGGGCTTGGGGGAAGGGCAGCTCCCTCGGACCATGAAAGAAAAATGGTAATACGGAAACATCTGTCTTTATCGCCTCCCCCAACCCTTCCACTCTGCTCTGGCTGTGCCCATTCTCCCTCCCACCCCCTGGCCCATAAGCCTTTTCCTTCTCCCAACCTCACCGAGAGCCCAAACTCTCACCTACAGCTGGCTCCTCAGTGGGAACTGAGTCATTACCTGCTAAAGGGTAGAAGAGGAGAGAGAGAGGCCAGAGCCTGGGGATGGGGCAGAAGGTGCGGCAGGAAGGAAGGTTAGAGTGAGAAAAATTTCCAAATAAGGGGTGATGTGTGAGTGCTCAGAGGGTGACTGAGGACATCTCCAGCATTTCCATTGAGGAGGGAGGAAGGAGGGGCCCTTGGGTTCTGGGGCAGATGCCGGCAGGGTCTGGATGAGATGCCCCCAACCTCAACCCTGGTCCTCTGAAAACACTTCACCCAGTCACACTGAGGAGCCCCTCCAGGCCCAGGGGCCCCTCCAGGTAGGCGTATCTCAGCTCCTCTCTGGAAGGACCCCCACAGCTGCCCAGCCCTGGTATGTCTCATCTCCCTGGTTCTGGTCCCCTTGAGTCTTGAGTCCGGGGTTGGCTCCTTCCCTTCCTGCAGCCGGGTCAGAGTGAGCTTGGCAGATGAGAAGCCAGGTGCTCTGCATGGCAAGGTGTGGTTGCCCTCAGGGTCCTCCTTGTCAGGGACCACAAGCCCTGGGGAAGGAGGCACTCGATGTAGGAGACAGAGAGCAGAGAGGTGGAGTGAGGGTGGGACACGCTTTGGCCTCCCCTCCTCTCCTAGTCTTCCTCCACATGCCAGTGCCTTTCCCTCCCCAACTCCACGTCGTATAAGAGCCACAGCAGGAAGGGTAGACCTGGGTCCCCAACATTCTTTGAAGAAGTCTTTCCATAAGTGTGTCCACCTCCATTCCCACTGCAGCTTTAGGGTCTGCCTCAGTGCAGAGCCCTGGGTATGTACAGAGCATAGGTGTACATGAGGGTGATTCTGGAAGGTTCTTCCTTTGCACATACCTGCGTGTCTCAGTTTCTCTCCTCTTCAAGTCTGCTCAAATGGCACCTTCATGAGGCCCACCCTGACCACCCTACTTAAAATGCCACCTCTATTACTTTGCATTGATTGTCAACTTTGCATTTTTTTTTTTTTACTTTTTTTCTTTTTTTTTGAGGTGGAGTCTTGCTCTGTCACCAGGCTGGAGGGCAGTGGTGCGATATTGGCTCACTGCAACCTTCACCTCCTGGGTTCAAGCGATTCTCCTGCCTCAGCCTCCAGGGTAGCTGGGACTACAGGTGCACGCCACCACATGCAGCTAATTTTTGTATTTTTAAGTAGAGACAGAGTTTCACCATATTGGCCAGGATGGTCTCGATCTCTTGACCTCGTGATCCACCCATCTCGGTCTCCCGAAGTGCTGGGGTTACAGGCGTGAGCCACCGCACCTGGCCTATTTTTTCTTTTTATCACCTATCACTTTGTAAACATAAAAGTCCTTTTCCAAAGATGGCCTCAACAATATCTCCCATCCCACATGCTCTTTAGCAATGTGACCTTGCCATCCTCTATCAAGAGCTGATGCTAATCCCCCTTTTTGGATCTGGGACTTGCTTTGGTGACTAGAACATGAGGAACGTGATGCTGCCTGACTTCTGAGGTTCCAGCATAAGATGCCTTGTGGTTCTGACTTGGCCACTTGAAACACCCGGACCCCAGGTGCAGAGCCAGAAGCAGCCAGGGCACGTGGAGGAGCAGGTGGAGGAGAAACCAAGTCACCTGGTTCACAGCCTCAGTGAGTTCCCAGCCAACAAGCCAGCACCAACTGCAGCCCTGTGCAGGAGCCTCTTGAATGTGTTGGACCAGCTGGGCTCCAGATGATGGTGGCCCAGCCCATGTTGTATGGAGCGGAAGAGCTGCCCAGCTGAGCCCAATCAGCCCACAGAATGAGAGATAATATAAAGGTTGTTTATAATATATATATACATATATATATATTTTGGGGGGGATGGAGTCTCACTCTGTCACCCAGGCTGGAGTGCAGTGGCACAATCTTGGCTCACTGCAACCTCCACGTTCTGGTTTCAAGCGATTCTCCTGCCTCAGCCTCCCAAGCAGCTGGGATTACAGGCACCTACCACCACGCCCAGCTAATTTTTGTATTTTTAGTAGAAACAGGGTTTCATCATGCTGGCCAGGCTGGTCTCGAACTCTTGACCTTGTGATCTGCCCACCTCAGCCTCCCAAAGTGCTGGAATTACAGGCGTGAGCCACCATGCCCGGCGTTTGTATGCGTTAAGATTATTTTTTGCTCAGCAATCAATTGCTGGAACACATCCATATAATTCACTACTGTTACTATATTTTTCTTTATTGTCTTTCAGATTGTAAGCATCAGGGAGCAGGTGTTAGTCTCTTTTGATTAAATGATCACCAGGCCTAGAAAAATGCCTGGCACAGAAGCACTTACTAAATATTTGTTAAATGGATGAATAAACTATGTGACCAGAATTCCTTAATACTGGGTCCGAGACTAGAAAGTGGGAGTTACTGGTTTGGTTTTGGCACTTGTTTAGTCAGCTTGTGCTGCCATAACAAAACACCACAGATGGATTGGTTAACAACAGACATTTCTTTCTCACAATTCTGGACCCTGGAAATCTGAGGTTAGGGAACCAGCAGATTCAGTTCCTGGTGAGGGCCCTCTTCCTGCCTGGCAGACAGCTGCCTTCTTGCCATATCCTCACGTGGTGAAGAGAGTGGGAGCTCCAGTCTCTTCTTTTTCTTAAAAGGACACTAATCCCATCATGGGGGCCCCAACCTCTCAACCTCTTCTGAATCTAATCACTTCCCAAGATGGCCACCAGTCTCAAGGAGTTTACTGTCACAGTGGGAGCAAAGATGCTACAGCAGGTTGTAAAATTAGGTGTCATCCCAGTCAGTGGGGAGAGGACAGGTAATTCAGGGAAGGGGACCTGGATAGAGCTCACCCATAGGATATGGCAGGTCCCAGAACTCTACTGAAATCAAGTCTGGATAAAAGTCAATAATATTCTTCTGACCGAATTCCTTTCAGTCTTCCTGAGGGATGGGCAGGCTCATTCCAGAATAAAGAAGATGCCTGGGGTAAAGAAGACTAGTCTCCAAGGGCACTGGCCCAGGACACCTAGGTTCTACTGGTCACCAACGCCCACCCAGATCTCTCCTGGGTGGAGCCTTGTTCCAAGCCTCTCACAGCCCTTGCCTGCATTCCCATGGTGCTCACCATGGATAACAGGGCCACAGCCAGCCTCAGAGCCAGACTGTTAAGTGAAACCACTGATCCTTGCTGAATTACTTCTTTGAGGCTGAGATAAACTTCACATTTCAGCCTCATTAATAAGATTAATTGTAAATCCAAATGGCCTGCAAATCTATAAACAGTCGCTCAGTTGATTAGCCAGAACATTGAGGACTGTTAATGATACAGGAAAAGGCCCATTTTGGAGGTGAGAAGCTGAGGAGCCTGAAACTGTTTCCATTGTTTATGAAAGTAATCTGACAATTATGAATGAAAATACCCACCACCCCCCGACCCAGCAATCCAAGGTGGGAAATATCTTTTTTTTTTTTGAGACGGAGTTTTGCTCTTGTCCCCCAGGCTGGAGTGCAGTGATGCAATCTCAGCTCACTGCAACCTCCATCTCCCAAGTTCAAGTGATTCTCCTGCCTCAGCCTCCCAAGTAACTGAGATTACAGGCGTGTGCCACCATGCCAGGGTAATTTTTGTATTTTTAGTAGAAACGAGGTTTCACCATGTTGACCAGGCTGGTTTCGAACTCCTGACCTCAAGTGATCCGCCCACCTCAGCCTCCCAAATGCTGAGATTACAGGTGTGAGCCCAAACTCCTACTTTTAAATCACTGCATAATAGTCCATAGTCCATTGAATGGAGTATAGCAATAAACACTGTTACATATTCTGAACCTCAACTCCCTCCCTCCCTCCCTTCCTCTCTCTCTCTCTTCTTTCTTTCTTATTTTTTGACACAGGGCCTCACTCTGTCACCCAGGCGGAGTGCAGTTGTGGGTTAATCATGGCTCACTGCAGCCGCGACCTCCCCAGGCTCAGGTGATCCTCCCACCTCAGCTTCCGGAGTAGCTGGGACTACAGGCATGAGCCACCTCACCCGGCTAATTTTTTGTATTTCTGGTGGAGAAGGGGTTTCACCATTTTGCCCAGGCTGGTCTTAAACTCCTAGGCTCAAACCATCTGCCTGCCTCACCCTCCCAAAGTGCTAGGATTACAGGTGAGCCACCACACCCAGCCAACTGCCTTTATTTCTGTAAGAGATATTTCCCGGCCAGGCGCGGTGGCTTACACCTGTAATCCCAGCACTTTGGGAGGCCGAGGCGGGTGGATCACCTAAGGTCAGGAGTTCGAGACTAGCCTGGACAACATGGCAAAACCCCGTCTCTACTAAAAATATAAAAATCAGCCGGGCGTGGTGGGGGGTGCCTGTAATCGCAGCTACTTGGGAGGCTGAGGCAGGAAGAATTGCTTGAACCCGGGGGGGTGGGGGTTGCAGTGAGCCCAGATGGCGCCACTGCACTCCAGTCTGGGTGACAGACCAAGACTGTCTCAAAAAAAATAAAATACATAAATAAATAACAATAATAATATGTAAGATTTGTCCCACGGCATTTTGAGGTGATGGCAGGCAGAAATAAAGCCAGTCCCACCCTTTCTGGGCTAGGGAAAGCTGAGATGGTCTTCGGCTCCGGGTGAGTCACTCCCCAGGGTCCAGGCCTGGCTGCCCGTTCCCCTCCCCCTCCAACCCACCTACAGCCCCTTCTGCTCTGCCCCATCAACTACATTTTCTCCCTCAGCACTCGCCTTAGATTCCTGGACCCACAGCACAGAGGCGACCTCCTCCTTGCAGACTTTAGGCGCCACTGCGGGGTCCGGAAAAAAAAGAGAAACGGCCCAGCGCTGTCACTTACATAACCCAGGGCGGGGCTGCGCTCGGCGACCGCAAGCGTTTTGAATTCTGCGCCCCAGAGTTCACTGCGAGGACTGGGATCACCCGTCACCCCGCCCTGGTCTACGGAAAATGACAAGTGTTTACTGATATAGAAACGGAATAACGGCGCTGTGGGCTGGGGTGGGCGGAGCTGCCTTCAGGCTTCTGGTCTCCAGCGGCGGGGAACTCACACCTGCCGCTGTGAAAATGCAGACCCGCGGGGCAGTAATTCCGAGTCCAGCCTGGGGCGCGATCTGGAATCTTGACTCGCTTGAAACACCACGACGGATTCGGAGACAGGTGAGTAGAGAAATGAGCCTCAGCCCCTCCCACGGGCCGCCCACGGATTCCAGGATCCGGAAACTCTTCCTGCTGCTGCGTCACCCCAGGAAGGCAGCGCCCGCCTCTGGGCAGTTCTGATGGAAACTGGCTTCGCCGCCCAGAGGAAAACCCACAACTAAGGGGCCAAGAAAAAGCCTCCATGGTCCCGCCCTTTCAGTGAGGATCCTAATTTATACCCCGAGTGTGGCCCCCATCAAAGTCTGCAGTGACAGCCGAGCGCGGTGGCTCACGTCTGTAATCCCGGCACTTTGGGAGACCATGGCGGGCGGATCACTTGAGGTCAGGAGTTCGAGACCAGCTTGGCCAACATGGTGAAGCCCCTTCTCTACTAGAAATACAAAAATTAGCCGGGTGTGGTCGTAGGCGCCTGTAGTCCCAGCTACTCGGAGGCTGAGGCAGAAAAATGGCTTGAACGCGGGAGGCGGAGCTTGCAGGGAGCCGAGATCGCGCCACTGCACTCCAGCCTGGGCGACAGAGACTCCATCTCACACACACACAAAAAATGTAGAGTGACGTTCACTGAAATGATACTAGACCAGCGGGAGGGACCCAGAGCGCTGCGGTTCACAGAATGCGGTGACAGCGCCGCCTCGCGTCCTTTACTTCAACTGCCCCAGGCAGACGTGGTCACGTGTGTTGGCCTGGAGGCTGGAATACACCGGGGTCAAATGCAGAGTGGAGAAAGGAGGGAAGGATGGGAGGACGTGTTGAAGAAAGACAGTAAGAGCTAGCGCTATGGTTCATATCTGTAAAACTAGAGTTTTCGGAGGCGAGGCAGGAGGATCGTGTGAGACCAGGAGTTTGAGGTCGCAGTGAGCCGTGATCACACCACTGCACTCCAGCCTGGACGACAGAGTGAGACCCTGCTTTTATATACTTTTCATATTTTCTGTAATTAAGCAAGTTTTGTGTCCGGAATTGGTGGGTTCTTGATCTCACTGACTTCAAGAATGAAACTGTGGACCCTCGCGGTGAGTGTTACAGCTCTTAAGGTGGCGCGTCTGGAGTTTGTTCCTTCTGATGTTCGGACGTGTCCGGAGTTTTTTCCTTCTGGTGGGTTCGTGGTCTCGCTGGCTCAGGAGTGAAGCTACAGAGCTTTGCGGTCAGTGTTATAGCTCTTAAGGCGGCACGTCTGGAGTTGTTTGTTTCTCCCGGTGGGCTTTTGGTCTTGCTGGCTTCAGGAGTGAAGCTGTAGACCTTCACAGTGAGTGTTACAGCTCATAAAAGCACTATGGACCCAAAGAGTGAGCAGTAGCAAGATTTATTGCAGAGCAAAAGAACAAAGCTTTAGCAGTGTGGAAGAGAACCCGACTGGGTTGCCACTGCTGGCTCGGGCAGCCTGCTTTTATTCTCTTATCTGGCCCCACCCACATCCTGCTGATTGGTAGAGCCGAGTGGTCTGTTTTGACAGGGTGCTGATTGGTGCGTTTGCAATCCCTGAGCTAGACACAAAGGTTCTCCAAGTCCCCATCAGATTAGTTAGATACACAGTATGGACACAAAGGTTCTCCAAGGCCCCACCAGAGCAGCTAGATACAGAGTGTAGATTGGTGCATTCACAAACCTTGAGCTAAACACAGGGTGCTGATTGGTGTGTTTACAAACCTTGAGCTAGATACAGAGTGCCGATTGGTGTATTTACAATCCCTGAGCTAGACATAAAGGTTCTCCAAGGCCCCACCAGAGCAGCTAGATAGAGTGTGGATTGGTGCACTCACAAACCCTGAGCTAGGCACAAGGTGCTGATTGGTGTGTTTACAATCCCTGAGCTAGACATAAAGACTCTCCACGTCCCCACCAGACTCAGGAGCCCAGCTGGCTTCACTTAGTGGATCCCGCACCGGGGCTGCAGGTGGAGCTGCCTACCAGTCCCGCACGGTGCGCTTGCATTCCTCAGCCCTTGGGTGGTCGATGGGACTGGGCGCCGTGGAGCAGGGGGTGGTGCTCGTCGAGGAGGCTCGGGCCGCACAGGAGCCCTTGGAGTGGGTGGGAGGCTTAGGCATGGCGGGCTGCAGGTCCCCAGCCCTGCCCCGCGGGAAGGCAGCTAAGGCTCGGTGAGAAATCGAGCGCAGCGCTGGTGGGCTGGCACTGCTGGGGGACCCAGTACACCCTCCGCAGCTGCTGGCCCGGGTGCTAAGTCCCTCATTGCCAGGGGCCAGCAGGGCTGGCCGGCTGCTCCGAGTGCGGGGCCCGCCAAGCCCACGCCCACCCGGAACTCCAGCTGGCCGGCAAGCGCGGCACACAGCCCCGGTTCCCGCTCGCGCCTCTCCCTCCACACCTCCCCGCAAGCTGAAGGAGAGGGCTCCGGCCTTGGCCAGCCCAGAAAGGGGCTCCCACAGTGCAGCGGTGGGCTGAAGGGCTCCTCAAGTGCCGCCAAAGTAGGAGCCCAGGCAGAGGAGGCGGGGAGAGCAAGCGAGGGCTGTGAGGACTGCCAGCACGCTGTCACCTCTCGGTTTTACTTTATTTTAGGATAAAATATCTATTGTGAATTTTAAAAACATGTAAAATAAAATTTTAATTAAAAAGCCTAAATGTTCTTTTCCTATTTATCCTGAAGGAAATTCCTGTTGATGGCGCATTTAGGAACTTATTTATCCCCTGAAGACCTGAGCCCTGCACATATCAAAACTGTACATTCCTTGTGGAGCAGTCTTCTCTTTTGAAATGTAGACACTATTTCCCTAATCTTCAAGCCAGCCATTGTCACTCCTAGTGACACTTCCATTGGATAAGCTCCTTACTCTCACTGAAATTGGCCTCAGAGTTGCAGCCAAGCATTGGGAGCCATGGCAGAAGTCATTGTGGGGTTTGCACCTGGCTGATGTGGAAGGTAGTCCTGAAAGGTAGTGTGTGACTAAGTGGGCTCTGGAGGGCAGGGATGTGCCTGGTGAGAGGAGAACAAGACAGATAGGAAGGTTCCAAAAGAAAACTTCAGGGGTCCCTGTGCCCAACATCGGGATTTAGAAAATCTTCTCCCAGCCACTTTTGACCTGCTTTCATTCCGCTTTCCTGTCTACCAGGCCATTGCAGGCAGTTCCTTCATTGAATAAATATTTATCAAATACCTACCACGTGCCAGGCATTGTGTTTAAGGAGCTGGGGCTGAGGTAAGAGGAACCAAACCCCCCTTGCGCTCAAGGTTGTCCCAGTCTTGCTCAGGCAGAGATCAGTCAGGAAATTGTAACACTAATGGTTGGCAGGACATGTACACATGCTTTGCAAACTCACAAGTAGACCATCTTCTCTGACCTAGGAGTCACAGAAAGTTCACAAAAGAGACAATGTTCAAGCTATGTTTTGAGGTGTAAGTAGGAGCCCAACAGGCACCTGGGACAAGAGAGCATTGCTCAGAATCCAGAACATGAATTTCTTTCCCTGGGCCAGGCCAAGAATCAGACTAAGCTGACTGAGGAGCCAGATGCTTCCTGGCAAGAAAGGGTGTCCCACATCTGACTATTCCAAAATCACAGCTACTCAATGTTGAGACTTAAGACAGACAGAAAAAGAGAAAGGCCTGATTCGAAAAGCAGAATTCTCCAGGGGTGGGGGGAGGTTAAACTGCAGTTTCTGATATAATATGTGTGGGCCAGGCCAGAGAATTGCATTTCCTTTTTTATTTATTTATTTATTTATTTTGAGACGAAGTCTTGCTATTGTCCCCCAGGCTGGAGTGCGATGGCGCAATCTTGGCTCACTGCAACCTCCGCCTCCCGGGTTCAAGTGATTCTCCTGTCTCAGCCTCCCAGGTAGCTGGGATTACAGACGCCTGCCACCACGCTCGGCTAATTTTTTGTATTTTTAGTAGAGACAGGGTTTCACCATGTTGGCCAGGCTGGTCTCGAACTCCTGACCTCAGGTGATCCGCCCGCCTCAGCCTCCCAAAGTGCTGGGATTACAGGCGTGAGCCACTGCGCCCAGCTGAGAATTGCATTTCTAACAAGTTTCCAGGTGATGCCAGTGCTGTTTGTCCCAGGACTACACTTTGAGAATCACTGCCCTAAAGCAACCTGGTTTGATCTCTAATAACAGAAGAGGACTGGGAGAGCACTATGAGGCAGAAGTGTAGGATAAATAAGACCATACTCTGCCCATCCTGGAGAATTCGCAAGCCCAAGGCTGCAGCATTTGAATTCCTTGGGAGTCCCGGGAATTGCAGACACCTAGGAAGAAACTGAATGTGGGTCAGAGGGTGATGCATGCTCTCTGCTTCACACAGCACCTGGGGTTCCTGCCACTACACAGTCTGGCCCCCACACCCTCAATCCTTCCCACCCCTCCTCGAAGCATTGACCTGCAGGACTTACTCTACTGCCCTCAGCTGTTTGGGCCTGGTATATGACCCTAGGCGCTCCTACCGTACCTTCTGATCCAAATACAGGGTGACCTAGTATGACAACTATTAGCAGACTCATAGGGATAACAGAATGGGCTAAGAATGAGAATCTTTGGTTGCGCACGCCTGTAATCCCAGCCACTTGGGAGGCTGAGGTGGGAGGATCGCTGGAGCCCGGGAGGTGGAGGTTACAGTGAGCAGAGATCAGGCCACCAACATTCCAGCCTGGGCAAAAAAGTGAGACTCTGTTTCAAATAAAATAAAATAAAATAAAAAGGCCGGGCATGGTGGCTCACACCTGTAATCCCAGCACTTTGGGAGACCAAGGCCAATGGATCACTTGAGGCCAGGAGTTCCAGACCACCTTGGCCAACATGGTGAAACCCTGTCTCTGCAAAAAATACAAAAAGTAGCCAGGCATGGTGGCATGCACCTGTAGTCCCAGCTACTCCAGAGGCTGAGGCAGAGAATCGCTTGAACCAGGGAGGCGGAGGTTGCAGTGAACCGAGAAGATTGCACCACTGCACTCCAGATGGGGCAACAGAGCGAGACTCTGTCTCCAAAAAAAAAAATAAATAAATAAATAAGAATCTTGAAAAGTTGGCAAGTGGCTTCAATTACATGTCCCCCAGAATTACAAGTGTTTTTTCTAAATATCACATCCTTGGGCCCACATGGACACCAGAGGGCACCCTGAGCTCACTGAAGCCACAACTGTCGCATTAGACCATTAGAATCCCTTGTAAAGGCCAGGCATGGTGGCTCACACCTGTAATCACAGCACTTTGGGAGACCGCGGAGGGTGGATCATCTGAGGTCAGGAGTTCGAGACCAGCCGGGCCAACATGGTGAAACCCCATCTCTACTAAAAATTAGCCGGGTGTGGTAGCATGCACCAGTAATCTCAGCTACTGGGGAGGCTGAAGCAGGAGAATCACTTGAACATGGAAGGCAGAGGTTGCAGTGAGCCAAGATTGCATCCTTGCATTCCAGCCTGGGCAACAACAGCAAAACTCCATCAGAAAAAAAAAAAAAAAAGAATCCCTTGTAAAGACTGCGGTTTGGCTGGGAGCAGTGGCTCATGCCTGTAATGCCAGAAATTTGAAAGGCTGAGGGTGGGCCACGGTGGATCGCTTGAGGTCAGGAGTTCAAGACCAGCCTAGTCAACATGGTGCAACCCCATCTCTACTAGAAATACAAAAATTAGCTGGGCATGGTGGCATGCAACTGTAGTCCCTGCTACTCAGGAGGCAAGAGAATTGCTTGAGCTCTTAAGGCAGAGGTTGCAGTGAGCCAAGATTGCATCACTGCACTCCAGCCTGGCCAACACAGCAAGACTCCATCTCAAAAAAAAAAAAAAAAAAAGGAGTGATATAATTTTTAGACAATTTTTTTTTTTTTTTGAGATGGAGTCTCGCTCTGTCACCCAGGCTGGAGTGCAGTGGCACGATCTTGGCTCACTGCAAGCTCTGCCTCCCGGGTTTACGCCATTCTCCTGCCTCAGCCTCCTGAGTAGCTGGGACTATAGGTGCCCGCCACCACACCTGGCTAATTTTTTGTATTTTTAGTAGAGACAGGGTTTCACCGTGTTAGCCAGGATGGTCTCCATCTCCTGACCTCGTGATCCGCTTGCCTCTGCCTCGCAAAGTGCTGGGATTACAGGCGTGAGCCACCGCGCCTGGCCCCAGCTACAATTTTTGTTTTCTCTTAATGAAGGTAAGAGAATTCTATCAGGCTGAGTTTTTTTCTTAAATTTTCACTATGAGTTTTTTGGGTTTTTTTCCTCCTTGGAATTACCTTTTGTGTTTTCACTTGGTTAAAAATTCAAAAGGTTCAAAAGGCAAAAAGTCTCTGTCTTGGCCGGGTGCAGTGGCTCAAGCCTGTAATCCCAGCACTTTGGGAGGCCGAAGCAGGTGGATTACAAGGTCAAGAGTTCGAGACCAGCCTGGCCAACATGATGAAACCCCCGTCTCTACTAAAAATACAAAAATTAGTCGGGTGTGGTGGTGGGCATCTGTAATCCCAGCTACTTGGGAGGCTGAGGCAGGAGAATCACTTGAACCCGGGAGGCAGAGGTTGCAGTGAGCCGAGATCTTGCCATTGCACTCCAGCCTGGGCGACAAGAGCAAGACTCCGTCTCGAAAAATAAATAAATAAATTAATTAATTAAAGAAAGAAAGAAAACAAACTTAAGACATTTGTTCGGGCTTGGTGGCCCACGCCTGTAATTCCAGCACTTTGGGAGGCCGAGGCGGGCGGATCACCTGAGGTAAGGAGTTCGAGACTAGCCTGGAAAACATGGCAAAACCCTGTCTCTACTAAAAATACAAAACATTAGTGGGCATGGTGGCAGAAGGCTGTAATCCAGCTACTTGGGAGGCTGAGGCAGAAGAATCACTTGAACCCGGGAGGCGGAGGTTGCAGTGAGCTGAGATTGCACCATTGCACTCCAGCCTGGGTGACAGTCAGATTCTGTCCCAAAAAAACCAAACAAACTTAGACGTTTTATGCATATGCAAGCAAATATAAGTGTGTGTGTATATACATATAATTTCCCTCTTTCCACATAAATTTTAGCAAACTACATATGCTTTCCTTCATCTTGTTTTTTTTTTCTTTCTGAGACAAGGTTTCACTCTGTCACCCAGGCTGGGGTATACTAGTATGACTACCACTCACTGAAGGCTTGAACTCTTGGGCTCCCCACTAGCTGGGACCACAGGTGTGAGCCACAACACCTGGCTTTTTTTTGAGACAGAGTTTCACTCTTGCCGCCCAGGCTAGAGTGCAGTGGTGCGATCTCGGCTTACTGCAACCTCTGCCTTCTGGGTTCAAGTGATTCTCCTGCCTCAGCCTCTGGAGTAGCTGGGAAATCCCATCTGTACTAAAAATACAAAAATTAGCCAGGCGTGGTGGTGCACACACCTGTAGTTCCAGCTACTCAGGGGGCTGAGGCAGAAGAAATGCTTGTACCTGGGAGGTGGAGGTTGCAGTGACCTGAGATCTCACCACTGCACTGCAGCCTAAGACAGTGAGACTGTCTCAAAATTTAAAAAAAAAAATTTTTTTTAAAGAAAGAATGAACTACTGATAGGTGCAACAACATGGATGGATTACATAGATATTATGCCAAATACAAAAAGCCAGACACAAAAGAGGCCATACCTATGCATGCATTTATAGGAAGTTTTAAAACAGGCAGCCCAGCACAGTGGCTCACACCTGTAATCCCAGCACTTTGGGAGGCCGAGGCGGGTGGATCACCTGAGGTCAGGAGTTTGAGACCAGCCTGGTGAACATAGCGAAACCCCATCTCTACTGGAAGTACAAAATTAGCCAGTCATGGTGGCTCACACCTGTACTCCCAGCTACTCAGGAGGCTGAGGCAGGAGAATCTCTTGAACCCAGGAGGCAGAGGTTGCAGTGAGCCGAGATCGTGCCATTGCACTCCAGCCTGGGTGGCAGAGTGAGACTCCATCTCAAAAAAAAAAAAAAATTAGGAAAAACTGCTCTATAGTGATAGTCATCAGATCCATGGCTACTCAGGGGTAGGGCAGAATCAAAGAGGGCAAAGAGAACTTTCTATATCTTGACAGGGGTGTGGGTGACATGTACTTGTCAAAATTCATTGATGGATTTGCTAAAGATCTGATCATTTCACTTTTTGTAAATGGTGAAATTTTAAAATAAAATTTTAATAAATTTAATAAATTTTAAAATAAAAATATTTTTGCTGGGCACGGTGTCTCACGCCTGTAATCCCAGCATTTTGGGAGGCCAAAGTGGGTGGATCACTTGAGGTCAGGAATTTGAGACCAGCCTGGCGAAACCCTGTCTCTGCAAGCAAATACAAAAATCATCCAGGTGTGTGGTGTGTACCTGTAGTCCCAGCTACTCAGGAGGCTGAGAGAGGAAAATCGCTTGACCCTGGGAGGTGGAAGTTGCAGTGAGCTGAGATCACACCACTGCACTCCAGCCTGAGCAATAGAGGGAGACTCTGTCTCAAAAAAATAAAATAGGGTTGGGGACAAAGGGAGGGAGAGCATTAGGACAAATACCCAATGCAGGCGGGGCTTAAAACCTGGATGACAGGTTGATAGGTGCAGAAATCACCATGGCACATGTATACTTATGTAACAAACCTGCACATTCTGCACATGTATCCTGGAACTTAAAGTAAAAAAAGTAATAATAATAATTTTAAAAATAAATAAATTAATTAAACAAAAATATTTTAATGTTAATAATAAAAAGTAGCCGGGGGCTGTGGCTCATGCCTGTAATCCCAGCACTTTGGGAGGCCGAGGTGGGCGGATCACCTGAGGTCAGGAGTTTGAGACTAGCCTGGCCCACATGGAGAAACCCTGTCTCTACCAAAAATACAAAATTAGCCGAGGGTGGTGGCAGGGGTTTGTGATCCCAGCTACTCAGGAGGCTGAGGCAGAAAAATCACTTGAACCCAGGAGGCAGAGGTTGCGGTGAGCTGAGATTGTGCCATTGCACTCCAGCCTGGGCAACAAGAACAAAACTCCGTCTCAAAAATAATAATGATAATAAATAAGATAATTGTGCCAGGTGTGGTGGCTCACACCTGTAATCTCAGCATTTTAGGAGGCCGAGGTGGAAGGATCACCTGAGGTCAGGAGTTCAAGACCAGCCTGGCCAACATGGTGCAACCTCATCTCTATTAAAAATACAAAAAATTGGCTGGGTGTGGTGACTCACGCTTGTAATTCCTGTACTTTGGGAGGCCAAGGCAGGTGGACCAGTGGACCACGAGGTCAGGAGATCGAGACTATCCTGGCTAACACAGTAAAACCCCATCTCTACTAAAAATACAAGAAATTAGCTGGGCGTAGTGGCACATGCCTGTAGTCCCAGCTACCTGGGAGGCTGAGGCAGGAGAATCACTTGAACCCGAGAGGTGGAGATTGCAGTGAGCCAGATCACACCATTGCACTCCAGCCTGGGCGACAGAGCGAGACTCTATCTCAAAAAAAAAAAATACAAAAAATTAGCAGGGCACACCGGGCACGGTGGCTCAAGCCTGTAATCCCAGCACTTTGGGAGGCTGAGGCAGGCGGATCACAAGGTCAGGAGATCGAGACCATCCTGGCTAACATGGTGAAACCCCGTCTCTACTAAAAATACAAAAAAATTAGCCAGGCGTGGTGGCAGGCACCCATAATCCCAGCTACTCGGGAGGCTGAGGCAGGAGAATGGCATGAACCCGGGAAGCAGAGCTTGCAGTGAGCCGAGATCACACCACTGAACTCTAGCCTGGGCAACAGAGCAAGACTCCGTCTCAAAAAAAAAAAAAAGAGTACTGAAGTTCCAAAGGAGAGGATAAACAGGCTGCACAAACAACTTTCGCAGAGTAGATACGTAATCAGTGACTTGAAACACCTGCTGGGCACTCAAACTAGGCCAAAGGAAAGAGAAACAGAATGAGTATATGCTATAAGAACTGGAGATAAGTAAGATTCCTTACTCATATCCTTATCTCCAGTTCTTGGCACATAATGGGCACTCAGTTTATTGTTAGGTGAATAGGCTGCTGTGGAGAAAGGTAAATAAATGATGGAAAAAATTACAAGGGGAATTAACTAATCTGTACACTAAACCCCTGTGACAGGAAATTTATCTCTATAACAAACCTGCTCATATACCCCTGAACTTAATATAAAAGTTTTTAGGCCAGGTGCGGGGCTCACGCCTGTAATCCCAGCACTCTGGGAGGCCGAGGTGGGCAGATCACCTGAGGTCAGAAATTTGAGACCAGCCTGGCCAACATGGTGAAATCCCCATCTCTACTAAAAATACAAAAAATTAGCCAGGCATGGTGGTGCATGCCTGTAGTCCCAGCTACTCGTGAGGCTGAGGCAGGAGAATCACTTGAACCCGGGAGGTGGAGGTTGCAGTGAGCTGAGATCTCACTCCAGCCTGGGTGACAGAGTGAGACTCCGTCTCAAAATAAATAAATAAAATCGGTGAGAAGCTCACTTCCTAAACCACAAACCCTCCTCAAATAATCAGAATTGTCTACTCTCATCTACCCTGCACCCCGTACTCTCCCTCTCTCCACAGTGGCTGAAAGAATGATGGGGAAGAGAGGAAGAAGAAATTGCCTTAGGCCTTCTCCCTCTTCTAGGGTCTCTGTCTTTCCACTATTTTCTTTTAAAAACTTTTTGCTTTTTTTTTTTTTTTTTTTTGAGACACAGTCTCACTCTGTCACCCAGCCTGGAGTGCAGTGGCATGATCTCGACTCACTGCAACCTCCCCCTCCCAGGTTCAAGCCATTCCCTTTCCTCAGCCTCCCGAGTAGCTGGGACTACGGGTGCGTGCCACCATGCCCAGCTAATTTTCGTATTTTTAGTAGAGATGGAGTTTCACCATGTTGGCCAGGCTTGTCTTAAACTACTGACCTCAAGTGATCCACCCACCTCAGCCTCCCAAAGTGCTGGGATTACAGGCGTGAGCCACCATGCCCGGCCAAAAACCTTTTACATGAGCAGGTTTGTTATAGAAGTAAATTGCCTGTCATGGGGATTTGGTATACAGATTAGTTAATCCCCCATGTAATTCTTTCCACCATTTATTTACCTTTCTCCACAGCAGCCTATTCCCTTTGAGGGAAGAGAGAGACCCTTTCGTATTGTTTTATATTGCTTTATACTCAGTACCTGTTTTAAGAAAAAACAAGGAAGTAAAACCAAAGACAGGCAGCCTGGCGCCAGGCCCGAAACCAGGCCTGGGCCTGCCTGGCCTAAACCCAGTAGTTAAAAATCAACCCATGACTTAGAACGCGATGTTATTCCTAGATTCCAGACATTGTATAGAAGAACATTGTGACACTCCCTGCCCTGTTCTGTTTCTCTCTGACCACCAGTGCATGCAGCCCCTGTCACGTACCACCTGCGTACTCAAATCAATCACGACACTTTCATGTGAAATCTTTAGTGTTGTGAGACCTTAAAAGGGACAGAAATTGTGCATTCAGGGAGTTTGGATTTTAAGGCAGTAGCTTGCCGATGCTCGCAGCTGAATAAAGCCCTTCCTTCTACAACTCGGTGTCTGAAAGGTTTTGTCTGGGGCTCGTCCTGCTACATTTCTTGGTTCCCTGAACAGGAAGCGAGGTAACTGACGGACGGCCAAGGCAGCCCCTTGGGTGGCTTAGGCCTGCCCTGTGGAGCATCCCTGCGGTGGACTCTGGCCAGCCTGAGTGACGCGATCCAAAGAGCGCTCCCGGGTAGGAAATTCCCCGGGTGGAACGCCTCGCCAGAGCAGCACGTAGCAGGCCCCCGAGGAGGATTAACACACTGGCTGAACACTGGGAAGGAACTGGCACTTGGAGTCCGGACATCTGAAACTTGGTAAGACTAGTCTTTGGAACTTGCCCCACTCCATCTGAGTGGAAGCATGGCCTGATCACCCATGGTGTGCCTGTACTGGCACTTTTATTCTGGTTTTGACTTGACTTAGATTGTGTGATACTTTGGTTTTGGTTTTGGTTTTGACCTGGCTTGGGTTTTTGGATACTCTGATTTTGGTTTGGTGTAAACTGCAAAAGTGTGTGTGCCCTGTTTTTTTGTTTTGTAGTGCACGTGTGGTGTGAGCGTGGTGTTTTGTCTCGAAGAAGCATGGGTCAGGCACAAATAAGCCCACCCCACTAGGAACTATGTTAAAAAAAATTTTTTTTCAAGAAAGAATTTAAGGGAGATTACGATGTTACTGTGACACCAGGAAAACTTAGAACTTGTGAAATAGACTGGCCAGCATTAGAGGTGGGTTGGCCATCAGAAGGAAGCCTGGACAGGTCCCTTGTTTCAAAGGTATGACACAAAGTAACCTGTAAGCCAAGGCATCCAGACCAGTTTCTGTACATAGACAGTTACAGCTGGTTTTAGACCCCCTTCCCCCTACAGTAGTTAAGAGAACAGTAGCATAAGCATCTGGCAGAGGCAAGGAAAGACCAGCAGAGAGAAAAAAAGGCCATCTATACCAATTCTAAGTTAATTTAGACTAAACAAGGTCTTATTAATAGCAAAGGATAATTGAAATCCCAAACTTACAAGGTTTTCAACAAAAGTGAAGTTTGCTAAAAATTAACAGTATAACATGTATTATGGTAACTTCTAATCTTGTGGCCTTAGACAGTCTAGTCCAAAGACAAAAAAAAAGTTCACTTTAAAAAAAAAAAGCGGGGGAGGCAGAATTTATGTAAAAAGAGTGTTATATGGTAAATTCTTGTCCTGAAATAAATTAACTGGTTGTTTAAAGAAAAAAAAATGTTTGTAATAAGTCAGAAAGTTGAGACATGTTGAAGAATTGTCGGCGAAAGTCGTGAAAGAAAAAATGTTATAAAAAAATTTATGCAAAAAATATTGTGTAATTTAAAAGTAATAAGGCCTCCTGAGTACTATTTAAAAAAAAAAACAGTTTATGTGCAAGGTGTATAAGAAAAGTAAAATATACCTTTGGTAAAAAGATTATAAGGAGGCATAAGAATGTGGATTTTTACCTACATTAAAAGGTTAAAAAAATTATTGTTTTGAAAGTGTAAGCAAATTTTAAAATGTTAATTGTAAAGAAAATTCTGTGTGTAAACATATTAGCTAAAGTTAAAAAGGTATCATCCAGTTTTTCTGTGAACTGGACATTAAAGTAAAAATGTGACAGGTTTTTCTTAAAGCATCAACCTGCTCTTTAACAAAAATTATAAAAGGTTAAAAAGAGTCTATAAAACCTTACCTTATGGTCAAACATGAAAAATTGGATAAATATGTCTACAAAGTTTTATTAAAATTAAGTTTAACATTAATAACACACTAATATAAAGGTAAAATTTAGCTTACCTGGTATAAAAATCATACAAGAAGCATTATTAAATATAAAATGGTGTTTAGCTTTCTTTGGTCTAAAAACTAATAAAAATAGATGCTAAAGGAAACATTCATTTTACTAGAGGATCATAGAAGTTAAAGACTTAAAACAAACTTTGGCAGTTAAGACAGCATACCAAGATGCAAATGCCTGGTTGGAATGGATTAAATATTCCATCTGCACGTTAAACAAAATCAATTGTTATGCTTGTGCACATGGCAGGCCAGAGGCCCTGATTGTCCCTCTTCCACTAAGGTGGTCCTCCAGTCGACCAGGTGTGGGCTGCATGGTAGCTCTTTTCCAGGATTCTACAGCCTGGAGTAATAAGTCATGCCAAGCTCTCTCTGCTATATCCCGAAGTCTCTGTGGGTCAGCCCCCGAGGGCCATCCAGCTTCCATCTCCCAACACTAAGTTCACTTCTTGTCTCTCACGGCAGGGAGGAGATTTAGCATTCCTTGGAGACCTGAAGGGATGCAGTGAGCTTAAGAGTTTCCAAGAGCTTATCAATCAGTCAGCCCTTGTTCATCCCCGAGAGGATGTGTGGTGGTATCGGGGTGGACCTTTACTGGGCACTCTGCTGAATAACTAGAGTGGCACTTGTGCTTTAGTCCATTTGGCTATCCCTTTCACCCTGGCATTTCATCAACCAGAGGAAAAAAAAAGTAAGACATCATAAAACGAGAGAAGCCCCTTATAGGTCTTTCAATTCTCACATCTACTTAAATGCAATTGGAGCCCCACAAGGAATACCAGATCAATTTAAAGCTTGAAATCAAATAGTTACAGGATTTAAGTCAATATTTTAGTAGATGACAGTCAACAAAAATGTAGATTAGATAAACTACATCTATTACAACCAACAGCAAAGAGCTTTTCATTAGTTAAAAAGAAAAACTCATGTCGGCCCCAGCCCTGAGGCTACCTGACCTGACAAAACTCTTTACACTCTGTGTGTCAGAAAGAGAAAAAATGACAGTTGGAGTTTTAACCCAGACTGTAGGGCCCTGGTCAAGGCCAGGGGCCTATCTCTCAAAACAACTAGACGGGGTTTCCAAAGGCTGGCCCCCATGTCCAAGGGCCCTGGCAGCAACTGCCCTGTTAGCACAAGAAGCAGATGAGCTAACTCTTAGGCAAAACCTAAACAGAAAGTCTCCCCATGCTGTGGTGACTTTAATAAATACCAAAGGACATCATTAGCTAATAAATGCTAGACTAACTAGATACCAAACCTTGCTCTGTGAAAATCCCCACAAAACCATTGAAGTTTCCAACACCCTAACCCAGCCACCTTACTCCTGGTAACAGAGAGCCCAGTTAAACATAACTGTTTAGAGGTGCTGGACTCAGTTTATTCTAGTAGGCCTAACCTCCGAGACCACCCTTAAACATCAGTAGACTGGGAGCTGTACGTGGATGGGAGCGGCTTTGCCAACCCCTGCAAAGTGACTCTGAAGAAGGAGACAAGCCCTGCTCCAGTCACACCCAGAAGCTGACTGGTCCACGCACAGGCGAAGCATGAGGAAACTCATTGCGGGACTCATTTTCCTTAAAATTTGGACTTGTACAGTAAGGACTTCAACTGACCTTCCTCAGATTGAGAACTGTTTCCAGTATATACATCAAGTCACTGAGGTAGGACAAAAATTGCTACAGTCCTATTATTTTATGGTTATCATAAGTGTACCAGGACTCTAAAAGAAACTTGTTTGTATAATGCTATCCAAGGTATGTAGCCCAGGGAATAACCAACCTGATGTGTGTTATGACCCATTTTAAGCCTCCCGTGATCACAGTTTTTAAAATAAAATTAAGGACTGGTCCTTTTCTAGGTGACACAAGTAAGGTAATAGCTAGAATGGAAAAAAGAGGGGCCCCCAAAAATGTAACCTTAAAATTTGGTGCTTGTGCCGCTATTGATAGTAAGCAGCATGGAATAGGATGCGGTTCTCTAAATTGGAAAAAAAAAGTGACACAGTAAAAAAAAAATAAGTGTATCTGTCAAGAATTGTATTTATGTGAGATGTGTCAATACTGGTCTTGTGTCATTTGGGCTACTTAAAAAGAAGATAAAAAAGATCCTGTTTGGCGGCTTAGTTGTCTTGGGCAAAAACTGTATAATGGTACCACAAAAAGTTACATGGTGGAGTTCCAATTACACAGAAAGAAATCCATTCAGTAAATTTCCAAAGTTGCAGACTGTTTGGGCCCACCCAGAACTCCACCGGGACTGGACAGCCCCCACCGGGTTATACGCAGAGCTTATGCTAAGCTCCCTGATCAGTGGACAGGTAGCTGTGTAATTGGCACCATTAAGCCATCTTTCTTCTTACTGCCCATAAAAACAGGTAAACTTCTGGGCTTCCCAGTCTATGCTTCCTGCGAAAAACGAAGCATAGCCATAGGTAATTGGAAAGATGATAAATGACCTCCTAAAAAAATTATATAATACTATAGGCCTGCCACTTAGACACAAGATGGCTCATGAGGATATCGAACCCCCATCTACATGCTCAACCGAATCATATGGTTGCAAGCTGTTTAGAAATTATTACTAATAAAACCCGTCAAACCTTGACTGTTCTTGCCCGGCAAGAGACTCTGATGAGAAATGCTATCTATCAAAATAGACTAGCTCTTGACTACTTGCTATATATATATATATATATATATGTATACACACACCCCATCTCTACTAAAAATACAAAAAATTAGTGGGGTATGGTGGCAGGCACCTGTAATCCCAGCTACTAGGGAGGCTGAGTCAGGAGAATCGCTTGAACCTGGGAGGCGGAGGTTGTAGTGAGCCGAGATCGCGCCATTGCACTCCAGCCTGTGCAACAAGAGTGAAACTCCATATCAAAAAATATAAATAAATAAATAAATAATAAATTAAATAAATAAAATGGGCAGGAAGAGGTCTGAACATAAAAACACTCGACTGCACAGCGACCAAGGAGAGACAACTTAAACCTCAAATTCTCTCTCTTTTTTTGAGACGGAGTCTCACTCTGTCGCCCAGGCTGGAGTGCAGTGGCGCTAGCTATATCGGCTCACTGCAACCTCCGCCTCCCGGATTCAAGCGATTCTCCTTCCTCAGTCTCCCGAGAAGCTGGGTTTACAAGTGCGCGCCAGGGTTTCGCTATGTTGGCCAGGCTGGTCTCCAACTCCTGACCTCAGGTGATCCGCCCGCTTCGGCCCCCCACAAAGTGCTGGGATTATGCTGGGATTACAGGCGTGAGCCACCGCGCCGGGTCTCAAACCCCAAATTATTTTTTTGGGGGGACGGAGTCTTGCTCTGTCGCCCAGGCTGGAGTGCAGTGGCGCGATCTCTGCTCACTGCAAGCTCTGCCTCCAGCGTTCACGCCATTCTCCTGCCTCAGCCTCCCGAGTAGCTGGGACTACAGGTGCCCGCCACCACACCCGGCTAATTTTTTTGTATTTTTTTAGTAGAGACGGGGTTTCATAGTGTTAGCCAGGATGGTCTCGATCTCCTGACCTTGTGATCCGCCCGCCTCGGCCCCCCAAAGTGCTGGGATTACAGGCGTGAGCCACCGCACCCGGCCTCAAACCCCAAATTCCTAAGTATGGATGAGCCAAATCACCCCTCCCACTGCTGAGGAGAGACGCTTGTCTCGGACTGGACTTAACCCAATGGGGTTCAAGAAAAAGGGAAAGTCCCGCCTCCGTAGCAGCTCCAGTCCAATGGGAGCCTCCCGGTACGCTCAGCTGGAAGATGGGCGGGACTACGCTGGCCTGGAGCATGGCACGTGATTCCGCCGGCCTGGTTGCCGGGAATCTGGACCTGAGCGAGAAGCACGATCCCCGGCCGCCCCCGCTCTTGCATCCCCCTGGTCCTACTGCTGTGCTTGCTGGCGACGGTTCGTTCCGGAAGTCAGGCCAGTGACTGCGGGGCTCTGCTCCGCCCTCCATACCTGTTAAGTGTCCCCCTCCCCCACAACGCCTGATCCCCACAGCCTGGCAGCGAGAGTCCAGCCCTCCGGGGAGGTTGAGGCCCGGTGCCACCACCACCACTGGAGGCCTGACGATGCCTGACGATGCCTCACGCGGGTGCTGAGTAGTAGGGGGGCTTAATTATTTAGCACCTCTCCCCTTCCCCTGAGCCATAACCTTCCCCAAACTGTGGCCTTTATGAGGCCTCTTGGGAGTGCTTTTTGGAGCCGGGGGAGGTCTGGGGCGATGGAGGTTGCAAGATAAGGTCAGGCTTAGAGGGTAGGTAGGGCTTCCTCTGAAACTGGTTGTATCTGGTAAGTAATTGTCCCATGTCTCCCACTTGAAGCTTAAACTTGGCCGTAGGAGGTCCTTATGCCTGTAATCCCAGGACTTTGGGAGGCCGAGCTGGGCGGAGGATTGCTTGGACACAGGAGTTTGAGACCAGCCCAGGGAACATGAGGAAAACCTGTCAATACAGAAAATACAAAAACATTAGCCAGGCGTGGTGGTGCACGCCTGTAGTCCCAGTTACTCTGGAGGCTGAGGTGGGAGGATCGCTTGAGCCTGGGAGGCAGAGGTTGGGGTGGGCCTCATGATTGTGCCACTGCACTTCAATGTGGGTGACAGAGTGAGACCGTCTCGAAAAAAAAGAGAAAAGGAGCCAATGATAGCAGCTATGTTTGTTAAAAAAATATATATATATATACGTATATACACATATATATACGTATATGTGTGTGTGTGTATATATATATTTGGAGACGGAGAATCACTCAGTCGCCCAGGCTGGAGTGCAGTGGTGCAATCTCGGCTCACTACAACCTCCGCCTCCTGGGTTCTAGGGATTCTCCTGTCTCAGCCTCCCGAGTAGCTGGGATTACAGGCGTGCACCACCAGGCCCAGCTAATTTTTGTATTTTTTTAGTAGAGATGGGGTTTCGCCTCATCGTGGTTTTTAACCCAGCCTTAAAAATATATTTAAACATAACTACCAGGTGTGTTTTTTGGCATGACCTCTAATCCTCTGAGATTGGTGTAATTTTCTCATATATGAAGAATGTGGCTCATATTCTTGTCCACAAGAGATGGCCCCAAGAGGGATGCACAGCCATAGACAAGTGGTAGGGTGAGTGTCACCTCTGAGTGAAAGTCAGAGCCGTCTCTGAAATAAAGGGGTACAGCAGCGTGGTAGATGGTTTGAGGCCAGGGTAAGGGTTTAATGAAAGGGTTTAAGTGGTTTAAGTGGTGTTTGGAGAAGGGGAGGATGGGTCTTCCCTTCAGGGGACCATCTCAGGAAGGCACTGGGAGGTGGAACTGCAGGAGTATGGAGGTGCTCCAACCTTCCTGTTCCAAGTGGGTCAGGTGAAGGCAGGGTGTGGTGGGAGATGAGGGTGGAGACGGCAGCCTTCAAGGGGCCTTGTTTAGCTTGCTAAGGAGCTTGGAAACCATCCCGAGGACAAAAGGGGAATCCTTAGAGGAAGAGCAGAGAGGTATGCGGTCTGATATGTATTTCTGGATAGATCACTCTGATTATATCAAGGAGGACAGATTTTATATGCTTAAGACTGGAGGGAGAGAGACCAGTTAGAAAGACTCTGGCTATAATCCAAGCAAGCCATACTATGGGCTGGTTTGGTGGAGGTAGAGGAATGTCCAGATTGGAGAAACAGGAAGTTAAAAATGGGCAGGGCTTGCTGACTGTTTGAAACTAGGGGGTGTGAAGGGAGGCAGCACTCTAGGATAAACACCAGACTTGCCGATTGTTTGGGAATATCCAATTCTGCTGTAGAAGACAGGAAAACAATAAACTCAAAAGAAGTGTTACACATAGATAACTAAATTAGTCATCTGTAGATAGTACAACATATTCGTGTGTACAGAGATCAAAAGGGACAGAAAGACCAAGGAGGCACTAAATATTCACGGTACCCTAAATACGTGAGACATGAGGCACTCAGGATGCAGGAGGTTTCAATTTGACAGGATGGATGCACACTGCATGACCCACAGTTCAGCTGGTGTGATCATTCCACCCAACTTGCCCCCTCTCCCGTGTGTTGACCCACCCCAGCACCTGCCTCCTGCTTCTCAGAATGTGTTTTACATTTATTTAATAAACGATGTTATTTGAGCATTTACATTTGGTCTGTGAGCCTTTTTGTTCCATGACCTCTCAGCTCACTTCATGCTATTGTGCCAGGAGGCTACATGACATCCGGTAGTTGCCCACACCTCAACCCAGTTCTGGCTTGAGTAAGCAGGCAGGTGAGAGGATGATGCCACTCACCAGGAATATAGGATGAGAGGCAGGTTGTTCCATGGCCAGGGCCAAGAGGAAATACTCAGTTTTGGATGTGTCAGATTTAAGGCCATATGGAACCTTAGGTCCAGATGACCAACAGGTAGGTAGTTGGATATACCGATGTGAAGAACAGGGATGAAGAGATTTGGGAGTCATTACTATTTAAAACAATGAGCCTAGATGAGGCCCTGCAGGGAAACAAGAGATTCCCTTCCCATTGTTCAGTCTGCATTCCCCTTACCCACTCCTTTGGTGCCCTCAAAAATAGTCACACAGCCTCACCACACAGGCACCTTGTGCAGTGTCTCCCAGGTAAGACTCCTGTTGGAAAATAACCCTTTCCCATCATTCTCTTTTCCTCAGCAACCCACTCTCTGTGCTATGACTTCATTACTCTTTCCCAGCCCAGCCCTGGGCAAGCCCCTTACGAAGTCTCAGGCTACCTGGATGACCACCCTTTCTTATGATGCTGCAAGGAGGGCAGGTGGGCAGAGCCCCGTGCATCCTGGGCTCAGGCCAGGGACCCAAGAGCTTGGGAGAAGCTGGTTCTCAGACTGAAGGCCAGAGCCCAGCACCTTGTCACCATCCCGGGGAGCATCATGGCACACAACAACCAGAGCCAAGGTGATTGGGCTTGGGGGCTCAGGAGGAGGCAGAAAAGAGAGAAGAGCTCAATATGGGCCTGAAGATGTGCAGCTGCATTCGTTATTGTTCAGCTAAGATGCATTGAGCTCTGCGTGGGGCACTGTGCTAGGCACTCAGATACCATCCCACTTCACTGAGATCCTGATGCTATCTCCTCCTGCCTGGGGGAGTTCATCCCTGACTCAAACCTTGTTTTATGTACCCAGTGGTGCCAAAAGGACTGGGTCTTAGGTATTAGCAAGAGTAGGACAGAAGTATAAGACCCTCTGGCTGGGCGCGGTGGCTCATGCCTGTAATCCCAGCAGTTTGGGAGGCCGAGGCAGGTGGATCACAAGGTCAGGAGATCGAGACCATCCTAGCTAACACAGTGAAACCCTGTCTCTACTAAAAATACAAAAAAAATTAGCCGGGTGCGCTGGCAGGCACCTGTAGTCCCAGCTACTCGGGAGGCTGAGGCAGGAGAATGGCATGAACCCGGGAGGTGGAGCTTGCAGTGAGCCGAGATCGTGCCACTGCACTCCAGCCTGGGTGACAGAGCAAGACTCTGTCTCAATAAAAAAAAAAAAAAAAGAAGTATAAGACCCTCACCCTTTCCCTCAGTCAAGGACTAGGTCTCTAAGAAAGAAGCCATTGTCCTTAAGCTCCCAAGCCTTCCCTTCAGGTGAAAAAAGTCTGTTTTTTTTTTGCTCTTGTTGCCCAAGCTGGAGTGCAATGGCCCGATCTCAGCCCACTGCAAACTCCGCCTCCCAGGTTCAAGCGATTCCCCTGCCTCAGCCTCCTGAGTAGCTGGGATTACAGGCGCCTGCCACCACACCTGGCTAATTTTTATATTTTTAGTAGAGATGGGGTTTCACCATGTTGGCCAGGCTGGTCTCAAACTCCTGACCTCGTGATCCACCTGCCTGGGCCTCCCAAAGTGCTAGGATTACAGGCGTGAGCCACCGCACCCGGCCAGGTGAAAAAAATTTATCCAACTTTCTCAAATCCAGGAAATGGGAAAAACTGGCCTTTTTCTGACATTCACCTCTCTCGCCACCACCAGTAGTTAATAAGAAACCTGGTGACCTGAGCAAAATATATTTCTAACCAATATCATTTTTTTTCATCTAGCAAACATTTAAGCCTAGTAAGTGCTGTTCATTTTGCTGTTACCAATAATACACCTTACAATAGCAGCTACTAGTTCTTGAATTCTTCTTGGTAGGTCCTACATTAACACTGGCAAGGATTATCTCATGTTATCTTTACTTGTGTGGTAGAGACTATAATTGTGTCCAGTTGCCAAATGAGGAAAGCAAGGCTTGGAGAGGTTCCATTACATTTGCCGTGGGCATATAGCCAGTAGCTGATGTGTAGATCAGGGATTTAAACACAATGCTGTCTGTGCTGGGCCTTCAGGAGGGTGGGTGAGTATATGTGGCTGAACAGTGCATGCTGGGTACATGGGAGGGAGCCACATGCTGCAGGGGAGGGAGAGCGGGTGCAGTGTGACTTTGGTGGGGATGTGGTTGACAGAGAAGATATGTCTTGGAGAATGAGTGAGGGTTTATCAGTCAGAGGAAGGGAATTTCATGCATTTTGGGAGGAGGTAGGAGCGGAGGTGGAGAGAGCCACTGTTTTGACCTCTTGTAACTTTGGAGTTCTGGGGTTTTGGCTTTTCAGAGTCACACACCCTCCAGACCACGGTTGTCTGTGAGTTGCTGGGGAACCGGAGCAGCTGGGGACACTGGCACTACAACTGTGATGGCCAGGACTCCCTTCTTAGCACACTTGAGTCTTTCAACTCCAGCAAAAGCCAGCCAGAACCAAGCATAGCTGCAGAAGGAGAGAAGGGAAGGAAACAATCCTTCCTGACCTAGAGCTGCGTCTACCCTCTCCGGAAACACCTGAAAGCTGGGGTGGGACCACGGCCCACCGTAGGTGTGATAGGTGCGGACTGGTTCATGTGGGGAAGGTGGAGGAGCTGAGGGCACTGTGGGAGGGATGGAGTGCAGGCCCCTCAGCCAGCCTTCAAAACTCCATTTCAATACCCATGTCCTAAATGAACACAGCTCTGTTGCTGACCGTCCTAGCCACTCTGCTTTCCTTCCCTCTCCCGTGCTTGGTCAGCCCTTTTCCCACTTGGTGTTCAAGTTCTGACCCAGGGCTGAGCACCCAAGGGCTCTCAAGGTGGGGCATCACCTACAGTCACCATGGAACACAGTGGAATGGTGCCTAAAGCCCTGGTGTGGAGGATGTACGGCAGCTTGATAGGACCAGAGGCAGCCAGTTTGTCTGGGAGGTCTTTGCCACCACTTTTCCCTGTCCCGCTAGCCCCCTTGGTGCATGGGACTCTCTGCAAAGCCCCTGGAGAGGAGCCATCCCAACATGCTAGGCCCTTGACTTCTATCCTCCAGTGTCCAGCTAACTTAGCTGAGGGATGGGCTGCCCCAGCCCCTGAGTCCCTGGAACCCTAAGCCACTTGCCCCCTTGCATGGCGCTGCTCAGATGCCCAGAGCCAGCAGTCTGCTGTGATCCCTTTGACGTGAGCATAGGCTCTCCTGTCTGGTGATGCACCAGGCTGATGCTGAGTCTCTGTGCAACCTCAGATGAGCAGCTGGGGTTTGGAGGCATGTAGCAATGCAGTTGCCGAGTGCAGTGGCTCGATCTCAGCTCACTGCACCCTCTGCTGCCTGAGTTCAAGCGATTTTTGTTTCTCAGCCTCCTGAGTAGCTGGGATTACAGGCATGCACCACCACATGCAAAAAAAACAAAACAAACAAACAAAAAAACCACCTTTTGGTATTTTTAGTAGAGACAGGGTTTCACCATGTTGGCCAGGCTGGTCTCGAACTGCTGATCTGAAGTGATCCGCCCGCCTCAGCCTCCTAAAGTGCTGGGATTATAGGCATGAGCCACCGCTCCCGGCCTCCTCCTATATCTCTTGATCAAACTTCAGGGGAAAACCTGCCAGATTCCCCAGGAAGGATGCTTGGAGGTAGGTGGCAGGGTACAGGGAGGCCTATGCCAACTTCTCATTGAACACCACTCCCAGCTTTCCTACCCCCATTTCTCTTCACAGGTGTGCAGAGAAGTCTACATTCCCATGTCAAGTAAGGGGGGTGGGTAGATGGGAGGGCATATGAGAGCGGGGCAGCAATTTTATGTCTGAGTTGGAAGGAAGTTTAGAGTTCATTGAGTCCAAATCCTCTTTACTAGGTGAGGAAACTGAGGCACAGGAGGGGGAGGTGCCATTAGCCAGGGAGTCAGAGCCAGGACTTAGAACCTGGTCCATGCCTCCTAGTTTGTTCCTGACCAATCCTCCCAGCTCACCCACTCCTTTTGCTCTCACCTCTGACTCCCTACAGGCTACAGCTAGAGAGTTGACTCCTCTATTTGAGGTAAGAGTGTCTGGATTTGGGATAAGGTGACCTCAGTTTGCAGGGCTCATGGGGGAGATCAGAGGGTCCTTTGTTGAGAAGAGGGGACTTGGTCCACAGTGAGCAAAGGAATTTGTCTAAATTGCTATTAAGGGAGATCATCTCCCAAGGTGGGCCAAGCCTGAACCCTCAGCCCTCCGTTTCTTCCCTTTCTTTTGCCTTCAGATTGACAGGCCTCGGAAGTCAAAATAAGTGGTTTCCTAGACCGGGTCGAGAGCAAGTCTCTATTGGTCCCAACTGAGTTTTTTCAGCTGGTTTTTCAACCAAACAGCACCTCATCTCCCAGTGAGGGGAAGGGAAGGCTGGGCTGAGAGCAGCAAGGCTGCTCATCTCACCTCTCCCCACCCAGCCATGCCAGCCGCCTCACCTGGTGGGGAGAGGTGGGCCTCACCTGGGTCCCCTGGCAGTGCTCTGTGAAGGGTCTTGACATTGCACTGTAATAATAAAGGTGTGTGTGAAGTATCTTTTTATGGTGACTTTCTAAAACCCAGGGAATCATGGGACCAGTTCTGATGACTCAGCCTGGCTTCCAGTCTCCTCCAGGCCCAACGGTGGCCCCCAGCACTGGTTGGGGCCTGGGAGAGCTGGCCTTGGCTGAAGTGAAGCCACCTACCCTTCAGGCATAACAGGACAGTGAGAAGGAAGGAAAGCCTGCCTCAACCTCCCATCAGCCCTGAGCACCCCAGAAGGGGGCCGGCTAGGAGTCTAGGCATGCAGGAGGCTGACCCCTGACTGGGCTCATATCCAGCCACAAGGCAGCCAGGGATCCAGGCACCCACCCCTTGTCTGCGTCCCTCTCGGGAATGGGCCTCTTGCCCAGGCCAGAAATACACCACCTACAGTACAAATTATAATCTAAAAACAAGAGGGTGGTGTTGAGTGGGGAAATTGGGGAAGGTGTTTTAGGAGCCACTAGGAAAATGGGCAGCAGGGACTCTCTGGACTGGCTTGGGAAGAGCGCTTTTGGGGAACCTGGAGGATGGCAAGCTGAGAAACACTGGTGTGGAGATTCCAGCCAAATCCCAGGCCTGCCCCTCCCCCTCCTCTGAGAGGCCGTCTTCTTGGCAGACAGCAGAGAGATGCATGACAAAGGTGCCGTGATGGTTCTGTCCTGGGGATTGAGATGGCTGGGGAGGGGCCTCCTCCTGTTCCGAAGCATGTTCCTCCCACCCCCACCAGGCCCCATAATCTACCTGCCTTTTGGGCAGTTAAAGGCCGAGAAGTGAACACAGCTGCAACCCCACTGCCTTGTAGACCTTCCGGCAGACCTGTGGCAGGTATTGAAATGCACGCATACAATTAGGCTCAAAAAGTCTACACAGACAGGAGATGGGCACACGAACAGAGGCAACATAAGAGTGGGGGAAAAGTCTCAAAAGACTCACGGATGCCACCAAGATGAAGACAGCTGGCCACGGGACACCCATCCCCTTAGAAGGCAGATAGAGCCACTGACCCCAGCAGACAAGCCCAGGCAGGGCTGAGCCTGGAGCCTGCAATGAGAAGCCTTACTTAAGTCGACAGAGGTCAGCGTGCCCAGTCCAGACCTGGCCTTCTGGCCTTCGAAGCTGTGGGGAGCCCTGGCCCAGAGCCCCCTCTGGAGCCCCCAGACTTACCCCAGGCCCTCCACTGAGATCAAGTTTTGGGAGCAGACAGACAAACATCATCCCTCACAGACAGGCATTCCGTTGGCTATTCTCTTGCAAACAGAATCAAGCACTAGACCAGCAGCATGAGCCTCAGGATACTCAGGCCAGGCCCAGAAAAACAGACCCTGAAGGGGAGCTTAGGGCAGCCTTCCTGCACGCCTCCACAAATCACTCTCCACCTCCTCTGCGTCTTTCTGCCAGCCAGCCCCACTAAACAAAGCACATCCCTCAATCTGCCAGGCTCGGGGAGGGACGCACGATGAAGCTGGACGCCTGAGTCCCCCAGAGGAAGGAGGAACTAGATACCTAGGTCCCTGTGGGGGGCCCTTGGTGCCCGTCTGAGGCTCAGTCTTTGAGGGGATTGCAGAGGGGGGTTGCTGGAGCTCCTTTTAGCGTCTCTGAAGGGGATTCTGTGTGAGGGGATTGGGACTGGGGGGTTGGGGAGCAGGAAGCAGTCCCCAGGGGAGCCATCCAGGCCCATTCAAGGGTTGAGCACTTGTTTAGGGTTAGAGCTGCCCCCTCTGGGGACCGGGATTGTCCAGCCAAGGCCATTGTCCTGCCCCCTTCCCCCAGTCCCTCCCAGGCTTCTTTGAACCTGAAGTCAGATATTTTTTCTCCACACCCCCCACCCCCTGGTTTTCCCCACCCAGGGCCTAGGGCTGGAGGCCTGGGCCAGGGAGGTGGGGGAGGGAGAACGGGGCCTACCGTGGTATTAGATGTCTGAGTTTTGGTTGAGAGGGGAGCAAGGAACCTGATGTGCAGGTTCCATAGTGGAGGGGGCCCAAAGCGGGTGTCTTATCACTCTGTTTCAGCAAAGGTTGGGAAACTGAGGCCCAGTCAGTCCAAAGTCTGGTCCCTTGAAGGGGAAGTAGGGACCAACCCCTTAGTCTGTTAGATGAGGAGAGTCTGGAGTCTGATTCTGGAAGACGGAGGGGTGGGGGGATGGGGGGGTGGGGGGATATAGCACGGAGGCCTTGTCTGGCAGTCTACTCTTGAAGATGGGGTGAAATTTGGCAGGCTGGGCAGATGGTGCCAGGCACCCAGGCTGCGGGGTGGCTGGATTTGGCCAGTATCGGGATGGGAATGCCTAGGATTCTGGATGGATCGGGGGAAGGCATAAGGGAGCAGCTGGCCATTGTGCTTATGGCTGTTGATGCATTGAGGGATAGCGCCACACACACATTCAATAAATTTGAGGAGCTGAGAGGGTGACTGGCCCCTGAAGGCACAGTGCCAGAGGTCTGTGGAGAGGGGGTCAAGCACCTGGGTTCCTGAAGAACATGGAGGTGTGGGAGTGATTCCAGACAGCTGGGATGTGCAGAGCCTGAGAGAGTGCCAGGGAGCGGGTTGGGAGTTGAAAGTTGGGTGTGGTGGCTCACGCCTTTAATCATGACACTGGGCGGCAGAGGCGGGAGGATTTCTTGAGGACAGGAATTCAAGACCAGCCTGGGTAACATAGCAAGGCCCCATCTCTACTAAAAATAAAAAAACTAACAGGGCACAGTGGTCCAAGCCTGTAGTCCCAGCCACTTAGGAGGCTGGAGCAGAAGGATTGCTTTGGCCCAGTAGATCGAGGCTACATTGAGCCATCATTGTACTCCACTGCACTCCAGTCTGGGCAACAAAGTGAGACCCTGTCTTAAAAAATAAAAATAAAAAAAGTTTCTGTGGGGGACCTGCACTGAGGTCCTGGAGGGGCGCCAGTTGTGTCTCCCGGTTTTCCCCTTCCACAGACACCATTGCCACCACCATTAGGCAAACATCCTTCGCCTCAGTTTCTCCCCCCACCTCCCTCTCCTCCACCCATCCAGGGGGCGGGGCCAGAGGTCAAGGCTAGTGGGTGGGACTGGGGAGGGAGAGAGGGGTTGAGTAGTCCCTTCGCAAGCCCTCATTTCACCAGGCCCCCGGCTTGGGGCGCCTTCCTTCCCCATGGCGGGACACCTGGCTTCGGATTTCGCCTTCTCGCCCCCTCCAGGTGGTGGAGGTGATGGGCCAGGGGGGCCGGAGCCGGGCTGGGTTGATCCTCGGACCTGGCTAAGCTTCCAAGGCCCTCCTGGAGGGCCAGGAATCGGGCCGGGGGTTGGGCCAGGCTCTGAGGTGTGGGGGATTCCCCCATGCCCCCCGCCGTATGAGTTCTGTGGGGGGATGGCGTACTGTGGGCCCCAGGTTGGAGTGGGGCTAGTGCCCCAAGGCGGCTTGGAGACCTCTCAGCCTGAGGGCGAAGCAGGAGTCGGGGTGGAGAGCAACTCCGATGGGGCCTCCCCGGAGCCCTGCACCGTCACCCCTGGTGCCGTGAAGCTGGAGAAGGAGAAGCTGGAGCAAAACCCGGAGGAGGCAAGTGAGCTTCGACGGGGTTGGGGTGTGGGGAGGTGGTCATGACAGGGCAGCCTGATGGGGAAGTGGTCACCTGCAGCTGCCCAGACCTGGCACCCAGGAGAGGAGCAGGCAGGGTCAGCTGCCCTGGCCAGGGAGGGGTGTGTATCAACTGCTGGCAGCCCTGGCAGGCAGGGGCCAGGTGGGAAGTGGAAGCTGGATTTCGAAGAGACAACTGCCGGTGAGGGCAGAGCAGCCTGGGAGAGTCGGAAGCTGGCCCAGGCTGGCCTTTGCTCTGGCCCAGCCCTTGTCAGGGTCTCTCACATCTCCTAGGCCTGCCCAGGGTCTGGTCACTCATTACTGGCCCAGCACCAGACCCAGCTTGGGGTTGGTTTGAGCCCCTTTTCCCACCCTTAGTCCTGCTTGAAAATTTGACCCTTATCAGACCCAAGATTTTGGCCTTAGGGTTAAGCATAGCCTGAGGGTAAAAACAGTGCTCATTCCAGGATTATTGTTCCTGAAAGTCTAGGGTGTGACTCGTTTCTGATAGGATCTCCTGTTTGGGCTGTGTGTGTGCGCGTTGTGAGCTGGGTTTACCTCCAGTCAAGTATAGGGCTTGTCTTCCCCGGATCTCTGCCTCAGGCCAATGACTGGCCACTGTGTTAAGGTGCACACCCTGGCACCCCTTGTAGAAAGCTGGATTTTGATTGACTTCAGCCTCAGTTCCAAAGTTGTAAACAAGAAAAATGGTGAGAGATTTCTCCAGGCCATTTGCAAATATAGAGCTGCTGCGGGATTGAAGGCATCCAGCCCTGCTGAGGACTATTAAAGATGTATCTTCCAGTCCTTCAAGGCGACAAGTGTAAGCAATTAGAGATTAAATACTAAGCCTTGAGACCTCACAGAAAGGTGTGACTGGTTTCTGGAGTGACCGAGAAGCCCCAACCTCTTCGCAGGAGGTCACTGCTGAGCCTTGAATGATAATGGCTGGCAATTGTGGTCCACTTCCTAAGTGCCTGGCTGTGTGCTCCGTTTATACATCATTATCTCATTAACCAGCACAAAATCTCCTAGGGGGAGGTATTATTATCCTATTTAACGGGTTTTAACTGCTAAATGATGAAGCGAGGATTTGGACCAGTGTTTATTCCAAAACCCCAAAACAGAATTTGGAAAATCCAAGATAGCAGAGGGCATTTATCAGTTTGAGTTATTGGCTGAGCAGAAGTTGGGGATGAAAACAGCCTATTTGAAATTGATATGATCAAGCACCATTGAAACACTTCCTTGAGGCTTCAGAACTACAAAAAGGCCTTGTTTTTTTCTCACTAGCTGTGCACCTCTGTCTGCCGGCAGCCTCATATGGCATGCCCCAGGGCTCAGTCCTTCAACCTCTGCTCTATCTACCCTTCCTTCCTCTCACCCACCCTCAAGGCTTAAATGCCATTTAGACACCAGATGACTACCGCGTTTTCTGTCTCTTGTGATGGCTCCCTGAACTGCTCCACCCTGATCACCCAGTTGCTCAAGGCCAAACCCAGTCATCCTCAGTTTCTTTCATGTCCTACATCCTATCCTTAAGAAACATCCTGAATCAATCACAACCTAACCCTGGCCTCAGCCACCATCATCTCTGCTGGGATTACCGCAGTAGCTTCTCAAATTATACTGCTTCCTCCCTACTGTCTGTGGCCAACACGTCAACTAGAGTCAGTGTTTTAAAAGGTGTGGCCAGGCACTTTGGGAGGCCGAGGCAGGCGAATCACCTGAGGTCGGGAGTTCGAGTCCAGCCTGACCAACATGGCGAAACCCCATCTCTACTAAAAATACAAAATTAGCTGGGCGTGGTGACGCATGCCTGTAATCTCAGCTACTCAGGAAGCTGAGGCAGGAGAATCGCTTGAACCTGGGAGATGGAGGTTGCGGTGAGCCGAGATCGCGCCAGTGCACTCCAGCCTAGGCAACAAAAGCGAAACTCTCAAAAAAAAAAAAAAAAAAGGTGAGGCTAGGTGCGGTGGTTCACACCTGTAATCCCAGCACTTTGGGAGGCCAAGGTGGACAGATCACTTGAGGTCTCCTGACCAGCCTGGCCAACATGGTGAAACCCCATATCTACTAAAAATACAAAAATTAGCCGGGCATGGTGGTGGGTGCCTGTAGTCCCAGCTACTCAGGCGGCTGAGGCAGAATAGCTTGAACCCAGAAGGCGGAGATTGCAGTGAGCCAAGATCACGCCACAGCACTCCAGCCTGGGCGATAGAACGAGATTCCGTCTTGGTGGGGAGAAAAAGGGTGAGAGATCATTTCGCTTGGACTAAAACAAAGTCACTATGTCTGCAACAGGATCTACCTAGCCACCAGACCAGCTTTGGGCTCTGGAAGGCCCACTTCAGGGCCTTGCCACATTAGACTCTTGTCCTTTGCTCAAACAATCACCTTCTCTGTCTTTAAAAGTGTCACCCTCCTCCATAATCTCCTTCCCTCCTTTACCCTACTCCTATAGACTGCTTTATTTTTTTTTTAATTTTTGAGATGGAGTCTCACTCTGTCCCTCAGGCTGGAGTGCAGTGGTGCGATCTTGGCTCACTGCAAACTCCACCTCCTAGGTTCAAGCAATTCTCCTGCCTCAGCCTCCTGAGTAGCTGGGATTATAGGGGAGCGCCATGATGCCCAGCTAATTTTTGTATTTTTAGTAGAGACAGAGTCTCACTATGTTGACCAGGCTAGTCTTGAACTCCTGACCTCAAGTGATCTACCCACCTTGGCCTCCCAAAGTGAAGGGATTACAGGCATGACCACTGCGCCCAGACTGCTTTACTTTTTTCCATAATATATATATATATTTTAAATAGAGGCAGCAGGGGTGGGAGAAGGGGCGGCACGGGTCTCACTATGTTACCCAGGCTGCTTTCTAACTCTTGGGCTCAAGCAGTCTGCCCACCTTGGCCTCCCAAAGTGCTAGGATTTACAGACATGAGCCACTGTGCCTGGCCATTTTTTATTTTATTTACTTTTTTATTTTTCAGAGCAGGAGTGGAAGTTTATTATTAAAAAGTTATAGGGCAGGGAAAAAAGGAAAGTGCACTTGGAAGAGATCCAAGTGGGCAACTTGAAGAACAAGTGCCAAATAGCACTTCTGTCATGCTGGATGTCAGGGCTCTTTGTCCACTTTGTATAGCCGCTGGCTTATAGAAGGTGCTCGATAAATCTCTTGAATTTAAAAATCAATTAGGATGCCTCTATAGTGAAAAAGATACAGTAAAGATGAGGGATAATCAATTTAAAAAATGAGTAAGTACACACAAAGCACTTTATCCATTCTTATGACACCTGTTACTTTTTTGCTGTGTTTGTGTGTATGCATGCCATGTTATAGTTTGTGGGACCCTCAAAGCAAGCTGGGGAGAGTATATACTGAATTTAGCTTCTGAGACATGATGCTCTTCCTTTTTAATTAACCCAGAACTTAGCAGCTTATCTATTTCTCTAATCTCAAAACATCCTTAAACTGGGGGTGATACTTGAGTGAGAGAATTTTGCAGGTATTAAATGAACTATCTTCTTTTTTTTTTTTCTTTGAGACAGAGTCTTGCTCTGTCACCCAGGCTGGAGTGCAGTGGCGTGATCTCAGCTCACTGCAACCTCCGCCTCCCGGGTTCAAGTGATTCTCCTGCCTCAGCCTCCTGAGTAGCTGGGATTACAGGTGCGTGCCACCGTGCCCAGCTAATTTTTGTGTTTTTAGTAGAGACGGGGTTTCACCATGTTGGCCATGCTGGTCTTGAACTCCTGACCTCGTGATCTGCCCACCTCGGCCTCCCAAAGTGCTGGAATTATAGGCGTGAGCCACCGCGCCCAGCAAAGAACTTCTAACCTTCATAACCTGACAGGTGTTCTCGAGGCCAGGGTCTCTCTTTCTGTCCTTTCACGATGCTCTGCATCCCTTGGATGTGCCAGTTTCTGGGGGAAGAGTAGTCCTTTGTTACATGCATGAGTCAGTGAACAGGGAATGGGTGAATGACATTTGTGGGTAGGTTATTTCTAGAAGTTAGGTGGGCAGCTTGGAAGGCAGAGGCACTTCTACAGACTATTCCTTGGGGCCACACGTAGGTTCTTGAATCCCGAATGGAAAGGGGAGATTGATAACTGGTGTGTTTATGTTCTTACAAGTCTTCTGCCTTTTAAAATCCAGTCCCAGGACATCAAAGCTCTGCAGAAAGAACTCGAGCAATTTGCCAAGCTCCTGAAGCAGAAGAGGATCACCCTGGGATATACACAGGCCGATGTGGGGCTCACCCTGGGGGTTCTATTTGGTGGGTTCCCCTCTGCAGATTCTGACCGCATCTCCCCTCTAAGGAGTATCCCTGAACCTAGTGGGGAGGGGCAGGGGCAGACTACCCTCACCCATGAAGAGGAGTAGGGAGAGGGAGAAGATGCTTTGAGCTCCCTCTGGGAAGAGGTGGTAAGCTTGGATCTCAGGGTCACAAGGGCCCTGCGTGCTCCCTCACTTTGCTTCTCTTTTGACTGGCCTCCCCCAGGGAAGGTATTCAGCCAAACGACCATCTGCCGCTTTGAGGCTCTGCAGCTTAGCTTCAAGAACATGTGTAAGCTGCGGCCCTTGCTGCAGAAGTGGGTGGAGGAAGCTGACAACAATGAAAATCTTCAGGAGGTAAGGGTGGGAGGGGGATACCCGGGGACCTTCCCTTTCTTGGCCTAATTTCCATTGCTTCCATCACTGGCTCGTAGCTCTCCGTCTTTGGTGCAGTGGTTCTCAGTGGGATGGAGTGAAATTCCTCAGTTCTGCTGGGATAAGGTCCAGAGCCAACCCTTCCAGGATCCTGCCTTTTCACACCACCACCTGGCTCTGCTGACACATCTAGTCACAGACCCCTGTGATGCTGTTACTCAGCAAGTCCAAAGCTTGCCCTTGTCACCCCCTTCCCACCTGCACAGATATGCAAAGCAGAAACCCTCGTGCAGGCCCGAAAGAGAAAGCGAACCAGTATCGAGAACCGAGTGAGAGGCAACCTGGAGAATTTGTTCCTGCAGTGCCCGAAACCCACACTGCAGCAGATCAGCCACATCGCCCAGCAGCTTGGGCTCGAGAAGGATGTGAGTGCCATGTCTCTCTGCGGGCTCCATCTCTTTCCCCTGTCACCACCTCGCTTTCCCTAGCTCTGGCTCCTCCAACTGCTCTAGGGCTGTTGGCTTTGGACAGAATGTCCAAGCAGTCAGGCCTGTCTCAGCTCATTCTCTAATGTCCTCCTCTAACTGCTCTAGGGCTGTTGGCTTTGGATAGAATGTCCAAGCAGAGTCAGGCCCGTCTCAGCTCATTGTCTAATGTCATTCTCCTTTCTGTCATTCACTTGCAGGTGGTCCGAGTGTGGTTCTGTAACCGGCGCCAGAAGGGCAAGCGATCAAGCAGCGACTATGCACAACGAGAGGATTTTGAGGCTGCTGGGTCTCCTTTCTCAGGGGGACCAGTGTCCTTTCCTCTGGCCCCAGGGCCCCATTTTGGTACCCCAGGCTATGGGAGCCCTCACTTCACTGCACTGTACTCCTCGGTCCCTTTCCCTGAGGGGGAAGCCTTTCCCCCTGTCTCCGTCACCACTCTGGGCTCTCCCATGCATTCAAACTGAGGTGCCTGCCCTTCTAGGAATGGGGGACAGGGGGAGGGGAGGAGCTAGGGAAAGAAAACCTGGAGTTTGTGCCAGGGTTTTTGGGATTAAGTTCTTCATTCACTAAGGAAGGAATTGGGAACACAAAGGGTGGGGGCAGGGGAGTTTGGGGCAACTGGTTGGAGGGAAGGTGAAGTTCAATGATGCTCTTGATTTTAATCCCACATCATGTATCACTTTTTTCTTAAATAAAGAAGCCTGGGACACAGTAGATAGACACACTTATCTTGGTTTGTCCTTCAGTTACTGAGGTAGGGATGGGAATATCCAATGCTCATACCCAAGTGACCCTGAAACTAAGGTGCCATTTACACTCCTTAAGGTCACACAACATCAGAGGGAGAGCTGGGATTGCAGCCAAGTTTATTTGTACAGGGCCCTGTGATAGGCTAGTTCCCAAAAGCCTGTGATGCAAGAACTTTTGCCCATAGACTCAGTCACCATGTAGCTGTTACCTGTTCAGAGCTGGCTTTTTGCTTTCCCACCCTACTCTGGAATTCTTAAATGGCTTTATACTTAGAAATCATCTTATTTCTGTTGAACCTAGATCACCCCAACCAGAAACTTCTATTAATACTTTGTGCTTTCTTGATACCAGGGTCTATTTGGTTTCCACTTAAGGTTTTTGCATACTCTGCCCATAAGTGACTCATTAGTTACTCAAGTTTTATTCCTGGCTCTGCCACTAGTTCATTAGGGGTCTTTGCCCCAGAGTCATTTCTTCCATTTTAAAAACTTGGGCTCATTAAATCTAGGTAGGAAAGGGCGGGTGTGGCAGGTTTTAATAGAACAGGTCAAGATAAGGCTTTATTTCTATAGAAATGATGCTTTGACAATAGTTTGGCTTGGTGTAAGGCTCACAAAAGAAAATCACATGTACCATGTGTGGGTTAAGCGGTTTGATTCACACTGAACCAGGCCAGCCCAGTTGCCCTCTGCTGTGTCCACCCGTGGAGTGGAGCTGTGTCACAGCCATCACACTGGTAAACTGCTGTAGCTGGTTTACCAGGCTTTCTCTTGCCCTGACAGTACAGGTGAAGCCTGTAAATAAATCTTCTGCTATCTTTGTGAACTTAACCAAATCCCAGTTACCTTATTTAAATGGCAATAGATCTGTTTTCCCTTAAACTAGAAACCTTAATTACCTGTATTCCTACCTCCAGCTCAACCCATATATTTGCACCTTTCCAGTAAGCAGGTTTGTATTTCCATCTCTCCCCTTCCCCTAAGATTCTGAATTAGTTCTCCAGACCTTGCCAAGCACATTCTCCCTGGAAAGCAAGGAATATCACAGACCCACAAGAAGAGTAAATGCCCAGGAGTGAATGAAGCGGCTTGTCCTTGACTTGGAAATAAAAGCAAAGCTGTGAAAAGCCAGGTCGCTACGATTTTGTTGGCAGCAGGACTAGCCACAGAGTAGGGAAGTTTTGGGGCCAGGCCCTAGGTTTTCCCAGAATGCCTTGGGTGATGCCACCAAGAACCTTAAGAACTCCCTCTTACATTTTCCATCGGTTGCAGGCATGGCTTTTGCAACTGATAGGTGCTCTGACTACAGATATTCTGGTGTCCATGGCAACATGGCCTTATGGCTTGTAATAGTGGGAACTTCCAGCTCACTGGCAATTTCCTGGAGGTGGCAATATCTTTGGCAGGAAACCATCTCTTCTGTCTTGGCCACCAGGGTCTGCTCCAGGCCCTGAATGAGTCCACATCAATCCATCCTTCTTCCCTGTAGTCATTCCCTCCTGGGGAGGGAAGGGAAGGGGGGTATTTATCAGACCTATTTGCTCGCTGCTGTGTCTACTCATGGGCAGGTGTGTCCGATGGTGCCTTGGCAGTGGACCTTAGGTCTGAATGCCAGCCCGGCACCCTGGGCATCGGAAGTCGGCCTCCCTGGCAGCCTGGATGCTGCAGCCAACACAGGCCACATGGAACCAGACGTCACAGCCATCACACTGAACCCAGGCCACTGTCTCTTCCTGGGGCAGGCAGCAACAAGGAGCTGCACAGGGCTCCCCGCCCCCAACTGCAGGGGGAGCCATGGGAGCGCTCACTGGGTACTTCCGAGGACGGCCACGTCGATTTCTGAAGGAAGTGACACAGACACAAGGGTCACCGGAAACCTGTAGGAGAAGGCCTAGACCTTGCCACCCTATGGCTGGTCATAGGGTGAGGCCACAGAGGCACAGTGGTCTGAGAACTAAGGTGAGCCTGGACTCTGTCCTTAAAAACACATAGGGTGGGCCTAAAAACCTCTAGTATGAGCCTGAAAGTTCCCCATCCTTAGGCACTAGAAGAATGGGGTTAAAGCCATATGAATGTAAAAAGCAGGACATGCTCACTCCGGTTGTTTTATAAGCACTGCCCCACCCCACCTCTCATGTTCTCCTGCACATATTTTTCTTTTCCTATCAGAGCTAACCCAGGTCTTGCCATTCCATCTATTCCACCTCCCGTGCCCATCCCCCCAGGCAGGGGGACCTCCTCACAGCCTAGGGATACAAGGAATCGAAAAGCAGTAAAACACTGAGAGGGCCAAGTGAGGACTCCACTTACCCAGTGGGAGTCAGTGGGGCTTTGTCTACACGGAGTTTCTTCCTGGGCTCCATAAGGACCGGTGGCGGGTTCTCAGGAGGCTCACTCTCATCATCCAGTTCCGCCAACACTCGGTGAACAGATTTCCTCCGATTGCGTTGTGGTGGAGCAGAAGGCGTGGTCCCCATTTCCCCAGGTGGGGCGGGAACAGGCAGGCTCTTTGGTCCACCCCAACTAGGGGAGAAGGTGAGGGGCTGGGGCCGGAGCTTGCTGAGGCTGCCTATGGAGTTTAGGATCAGTGTGGCCTTGGGGGCAGGGGAGAAGGTGCTGAGAGGCCGCTGTGGAGCCCCCTGGGAGGGCAGCATAGGCCGGAAACCAGCCCCAACCCGGGCTTCTCCCCTAGACCGTGGGATGGTAATGGCAGCAAAGTCCTGAGGCTTGACTCGTACTTGTTGGAACATGAAGTAGAACTCCGAGGGGCTGGTTCCTGGGGGCCCTTCAGGGCCAAAGGTCAGGAGGTCTCCATCACTCAATTCCAGCCTGTGACCTCTTGGGAGTCGGACATTATTGACCAAAGTACCTGTTGATGGTGGGGCACCAGGCAAATATGGAGGACAAAAACAGAAATGACCAGAGTCAGGAGTGGAGAAATCTGTATGATTTCTGGGGAAGAATATGAAACTGTAGTCAGATTCTCCCTCACATCCTAAGCCCCTCAGCAGGTGACAGGTACCAGGCAGTACACTCCTTGTCAGCTAGGAACAAGTCTGTGTTTCTTGTGCTTTCCTACAAAGGATCCCTGCCCTCACTGTCCTAAGGTCCAATTTTCTTTCTTTCTTCTTTTTTTTTCTTTCTTTCTTTTTTTTTTTTTTTGAGATGGAGTTTTGCTCTATTGCCCAAGCTGGAGTGCAGTAGTGCAATCTCAGCTCACTGCACTCCGCCTCCCAGGTTCAAGCAATTCTCCTGCCTCAGCCTCCTGAGTAGCTGGGATTACAGGCATGTGCCACCACGTCTGGCTAATTTTTTTATTTTTAGCAGAGACAGGGTTTTACCATGTTGGCCAGGCTGGTCTCATACTCCTGACCTCCTGATCTGCCCGCCTCAGCCTCCCAAAGTGCTGGGATTACAGGCGTGAGCCACCGTGCCCCGCCCTAAGGTCCAGTTTTCAAACATGCTCACTCTCCCCCAGCTCCAGCTCGTTCAGATCCTAGCTCTACCACTTACCAGTTATGTGACCCTGGGCAAGCTTTTTGTTTGTTTGTTTGTTTGAGATGGAGTCTCGCTCTGTCGCCCAAGCTGGAGTGCAGTGGTGCGATCTCAGCTCACTGCAACCTCCGCCTCCCGGGTTCAAGTGATTCTGCTGCTTCAGCCTCCTGAGTAGCTGGGGTTACAGGTGCACGCCACCACACCTGGCTAATTTTTGTATTTTTTTTTCAGCACAGATGGGGTTTCAACATGTTGGTCAGGATGGTCTCGAACTCCTGACCTCGTGATCTGCCCATCTCGGCCTCCCAAAGTGCTGGGATTACAGGCGTGAGCCACCGTGCCCAGGCTTTTTTAAAAAAATTAATTAATTTTTTGGTAGAGACAGGTTTTCACCATGTTGCCCAGGCTGGTCTCGAACTCCTGAGCTCAAGTGATCCACCCTGCCTTAGCCTCCCAAAGTGCTGGATTATAGGTGTAAACCACCATGCCCAGCCCTGGACAAGTTCCTTAACCTCTTTGTGCCTCATTTTCCTTTACTGTAAATGAGGATAATATTAGTACCACCTACATTCAATACACTTAAAATAGGGCCTGGCTCATAACAGTAAGCACTAGATGAATGTTGGCTACTATAGTCTAATAACCATAACACTCCTACAGCTGACTTTACCAAGAGGCAGTGGCAAAACTCAAATGTGAATCTAGGCTTTCTGAGGCTAACTGCCTCAAGTCACGGAGAAAGACATGCCCAGATTATTAAAAACATTATTCAACATAGAACTGCCCTAACCCAGGAACAGAGTGCCTCAGCAAAGCTGGAAACTGAATCAAGTCTAAACTTGGCCTCTAGTGGCCTCAGAACATCCCCACTGTGATATCTTTCTGATGATATCCCAGGTCCTGTATGAGCTAAACGGGACCAAAAAGGGTCAGTCTGGCAGAGAGCTTCTGACTGTGCACACTTCTGGTGGGAAGATGAAGGTCTGGACCACGACCATCCATCCAATCTGATGGGAGTATGGGAGGCAGGCAGCAGGGTCTTGTGGAGACCTTACTCATTCCAGCCTGGCGCTTCAACCACCCAGGGGCAAAGCTGCCCTGCTTAATGCTCACCTTGGCTGCTGTGGTCTTCCAGGCTGACCCTCCAGTCATCACCCCGGGGCTCGGCATGCAGTTCGGCGTGGATCCCAGAGATGAGGCCAGGCTCCTGCTGGGGCCGCAGGGCCACATCACACAGGTCGGCCCTGTGGCCCAAGCGATAGGTGCAGCCAGCCCCGGCGGGGGGGTGGAAGGTGTAGAGATCACCGCCCCTGCCGCCCCCTATGCGCAGCAGTTGGAAGCAGGGCAGCATGGGCGGTGCCCCCTCTGCACCACCTCTTCCACTTCAGGCATCCATTTCCTTTCCCACTCCTGGGCCACGCACCGCTGGCTTAAGTTCGCTTCCCAGTCTGATGCAAACTTGAGTTGTGCTGTATGCGGTTTCAACTTTGAGCACACTACCTGAATAGCCCAAATTCAGAGTGCAAGCAGCCTAGGACTCAATGCAAAATTGGTTAAGCCGACTTGCAAATGAAAAATTCCAGGAAGGTCTCCGTGCAATGCAAACTCAGGAACACGTCCTATGGCACCTCACTTGAGCTGGATCCTCAGATCGCAAAATATTTGGGGAGCCTCCAATCTGCAAGGCAAGGATACTTTAGGCAGCTCCTGTGTGTGTCGGGGTGGCGGGGCGCGGGGAAGGAGGTCCTGTTATACACACGTCTACGTGCAATACGAACACATCACCTCTGTGTAATTCGGAGAAGAGTAGCTTCTTCCTGTCAAACTTGCTTATCCTAATAGAGCACTCCTGCTTGCCTGCGCCCCGATCTTCTGGCCAATCCCTCACTCATAACTGGTTGAACCTCCGAGGGCAATGAATCCACTGTCATCCCCCAAAAGAAAGTGCAAACGAGTCCTTAAGTACTCCAACAAATTGGACCTAAACCCCTACTTCCCGGCTTCTCTAGGTGGGATAAAAACAGGAAGGAGCTCCCCGCGATCATGCAAGGCATACCCGGCCTTTTCCCACTCCGCCCCAGCCCCGTTTCGGATCTACCCGCGCGGCGCAGTCTCCGAGTAGCCTCCTCTTCAAGCAGTGCCAGCCTGTGCGGCGGATCCCGGGACCCCTTGGGCTCCTCGGCAGGAGCCGACGTTGCTGCATCTGTTTGACAGCCAAGAAGCCGGGGCCAGGAGGGGCGCGGCCTCTGCGCGCGGGCAGCGCCTACCCCTCCTTCGGAATTCCCGGGCCCGAACTTCGCGCCGAGCGAGCCCGCCCCCGTGCCGTTCCCGATTGGCCAGCTCATGTGTTCTCTTCCGCGCCATTGGACAGCGCCCCAAGATCTCCCGCCTTCCACTTTTTCTGATTAGTTCACAAGTTTTCCCGGGTTGCCGCAGTGAGGAGGAGCCGCCTGGGCGCGGAGATGCTCCGACGCATTTAGTGGGCCCAAATTTAGACGCCACTGCGCCTGCGTACACCTTTCCCCCTCCTCCCAACAGAGTGAAATAGGACTTTAGGGCGCCCGCCTTGCGCAGGCGCGGTCAGGGGCAGAGGCGGGGCCGGGAGCGAGGCGTAGGGGGTGTGGCCAAAGCGCAGTAGGGGGCTCTCGCGGTTGGTAAGGGACGTTCGGGAAGAGTCGGTTGGGGGCGGGAAGGGGCTGAGCGGGGGTCCTGGGAGGGTTCAAGGGGTCCAAAGGGGAAGGGGGTACAGGGGCCAGGTGAAGGGACAGATGAAGAGATCAGAACAGCCTTAGAGCTCACGGGCTAACTGGGTGAAGCCTCGGGTATCTAGGGGAGCAGTGGTGGGAGAGTAGAGCCGGCTAGCGTACAGGGGGCGAGGGCAGGCTATTGAGAGATGGGGGTGAGGGTCAGGACCAGAATAATTCCTTCAGAAAAAGGTAGATTAGGTTGTAAAAAGGGACGGGAGTAGGGATCCCAGATTCGGGTAAAAAATAGATTAATGAGGGTGGGAGGGTGGGAGGAAGATCTTAAAGTGCCCACTATGTGTTAGGACTCGAGAAAGAGGAGGCGGGCAGCAGGCATGGAAGCTAAGGGGATAGTAGAGAGAAGCTGAGAGAACAGCCGCAGGAAAGATTTGAATAAGATGTCAGGACGCTGGCTTTTCTGCCTGGGGATCTAGGCGGCCTGGATTCCCAAGGTCTTGGGGAGGGTCTAGCCCTGCATGTGGCCACATTCAGCTGGGGCCAGGCCTTGGGCCAGCACTTTAACAGGGAAGGACCCAAGAGTCATGGCCTGCTGGTGTCTGGATGGGCTTCCCTCAGGCCTTGCTGAGCCATGGAGAGAACTCTGGAGATGGCGCTCAAGACCCCTGCACTGTGTACCTCCTTTCTCACCTCTGGCCAGGAGCAGCAGGGACCATAGAAACTTAAGGAGGAGGGTAGAGGCACTGCCCAGAATCCTGAAAGTATGAGTAAAGCCTCAGAGCCCCTCTCAGTCTGTCTCTTTCAGTAAATTCTCTCCACTTGATAGTTGCTTGGGTTCCATGAGGAACCAGGTTGAGACAAGCAAGTGAATTTGGGGTATCTCCTACTTTGGGGAAGTAGGAAAAGAGCTAAGCATCGGGTGGACCTGGCTATAATTCAAGGATTATGACTTTGTTATTGTAGGGGCTTTCTCTTTGGAAGGTGGCCTGAAAATTGAATTGGAGTGTCTTTGTTTCTCCTCTTGTCCAGGGGAACATAGATGGCTGGAGACAGAATCTAGAGCCTTCAAATAATGTGGAGATGTTTCCACCTTCAGGTCAGTGGGACCAGACAAGGGGAGTGGTGGTTGTCTCTGCCTGGGAAACTGACCATCTTTGTTTTTGTAATTCTTCAGGTTCCACTGGGCTGATTCCCCCCTCCCACTTTCAAGCTCGGCCCCTTTCAACTCTGCCAAGAATGGCTCCCACCTGGCTCTCAGACATTCCCCTGGTCCAACCCCCAGGCCATCAAGATGTCTCAGAGAGGCGGCTAGACACCCAGAGACCTCAAGTGACCATGTGGGAACGGGATGTTTCCAGTGACAGGCAGGAGCCAGGGCGGAGAGGCAGGTAGGGATCCATCCACGCCGTTTTCTCAGGCTTGCTTGCTAGTGACCCTTCCTCACTGGAATAAACTCCTTACCCTATTTCGGCCCTAGTTTCCAGAACGTACTCATTTTTATGTAAGCAATTAGTTCCTACAGTGCATAAATAATAAAGCAGTGTGCTAAGTGCTAGGGATGAGGATAACAATAGTGAATAAGACAAATCCTGACTTAAATTTGTAATTAATAAGGAATCTAAAATCCTAAGAGGGGAGATAGATTGACCACCAGCTGATGGTAAAGCATGGTATGAGGCAAGATGAAGAAGTGCAAACTAGAGGTAGAGACCCAGCACTGTGGCAGTGTGGGTTCATTCTGATGGAAGAAAGCCTTTACAGAGGACATGCTGTGGGAGCTGGCCATGCTGTCGTATTATCTGTAAACATTCTTATTCTTGTTTCATGTGTCTTTTCCCAGATGTACTGGGATATCATTCTGCCATTTTGCTCCAGAATAGGATTACATTAGAAGAAGCAGCATGATGAAGAAGGAATACTAGACTGGGTGTCAGGAGACAGAGACTCTATTTCTAGTTTGGCTACCAGCTAGAGGACATTTGGCAAGTCACTTAATTTCCCTAGCCTACAGATCGCTGCTACTAAAGAAAGAAAGAAAGAGCGAGCCAGATATGGCGGCTCACACCTATAATCCTAGCACTTTGGGAGCTGAGGCAGGAGGATCACTTGAGCCCAGGAGTTCATGACCAGCGTGGGCAACAAAGCGAGACTCCGTCTCCACAGAAAATAATTAGCTGGCTGTGGTGGCATGCATTTGTAGTCCTAGCTACTCAGGAGGCTAAGGTGGTAGGACCCCTTGAGCTCAGAAGTTGAAGACTGCAGTGACCTATGATCCAGCCACTGCATTGAGGCCTGGGTGACACAGTGATACCCTGTCTCTAAAAACGACAACAACAACAATCTCTTATAGTCCTGGGTCTCAGAGAGCTGCCTCAGGAGCCATGTTCCAAGCTGGATTAAACTTCACGTGACATTGGTAGACGATTTCTCTAAAGGCTGGCACTGTGTTATTTATGTACTGTTCTCTCAGACTCCTCATAAAGTATACCTAACACTCAATAAATGCCTTTTTTTTGAGATGGAGTCTCACTCTGTCGCCCAGGCTGGAGTGCACTGGGGAGATCTTGGCTCACTGCAAGCTCTGCCTCCCAGGTTGACGCCATTCTCCTGCCTCAGCCTCCCAAGCAGCTGGGACTACAGGCACCTGCCACCATGCCCAGCTAGTTTTTTATATTTTTAGTAGAGATGGGGTTTCACCGTGTTAACCAGGATGATCTCGATCTCCTGACCTCGTGATCCGCCCGCCTCGGCCTCCCAAAGTGCTGGGATTACAGGCATGAGCCACCGCGCCCAGCCAATAAATGCCTTTTAACTAGCACCTGGCCTCACCATATTGATACTGGAAGCTTACGACCTCTCTATGCCCATTCCTCCCTCAAACTTCTTGCCCTTAAATTAGAATTGAGAAGTCCCTGTGTGTTCTTCCAACCTTTCCACTTAAAATGTGTGGCCTAAAAATAAAAAAATAAATAAGACAAAAAAACCACCAAAAAACAAAAAGAATGTGTGGCCTAATGATATACACATTTGATGTTGAATCCTCCTGTATGTAGCTCTCTCTAGGGAGATCATGTTCCACGATCTCAGCCAGACTTTAGGTCCTGTGAGTCCAGGCACTGGACTCAACATGCTCAATAGGGCTTTGATGAATGATGATGATGTCAATGCAGACATCCCCATACCCCAGCTTCAGCACCCCCTTCACCTCCCCACACGGAAGCAGAGGGGTCCTCTTTTCCTTCTCCTGGCTATGTTTATGCCCTCAACTATCCTTCCAGCACTGGAGACAAGTCTCACCTGCACTAACCTGTCTTTGAAGGTCCTGGGGGCTGGAGGGGTCACAGGCCCTGAGCCAGCAGGCTGAGGTGATCGTTCGGCAGCTGCAAGAGCTGCGGCGGCTGGAGGAGGAGGTCCGGCTCCTGCGGGAGACCTCGCTGCAGCAGAAGATGAGGCTAGAGGCCCAGGCCATGGAGCTAGAGGCTCTGGCACGGGCGGAGAAGGCCGGCCGAGCTGAGGCTGAGGGCCTGCGTGCTGCTTTGGCTGGGGCTGAGGTTGTCCGGAAGAACTTGGAAGAGGGGAGCCAGCGGGAGCTGGAAGAGGTTCAGAGGCTGCACCAAGAGCAGGTGAATGCAGGGGTAGAAAGGATTCAAATTCATAACGGAGAGCTGGGCAGTAGCTTCCAAGCAAAGAACAGGTATTGCAGAAAAGACCCTCCATGAGTAGTGAGTAGTAGAGTGATGAGACCTTTGGTGAAAATAAACACACATGGCCTAGAAAGATGGAGAATTTGGGTACTTTTATCTTAATTCAGGTTGCACTTTTCCCCCAAGACTCAGGTGGCCTCCCACCACTTGAAGCCCTGCTTCCCTTTCTAGTAGGAAATAGTTTGCCTCCCTACTTTACTCCAGGTACCAATTCATCAGGGGTATTGTGGAGGGCAGTGAGGAAGGTGGGTATAAGGGGGCTATGGTGGACTGGGAGAGAGAGATTATTCAGTCCTCAAACTCAGTACTTACTCTTTGCCATCTCTAAGACTCAGTGACCAAATTAGCCTGAGTCCTGCCTTCGTGGATGGAACTGACAGCCTCGTGGGGGATATACACATCCACATTTAATTTAATCATAATTAATTGCAATCAGGAGGAATGCCTTGAAGGAGAAGGACTAGAAAGCACTAACTTAGTCTGGGGTTCAGGGAAGGCCACTGTAACCAGTTGACATGTCAAGGAAAGAAACCATAGCCCTGGGCGCAGTGGCTCACGCCTGTAATCCCAGCATTTTGGGAGGCCGAAGCAGGCAGATCACAAGGTCAGGAGTTCAAGACCAGCCTGGCCAACATGGCGAAACCCTGTCTCTACTAAAAATACAAAAATTCACCAGGCGTGGTGGTGCGCACCTGTAATCCCAGCTACTTGGGAGGCCGAGGCAGGAGAATCACTTGAACCTGGGCAGTGGAGGTTGCAGTGAGCCGAGACTGTGCCATTGCACTCCAGCCTGGGCGACAGAGCAAGACTCTGTCTCAAAAAATAAAATAAAAAAGGAACTGGGAGAAAACAAGGGAGAATTCCTTTATAACCTTGTAGTGGGCAAGGCCTTTCTACCTGTGAGTCAAAATCCAAAATCTAGAAGCCATAAAGGAAAAAATTGATCCATTGACTTTATAACATGAACATTAGGAATAGCCAAAAAGAAAAAAAAAAGCTATATTTATAGCTCAGATCACAAGAAAAGGGTAATATCCCTAATATAAAATGTGTGCCTAGAAATTGGTAAGGGAAAGACCAGCAATCCAATCAGAAAATGGACAAAGGAGATTTATGAAAGAAACTTAGAAACAAGAAGCTAGGCCAGGCACAGTGGCTCATGCCTGTAATCCCAGCACTTTGGGAGGCCGAGGTGGGCGGATCACTTGAGGCCAGGAGTTAAAGACCAACCTGGCCAACATGAAGAACTCTACAAAAAAATACAAAAATTAGCCGGGTATAGTCGTGGGCGCCTGTAATCCCCCAGCTTCTTGGGAGGCTGAGGCAGGAGAATTGCTTGAACCTGGGAGACAGAGGTTACAGTGAGCTGACATCACACTCCAGCCTGGGCAGCAGAGCGAGACTAAAAAAACAACAAGCTACCGTTTGTGCTGAATAGGAGTTGGCCAGTGAAGAGGCGTGTGAAGTCCAGTGGTAGCTGGAAGACACTTGGTGGGACAACAGGTGAAGGCGGGGACAGGAGGCCAGAAGGCTGGGGCACAGAGATGAGGGGCACTGAGTGTGCTGCAGAGCCCAGGGCCCAGGGCACAAGGCTTTGGCCACTTCAGAACTTGCTACTTTCCCATAAGAGCAATGAGCAGGCTGGGCACAGTGGCTCATACCTGTAATCCTAGCACTTTGGGAGGCCAAGGTGGAAGGATCATTTGAGCCCAGGAGTTTGAGACCAGCCTGGGCAACAAAGCGAGACCCCCATCTCTATTTTATGGAAGAAATTAGGGCTGGGCATGGTTGCTCACATGTGTAATCCTAGCACTTTGGGAAGCTGAGGCGGGTGGATCACTTGAGGTCAGGAGTTCGAGACCAGCCTGGCCAACATGGTAAAACCTCATCTCTACTAAAAATACAAAAATTAGCTGGGCGTGGTGGCTCATGCCTGTAATCTCAGCTACTCAGGAGGGTGAGGCAGGAGAATCGCTTGAACCTGGGAGGCAGCGTTTGCAGTGAGCTGAGATCGTGCCATTGCACTCCAGTCTAGGCAACAAAGTGAAACTCCATCTCCAAAAAAACAAACAAAAAAAAATTGTTTTTTCAAGTAATAAGCAACCGTTGAAAGGTTGTTTTTTTTTTTTTTTTGAGATGGAGTCTCGCTCTGTCGCCCAGGCTGGAGTGCAGTGGCGCGATCTTGGCTCACTGCCAGCTCCGCCTCCCGGGTTCAAGTCATTCTTCCGAGTAGCTGGGACTACAGGCGCCCGCCACCACGCCCAGCTAATTTTTTGTATTTTAATAGAGACGGGGTTTCACCATGTTAGCCAGGATGATCTCGATCTCCTGACCTTGTGATCCACCCACCTCGGCCTCCCAAAGTGCTGGAATTACAGGAATGAGCCACTGCGCCCGGCCTGTTGAAAGGTTTTAAGCAGGGAAATAACATGATTAGATTTGTATTTTATGTCTAAAAAATTTTGTCATTTATGTCCCCCAAATTAATTTTATTGTTGTATGGAGACAGGGCTAGAGGAGGCAGACCAGGAAGCAGGGTGGGCACTTTGCCCTCCTTTCCAGTCCATCCCATGACTCTTGGTGGCTCTGACACCCCTGCAACCCTTTGAGGTGCCATGAGCAAAAGACACAAAATTCCTCCTTTCCTGGAGCTTTCCTTCCAGTGTGGTCCGACAGATAGTAACACATACACATAAGCAAGATATGGTCAGTGCTAAGTGCTCAGGAGGACGTGAACAGCTGATGGGGCAGAGTAGGGTGGGGAGGGACGGTATTAGAGGGCCCAGTGAAGCCACCCTGAGGAGGGGCTATCGCCTGGGGTCTGTGGAGCAAGGAGGGGCCGCTGTCTGGTTCTCAGCAGACTCCCCGTGGCCGGAGCGGGGAGCAGTGGGAGAGCCTCCAGGGTGAGCTCAGGAGGTAGGCAGAGGCCGGGTCCCCTGGCCTGCAGGTGTGGAGAGACACCTGGGTTTTGTTGTGAATGCTGTGAGAAGCCACTGAGGGTTTGTAAAGACTAGTTAGGAGATGGTCGCTGTTGCCCAGGCAAAAGATGAGGGTTGGTGGCAGTGGAGACGGAGACAGAGAGGTGAAGATATGTTTTGGGGGAGATCGGACAAGAACTCCTGATGGGTTGTGGGGCAGCTGCGGAGAGTGAGTTGCCAGCTCTCCATTTGCTGTGCACAGTTGGCTGATTGGTTGGGTCATTCTCTAAGGTCACAGAAAGTGGGAGTGAAGGGAACAAGGAAGGCCTCCATGTGGGGTCGAGCCTCTGCTGAGCCCCCTCTTCTTTCCGCAGCTGTCCTCTTTGACACAGGCTCACGAGGAGGCTCTTTCCAGTTTGACCAGCAAGGCTGAGGGCTTGGAGAAGTCTCTGAGTAGTCTGGAAACCAGAAGAGCAGGGGAAGCCAAGGAGCTGGCCGAGGCTCAGAGGGAGGCCGAGCTGCTTCGGAAGCAGCTGAGGTAGGTGGGCGGACGCCGACGGGAGCCCAGCAATTAGTGATGTGGTGGATCTGCAGGGCGCCCCACTGATGGCTGTCCCATTCCCACCCCAACCCTAGCAAGACCCAGGAAGACTTGGAGGCTCAGGTGACCCTGGTTGAGAATCTAAGAAAATATGTTGGGGAACAAGTGCCTTCTGAGGTCCACAGCCAGACATGGGAACTGGAGCGACAGAAGCTTCTGGAAACCATGCAGGTGAGGGTGCAGGAATGTATCTGTGTGCAGACTTAGGGATCAGGTTGGGAGGCAAGCGTGGCCCTTGGAGGAGCGTGTAGAGCACAGCCTCCGGGAGAGAAGGTGGTACCTAAGGCGGCATGGAGGCCCTACAGAGGGGCTGCTTTCCTCTGCCCGCAGCACTTGCAGGAGGACCGGGACAGCCTGCATGCCACCGCGGAGCTGCTGCAGGTGCGGGTGCAGAGCCTCACACACATCCTCGCCCTGCAGGAGGAGGAGCTGACCAGGAAGGTACAGCCCAACCCCCAGACCCCTCACCCTCAGCCGCATCCTGCATCTACTGTCCCCTGCCTCCCTCCCTGTGGGCAGGAGGGGTCAATGTGCCCCAGAACCTGCTTAGATCTCCTTCCTGTGAACTCCTCTTGCTGTAGCTCATGTTGCCCAGGCAGGACAGAGGAGAAACAAAGATGCCACCTCCTTCCTCTCCTCCCCCAGGAGCCCACACTTTTCTCCCACTCCTTCTCCCTCAGGTTCAACCTTCAGATTCCCTGGAGCCTGAGTTTACCAGGAAGTGCCAGTCCCTGCTGAACCGCTGGCGGGAGAAGGTGTTTGCCCTCATGGTGCAGCTAAAGGCCCAGGAGCTGGAACACAGTGACTCTGTTAAGCAGCTGAAGGGACAGGTCACTGCACTCTCTTTTCTCCCGGTATTCCCTCCCAGCACCTTGCTCCTTCCATGAAGGTGGCATCCATTCAACCAGTGTTTATTGAGTGGTTGCCACATGCTGGGCACACAGCCCTGAACAAAACTAAAATGTGGAGCTTGCATTCTAGAACAGAGACACAGAACACGCAAGTAAACAGATAATGTTGGGTAATTATATGTGCGATAGAAAGATTGAAGCCAGGTGCAGTGGCTCACACCTATAATGCGATCACTTTGGTCTTGAACTCCTGACCTCAGGTGATTCACCTGCCTCAGCCTCCCAAAGTGATGGGATTACAGGTGTGAGCCACCGTGCCCAGTCAAGTAATGCCAACAGTTTGGGAGACCGAGGCAGGTGGATCACTGGAGGTCAGGAGTTCGAGACCAGCCTGGGCAACATGTGAAATCCCGTCTCTACTAAAAATACAAAAAATTAGCCGGTCATAGTGGCTCATTCCTGTAGTCCCAGCTACTCTGGAGGATGAGGTGGGAGGATCACCTGAGGCTGGGAGGTCGAGGCGAGGCCACAGTGAACTGTGATCCCATCACTGCACTCTAGCCTGGGTGACAAAGCGAGATCTTTTCTCAAAAAAAAAGAAAGTAGTAAGAAAAATTCAAAAGATAATGTGACGGAGAGACTGTGGGGTGAGTCAGCCTCAGGTAGGATGCTCAGAGACAGCCTCTCTGAGGAGGTGACAGCATCTGAGGAGAGTGGCATGGTCAGTTGGTGGGTCTTGTGGGGTGGGTCAAGGGCTATTCCCATCTTTGAGTGGGCACATGGAATGTGGAACATGGAACACTGGGCTCAGATTCCATCCTCAGAACCTAAGCTTCTGTCTCCCTGCGTGGCATTCATTCTTTTTCTTTTCTTTTTTTTTTTTTTTTTTTTTTGAGAAGGAGTCTTGTTCTTGTCACCAGGCTGGAGTGCAGTGGCCTGATCTCAGCTCACTGCAACCTCCGCCTCCCAGGTTCAAGTGATTCTCCTGCCTCAGCCTCCCGAGTAGCTGGGATTACAGGCACATGCCATCACGCTCAGCTAATTTTTGTATTTTTAGTAGAGACAGGCTTTCACCATGTTGGTCAGGCTGATCTTGAACCCCTGACCTCAAGTGATCCATCTGCCTCGGCCTCCCAAAGTGCTGGGATTACAGGTGTGAGCCACCGTGCTGCAACCCACCCCCGTCGCCCGCCCCCCCTCCCCCCAGCCCCTGCATGGCATTCTTACAGAGATCTCTGCACCTGCCACTTTGCTTCCAGTGCCCCCCTCATCTTTTAGCTCTAGAGGGCCCTGCCTAGCTCTCTCTCCTCCCCCAGGTGGCCTCACTCCAGGAAAAAGTGACATCCCAGAGCCAGGAGCAGGCCATCCTGCAGCGATCCCTGCAGGACAAAGCCGCAGAGGTGGAGGTGGAGCGTATGGGTGCCAAGGTTGGTGTCAGCCTACTAGAGACTCGGGGAGGGCAAGGGAGCCCCTGTTCCGGGGCTGCAGCCAGGACTTAGGGAGGGACCCTGTCCTTTGCTGCATCCTCCCCAGGGCCTGCAGTTGGAGCTGAGCCGTGCTCAGGAGGCCAGGCGTCGGTGGCAGCAGCAGACAGCCTCAGCCGAGGAGCAGCTGAGGCTTGTGGTCAATGCTGTCAGCAGGTATCAGGGATGGAGGGGTGGGTGGAGTAGTGTTTCTGCCACCTCAGGTTCCTGGGCACCTTGTTGCTGAGGATCCTCAGGCAAGAGGGGCTGGAAAGTGGCCACTGGAGGCTACAGGGCTGGGCAGATTTAGCTCTATCAATGTTCCTGTGTTCGTTTCTTTTCCTGGGGAAGCCCCTTCTGCATTCATACCTGATTGCTTGTTATGAATTTCCCGTTGCATGTTTGGCTGGAGGTGAGGCCTTGCTTCCTCCTGCAGTTCAGTCTAGTAATGGCTTGAGCTAAATAGAGCACCCGGGAGGATCTTTACTTGCAGTATTGTTCAAGGATGGAGAGTGTAGACACTTCATCTTCCTTTTTTTTTCTAAAATTTTACGGGCAATCCGTTTCACTGGAGAAAAATTTAGTCTATTTATTTATTTATTTTGAGACAAAGTCTCGCTCTGTCACCCAGGCTGGAGTGCAATGGCGCAATCTTGGCTCACTGCAACCTCACCTCCCTGGTTCAAGTGATTCTCCTGCCTCAGCCTCCCGAGTAGCTGGATTACAGGCATCCTCCACCAGTGTCCTCCACTACACCCGGCTAATTTTTGCATTTTTAGTAGGGACGGGGTTTCACCATGTTGGCCAGGCTGGTCTTGAACTCCTGACCTCAGGTGATCCACCCACCTCAGCCTCCCAAAGTGCTGGAATTATAGGTGTGAGCCACTGCACCTGGCCTAGTCTATTTATTTAAAGCTATATACTTACTTGCTTATTATATACTTAACTTGCTTACTATTCCATCTAAAATGTAAGCCAGTTAGTTTCCTTCTAAATCAATTGCCAGCCTTTGTCTCTCCTACCAACTTCCTAGTTGTTTCATTACCTACAATTGTTGTATGACCTTCAGAAAAACCTCTAAGAAAACAGCAAAGCTTCTTTGTGCTGGTGATGACTTCCCCTCAGCCTTAGACACTGAGGTACCCAAGGCAGGTAGTTCTTTTTTTTTTTTTTTTTTTTTTTGAGACAGAGTCTCGCACTGTCACCCAGGCTGGAGTGCAATGGCACGATCTCAGCTCACTGCAACCTCTGCCTCCCGGGTTCACACGATTTTCCTGCCTCAGCCTCCTGAGTAGCTGGGATTACAGGTGCACACCACCACACCCGGCTACTTTTTTGTATTTTTAGTAGAGACAGGGTTTCACTGTGTTGGCCAGGCTGGTCTCAAACTTCTGACCTCGTGATCCGCCCGCCTCGGCCTCCCAAAGTGCTGGGATTACAGGCTTGAGCCACCGTGCCTGGCCGGCAGGTAGTTCTTAGCACAGTCTCTGGCTTGTAAATGTTTATTGTTATCGTGAGGCTCTTCTTGATGGGTTAATTTAGATAAAGATAATTTTTGGTTTAGCGAAATTAAGATGCAGGATGAGTCCTTGCCCATCACTTCCTTCTCTTGGATTTGTACCTTAGGGACTAATTTAGCTTTAAAAATTATGAAAAATTTCAAACTTGCACGGAATTAAACTAGTTATAATGACCTACCACCCAGGTTCAATCCATCGCGGGTGCCCCCTACCTCCAGGAGAACAGAAAGATGCACTGTGGACAGGGTTTGACTTTGGTACCAGGCGATCACAGAAATGGTCTGTGTAATGATGCATTTGCCGAAAGTCCTCCAGGCTTAAAGCAGTCCAAACTCTGATTGTTGCTGGGTTTATTAGATTGTCTCTAGGTAATTGGAGACTTTAATAAGGGCTGTGGTAGGTGTTGGAAGCATCTACTGGAACAATTTCCAGATCAAAGTGAACTTTGCTGTGCTGCTGGGGATGCAGCTGCAAGCCTTCATCATCATGTGTTTTTCTGTGGGTGCAGACCTGGACTCTCCTGAGGAAACCCCAGCCCGGCCCCAGACACTCCTTGGCCTCCTCCTGGGGCCTGTTTAAGCTGCTCAGTTTTCATGAGCCAGGTTGGTCCTACTTCTGGCACAGCCAGCTGGTAAAGCATGTGGACCTGCCCGTCATTGGTGCTAGATCGACACTCCTGGGCTTGGAGAGGATAACTTTGTTTTCTTTTGTTTTTTTGAGATGGAGTCTCGCTCTGTCACCCAGTCTTGAGGGCAGGGGTGCGATCTTGGCTCACTGGAACCTCCACCTCCTAGGTTCAAGTGATTCTCGTGCCTCAGCTTCTGGAGTAGCTGGGATTACAGGCATGAGCCACCATGCCCGGCTAATTTTTGTGTTTTTAAGTAGAGAGAGTTTCACCATGTTGGCCAGGCTAGTCTCCAATTCCTGACTTCAGGTGATCCGCCCGCCTCGGCCTCCCAAAGTGCTGGGATTACAGGCAGGAGCCACTGCCCCTGATCAGAGAGGATAACTTTACTCTTTGATACACGATAGTGAGCAAAACACAGTTGTGAGAAATAAGCTTAACAGGTTGCTTAAAAAGATAGTCATTTAATGCATTCTTGGGGCAAGGGTCCTTTAGATAATTGACGGAAGCTGTGCGTTCTGTACTTGTATAATGGGACAGGATTAGAGGGAGTTGTCTATACAAGGCACAGCAAGTCCTTTGGGAATGAGGGGAGGCATGGAGGATCAGTGACTTGTGCCCTCTCCAGCTCTCAGATCTGGCTCGAGACCACCATGGCTAAGGTGGAAGGGGCTGCCGCCCAGCTTCCCAGCCTCAACAACCGACTCAGCTATGCTGTCCGCAAGGTCCACACCATTCGGGGTGCGTAGGACAACTGCGAGCCACGTCCTGCCCCCACCCCACCAGCTCGGACTTTCTTCTTCCTGACCCAGCTCTCTCTGATCCCACATCCATTCACCTTCCTCCTTTCACCAGTCCTTGCATCTCTTTTTCCCTTACTCCCTGTCCCCACTTTCTCCCATGCAAACTTCATCTCTTTTTCTCCCTGCTTTTTCCCCTCCAGGCCTGATTGCTCGAAAGCTTGCCCTTGCTCAGCTGCGCCAGGAGAGGTGAAGTTTGGGCACTTTGAGGTGGATGGGGCTTTAGGGCATTGGCTGCTGGGACCCCCAAAACCATGAGGACTGAGGTGGGATGGGGGCTTTGGGATCAGGCAGCTGGGTGATTTCTTCTGACTCTTTCTCTTCCCCGTCCCAGCTGTCCCCTACCACCACCGGTCACAGACGTGAGCCTTGAGTTGCAGCAGTTGCGGGAAGAACGGAACCGCCTGGATGCAGAACTGCAGCTGAGTGCCCGCCTCATCCAGCAGGAGGTGGGCCGGGCTCGGGAGCAAGGTACACCTGGTTGCCAGGGGGTGGAGAGGATGAGGAAAAACCCGGTGTCTAGGGTGCTGGGAGAGGCCTGACCCAGCACCCCCTCCTTTTAGGGGAGGCAGAGCGGCAGCAGCTGAGCAAGGTGGCCCAGCAGCTGGAGCAGGAGCTGCAGCAGACCCAGGAGTCCCTGGCTAGCTTGGGGCTGCAGCTGGAGGTAGCACGCCAGGGCCAGCAGGAGAGCACAGAGGAGGCTGCCAGTCTGCGGCAGGAGCTGACCCAGCAGCAGGAACTCTACGGGCAAGGTGTCGAGAGGGAAATGGGTGCTTCCCTTGGAGGGTGGGGTGGGAACTGCGAATCAAAGCTCCTGCTGATATGCCCCGTCTGCACTTTCACCCCAGCCCTGCAAGAAAAGGTGGCTGAAGTGGAAACTCGGCTGCGGGAGCAACTCTCAGACACAGAGAGGAGGCTGAACGAGGCTCGGAGGGAGCATGCCAAGGCCGGTGAGCCTTGCCAGGGTGGATAGGGCCTTCCAGGAAGAAGGAAGTGTTAAGACATAAGGTTATTATTTTCCCCTCAAAGTGTGTTCAAAGCTTCATTACAGGAAGTAATGAAGGTATCCAGGAGTAGCACAGATGAATTATCACATCGTGAACACACCCATGTAGCCAGCACCAGATTAAGAAACAGCATATGGCCGGTCGCGGTGGCTTATGCCTGTAATCCAAGCACTTTGGGAGGCCGAGGTGGGTGTATCACCTGAGGTCAGGAGTTTGAGGCCAGCCTGGACAACATGGCGAAACCCTGTCTCGACTAAAAATACAAAAATTAGCTAGGCCTGGTGGTGGGCACCTGTACCCCAAGCTTACTTGTGAGGCTGATGTGGGAAGACTACATGAACCCGGGAGGTCGAGGCTGCAGTGAGCCAAGATTGTGCCACTGCACTCAAGCCTGGGTGATAGAGAAAGACCATGTGTCAAAAAAAGAATTGTGTAATGAATGTATCTTCTCTAACTAAATATAGCAGTTAACATTTGCCACATTTGGTCTCTTATCTATATACACACATATTTGTACATCTTTTGAATCACTTTAAGTTGTAATCATTTAATGTTTTGTTGTTGTTGTTGTTTGAGACAGAGTCTTCCTCTGTCACCAGCTGGAGTGCAGTGGCATGATCTTGGCTCACTGTGACCTCTGCCTCCCGGGTTCAAGCCATTCTCCTGGCTCAGCCTCCCAAGTAGCTGGGATTACAGGCGCCCACCACCATGCCCAGCTAGTTTTTGTATTTGCAGTAGAGACGGGATTACACCATGTTGGCCAGGATGGTCTCGAGCTCCTAACCTCGTGATCCGCCCGCCTTGGCATCCCAAAGTGCTGGGATTATAGGCGTGAGCCACCACGCCTAAGTAAGTTGTAAACATAAGTTGTTCAGCCGCATCTCCCAAAGCCAGTAAATTCTCCTATATAGCTGCAATCATCACACTTTAAGACAGTGAACACTAATTGCACAAAATCTAACCCAGTTCATGTTCAGATTTCCCCTGAGGAACTCCAGGATGGTTCAGGGATGAGGAAGATACTTAGGTTCAGATTCCCAGGCTCCTAGAGCATCAGCCCACCCCTCCAACTGTACAGAAGAGACAGATCCACAGAGCAGAACAGCCTCCCCAAGCCACAGAGTTGGTGACCCAGCGTTTGTTCCTGTCTTCATGGTGCCTGGCTGCCTCTGGCCTGACTCACACCTGCCTCCTCTGTGCCTTGGCCTCTCTGTAGTGGTCTCCTTACGCCAGATTCAGCGCAGAGCCGCCCAGGAAAAGGAGCGGAGCCAGGAACTCAGGCGTCTGCAGGAGGAGGCCCGGAAGGAGGAGGGGCAGCGACTGGCCCGGCGCTTGCAGGAGCTAGAGAGGGATAAGAACCTCATGCTGGTAGGAGACAGGAGGGCAGACAGGCAGACACTAGGGCCCATCCTGGGCTGGTTCCTGGGCTAGAGGTGTGGAAAGAGGATGGTGAGGGAGGCTCTATCCGGGCTAGGTTTAACCCTCTCCTTCCCAGGCCACCTTGCAGCAGGAAGGTCTCCTCTCCCGTTACAAGCAGCAGCGACTGTTGACAGTTCTTCCTTCCCTACTGGATAAGAAGAAATCTGTGGTGTCCAGCCCCAGGCCTCCAGAGTGTTCAGCATCTGCACCTGTAGCAGCAGCAGTGCCCACCAGGGAGTCCATAAAAGGTCTTGGGCCAAGCACAAAGGGACAAGGGACAAATGCGCGCACTTCAGGAATCTCCTCTTCAGACTCTCGCATGATGAGTGTTGTTCTCTGCGGTCCTTCGAGGCCCTTAGCCTCTTTTAGCGATGCCCAGCTTGGACCAAAGAGCCTCCTCTCTCCCATTCCTCATTTCCTGTGCCAGCCCTGTTTCCTCTGTAACCACGAGCACCTTCCCTTGTCTGGTGCTCATCTGCTGTCTTCCTTCCCAGGGTCCCTCTCTGTCCTGCTCGATGACCTGCAGGACCTGAGTGAAGCCATTTCCAAAGAGGAAGCTGTTTGTCAAGGAGACAACCTTGACAGATGCTCCAGCTCCAATCCCCAGATGAGCAGCTAAGCAGCTGACAGTTGGAGGGAAAGCCAGCCTGGGGGCTGGGAGGATCCTGGAGAAGTGGGTGGGGACAGACCAGCCCTTCCCCATCCTGGGGTTGCCCTGGGGGATACCAGCTGAGTCTGAATTCTGCTCTAAATAAAGACGACTACAGAAGGAGCCATTGTTTGGAAATGTTATTTCTGGGAATCTGTGGGAATTCTCCCTGCAGCCATCTCTCTTGGAGATTGTGAGAAGTGGTCCCACCCATAGCTCTCTCTATGGGTGGCACCTTTTCAAATCCTTTTTCTAGGCAGCTTTGGAAATGTTTGGGAAGCTCCTGCTTTTCTTTATTCTCAACTTTTGTTTTAAAACTCTTTTCTTCTGGAAGATGATAAATGCTAGGAGTGGGGAAGATGAAACATTCACTCGTTCAACAGGAATGTCAGAGCTAGGCACTGTATTAGCCTGGGGGCCACTTGGACCCTGAGAGCCTACATCCTAGTGGGAGAGCGAGCGAGCAGATGGGACCTAAACAGATGAACGAGATCGTTTCAAATAAGTGCTTGAAGAGAAAGTACAGTACGATGATATGATAGAAACTGACTCTGGGGAGAGGCCTCTGAGCAGGGGACCTTGTGCAGAGGCCTGCCTGAAGTGGGCTCCTGTGGAGGCCAGGAGGTCTCTGTAGAGAATGCTCAAGGATGCTGCTGCGAGGCCGAGATGTGGCCAAGTTTGGATTTTACTGTAAGTCAATAGAAAGCCATTGGAGTACTTCTTTAAAAACGGGGAAGAAAGCCAGGTGTGGTGGCTCACGCCTGTAATCCTGACACTTTGGGAGGCTGAGGCACGCGGATCACCTGAGCTCAGGAGTTTGAGACCAGCCTGGGCAACATGGTGAAACTTCGTCTCTACTAAAATACAAAAAATTAGCCAGGTGTGGTGGTGTGAGCCTGTAGTCCCAGCTACTCAGGAGGCTGACACAGGAGAATTGCTTGGACACGGGAGGTGGAGGTTGCAGTGAGCCGTGATCATGCCACTGCACTCCAGCCTGGGTGACAGAGCGAGACTCAGCCTCAAAAAAAGAAGAAGAATTAAAAAAAAAAAAAAAAAAACAGGGAAGGGGGCCCGGTGTTGTGGCTCCTGCCTGTAATCCCAGCACTTTTTTTTTTTGAGACAGTTTTGCTCTTGTTGCCAGGCTGGAGTGCAGTGGCACAATCTCAGCTCACTGCAACCTCCACCTCCCAGGTTCAAGCAATTCTCCTGCCTCAGCCTCCGGAGTAGCTGAATCCCAGCACTTTTTTGGGAGGCCGAGGTGAGCGGATCGCTTGAGCCCAGGAGTTTGAGACCAGCCAACATAGGGAGACTCCATCTATATAAAAAATAAAAATAAAAAACATTGGAGGGCATGGTGGCGTGCACCCATGGTCCTAGTTACTCCAGAGGCTGAGTTGGGAGGATTGTTTGAGCCCAAGAGGTTGAGGCTGCAATGAGCTGTGATCGCACCACTGCACCCCAGCCTAAGAGAGCGAGAACCTGTCCTCACTCCCCAAACAAAGGGAAGACGCAACATGATTTGGTGTACATTTTTTTTCCTGAGGGACTTACTGGATGGTCCCTTCCAGAGTGAGGTACACATATCCACGCACTGTGGTCAGCGATTGCTCCCGGCACCCAGCGCAGCAGATGGGTGGGTCTAACCAGGTCACTTCCCCAGGAGGGCATAATTGAGCAGTTTCCGCATCAGGTCCACGTGGGCCAGCAGCATGCGGCAGGCAGCGGCTGTGGCGCTTCAGGCCCAGGGCGTCCCCATCAGCGTACTTGGACTGCAGCAGCCCCAGGTAGGCCTCCCACGTGTTGCCCACAGTCTTGCTGCAGGTGAAGCAGCGCACACAACTCCTGAGCTCAAGCGGTCCTCCTGTGTCAGCTTCCCAAAGTGCTGGCATGAGCCACTACGCCTGGCCTGATATATATATATATATATATATGTTTTTTTTTTTTGAGACGGAATTTCACTCGTTGCCCAGGCTGGAGTGCAATGGTGTGATCTCAGCTCACCACAACCTCTGCCTCCTGGGTTCAAGCGATTCTCCTGCCTCAGCCTCTTGAGTAGCTGGGATTACAGGCATGTGCCACCATGTCCGGCTAATATTTTTGTATTTTTAGTAGAGACGGGGTTTCTCCATGTTGGTCAGGCTGGTCTTGAACTCCCGACCTCAGGTGATCCGCCCGCTTCGGCCTCCCAAAGTGCTGGGATTACAGGCGCGAGCCACCACACCAGGCCCGCGTGATGTATATTTTAAGACCTCTTTTGCTGGTGGAGGACAGGCTTTGTGTGAGGGGGAGGGATAAACAGTGGGAGCAAGGGGGCCAATTAGAAGGGTGTTGGGGAGGCTCAGGGGAGATGGTGGCTCAGGATGATGGGCTGGGTTTGGACAGGGTGTGGAGGGGCTTGCAGGTGGATGGTGGAGGAGTGTAACGAAGGTTTCTGGGTGAGCCCTGGAGGGAACAGATGAGATCACGCCATTGCATAATAAGGTGTTCCTTACTGTGGGGTAGCGGACCAGGCAGGGAACAACCTGGGAGGAATCAAATTTTATTTTGGACATGTTACTTCTGAAAGGCTAACAGACTTCCAGGCAGAAAGGTCCTTGAGGGAAACGTTCTAGGGGTCTCTCTGGGAGGCTTAGATCAAGGAGCTGAGACCAAAAGGAGAATGGGAGGGAGGAGACGAGTACAATAGAGTTGGAGCCAAGGTCCTAGAGGCGGATAGGTGGATTCCTGAGGGAGGAGGAAGGGGCTGAGGTTGCTGGAGCCTGGCAGCTTCTTCCGGAGCCATTGGCAGGACTGATGCAAACAGCTCTGGGTGGGAAGAGGGAACCAGGATATCCTCCTGTGTCCTTCCTTTTCTGCAGTCATCCTGGGTGGCTGCCAGATGGAATTCCTTGGATATCATTGCTTGGAGGTCCCCTGCATGCCTGAAGAAGGACATGGTGGAGAGCAGGATGCCTGGATCCCATGGGGGAAGGGAAGTGCCCAGGAAAGCACGAAGCCCCAGGGGGAGCTTTCAGTGCGGGGGTGAGTGGGGAGGCTGGGGTAGTAGCTGACACTGTCCCAGCTGCATCCCAGGTTTGAAAAGCACCTCCTCCCTCAGCGCAGGCATCCTGCCTCCCAACCCTGTAATTACGGTGCTTCCCAACGCCCATCGCGTGGTTTGCTCCCATTCTTTGGCTTCCAATAGTTGCAAGGGATGAAGGTGGACATCTCTGTGATTACGGAGATGCCAAGTGGGTATTGACTGCTCCAGGATGTGGATGGAGGGTGTGAAAACCAGGGTGGGGTGACGCAGGCTCTGGGTCATGATAGGGAGAGCAGGCAGCTGGGTCCTGGGCTGGAGGACTAAAATAAGGGACGCCACCTTCAGGGGTGACACATCAGCCCAGGCCTTCCCAACGGGTTTGACCAGTTCTGTTCTGATGGTATTCCTGTGCCACTGGGCTGGTCCCTCCTCCACTCCTCCCCTATAAAGCCTCTTGGGGTTCCCAGGCACCCAGACTCAGCCCACCCCAGCTTTGGGGGCCAGTACATAGCCATGATCCTCAACTGGAAGCTCCTGGGGATCCTGGTCCTTTGCCTGCACACCAGAGGTGAGGTGGGAACAGAGGCAGGGACTGCAGTTTGGGGTGATGAGGGATACTCAAGATGGCGGAGGTGAACTGGACGCATGGGGTTGGGGACAGGAATTCAGGGGACGCAGAAGGTGCATCTGGCTCACCAGAAATGGCTTTCTGGACACATTGGGTGGGGGACATGGTGCAGAAGGTGCATTTGGCTCTCACCAGAAATGGTTTGCTGGCTCCATGTGGCAAAGTCGGTCAGGATTAACGTGGGGGGGACGAGTTTCCTCGGAGCTGGGATCTGTGTTAAGGAGCTGGGGTCCTTGTAAAGCTGGGGTCTGTGTGCCTGGGGGCCAAGGTGTAACCCACTTTGGGTTGCAGGTTGGCCTGAGGACAAAGCTAGTGGGGTACCCCAACCAGGGGTGGATGGAGCTTATTTGGAGAAGTCTGGTCAGTTTAAAGTGGGTCAAGTGAACGGTTCAGATCCATCGGGGGTAGGGGTTCATGACATTTTACCATCAGTTAAGTATTTACAAACCTACCGAGAGCTCTTTGAGAGTGACTTTTTTGGTCTGTTTGTGGGTCAGTTCAGGCTGCGTCCATCCAGACAGGCTCCTCCTCCTGGGGCTGGGGCTGGGTGGGGCTGGGGAGAGAAGCCCTCACCACCTCTTACCTTTCTCCTTCCTCCTTTACAGGCATCTCAGGCAGCGAGGGCCACCCCTCTCACCCACCCGCAGAGGACCGAGAGGAGGCAGGCTCCCCAACATTGCCTCAGGGCCCCCCAGTCCCCGGTGACCCTTGGCCAGGGGCACCCCCTCTCTTTGAAGATCCTCCGCCTACCCGCCCCAGTCGTCCCTGGAGAGACCTGCCTGAAACTGGAGTCTGGCTCCCTGAACCGCCTAGAACGGATCCTCCTCAACCTCCCCGGCCTGACGACCCTTGGCCGGCAGGACCCCAGCCCCCAGAAAACCCCTGGCCTCCTGCCCCTGAGGTGGACAACCGACCTCAGGAGGAGCCAGACCTAGACCCACCCCGGGAAGAGTACAGATAATGGAGTCCCCTCAGCCGTTCTGTTCCCAGGCATCTCCAGGCACCCACGCCCTCTCCACCCTCTGATTCCCCGTGAATTCTTCCCAATTTAGCCTGTCTCCTTAAACCTCTTCCTCATTCCCTCGGTTTTATTCTGAACCCGTAAGGTGGTGTTCTCAATATTTCCTGTCCCCTCCTGAGATCCATACTTAGTCCTCACATCGCCCGTTTTTTCCTCTGACAGCCTAAGCCTACTCTCCTACCTCGCCTCCAGGCCTCGGCCGCACCTACCTCCCACCCGGTCTTCCTGCCCGCGCGATCGCTGGGGCAGGGCTATGGTACTGTGTTCCCTTCTGCCACCTGGTGGCCGGCGGCAGGAACTATCAGTAGACAGCTGCTGCTTCCATGAAACGGAAAAATAAAAATCATGTTTTCTTAATTCTGAATCTAGGCTGCTGCTTTAACTAACACTTAGGGTCTTTTTTATTTATTTTTATTTATTTGTTTTTTTCTTTTTTTGAGACGAAGTCTCGCTCTGTCGCCCAGGCTGGAGTACAGTGGCACGATCTCGGCTCACTGCAAGCTCCGCCTCCCGGGTTCACGCTATTCTGCCTCAGCCTCCCGAGTAGCTGGGACTACAGGCGCCCGCCACCACGCCAGGCTAATTTTTTGTATTTTTTAGTAGAGGCGGGGTTTCACCGTGTTAGCCAGAGTGGTCTCGATCTCCTGACCTCGTGATCTGCCCGCCTGGGCCTCCCAAAGTGCTGGGATTACACGCGTGAGCCACAGCGCCCGGCCTCTTTCTTCTTTTTCTTTCTTTTTTTTTTAGACGGAGTCTCACTCTATGCCCAGGCTGGAGTGCAATGGCACGATCTCGGCTCACTGCAACCTCCGCCTCCCGGGTTCAAGCCATTCTCCTGCCTCAGCCTTCTGAGTAGCTGGGATTACAGGTGCGCACCACCATGCCCGGCTAATTTTTGTATTTTAGTAGAGATGGGGTTTCACCATGTTGGCCAGGCTGGTCTCGAACTCCTGACATCGTGATCTGCCCACCTCGGCCTCCCAAAGGGCTGGGATTACAGGCGTGAGCCACCGTGCCCGGCCAACACTTATGTTTTTGACTATTAGGATGCCCTCTTCACAGTCCTAAACTTACGGAGACCTGGAAGTAACTTGAGTTCCTATCTTGCCCATGTCCAGCATGTAAGGCTCTGGGGCTTAGCAGGAGGAGGGTTGGAAATGTCACTATGCAAGTCACAATAACATTCAGGCCCACATTTCTCCCTTTCTGAGAACACTATATTAAAGAATGGGAAGGCAAGTTTCATCTCTGTTTAATGGCCTATGGCTTGGATACCCCTAGTGGTATATGCAAACCTTCCCAGGGGTGTGTCGGCAGGACCAGTTTTAAGGGAATCAGTTTCCAGATTAATATGTGCCCCCCGCTAGAATGAATCTCCTGCTTGTCCTGGGCCTGACCAGAGTGCCCTTCCCAGAGCCGCCAAAGGTCAATAGGAAACAAATCAACCTTTCCCATCTCATTAAGAGATTCATTTTCTTTCTTTTCTTTTTTTTTTTTTTTGAGACGTATTATCTCTCTGTCGCCCAGGCTGGAGTGCAGTGGCACGACAGATATCAGCTCACTGCAACCTTCGCCTCCTGGATTCAAGTGATTCTCCTGCCTCAACCTCCCGAGTAGCTGGGATTACAGGTGTGTGCCACCACACCCAGATAAGTTTTCTATTTTTAGTAGAGATGGGATTTTGCCATGTTGGCCAGGCTGGTCTCGAATTCCTGATCTCATGGGATCTGCTTGCCCTGGCCTCCCAAAGTGCTAGGATTACAGGTGTAAACCACCACGCCTGGCCAAGAGATGCATTTTCAATAAGTTACTTTTCATGTCTTTTTGTGTGTTTGTTTGAGACAGGGTCTCCATCTGTCATCCAGGCTGGAGTGCAGTGGCACGATCATGGCTCGTATAGCTTCAACCTCCTGGGCTCAAGCAATCCTCCTATCTCAGCCTCTGGCGTAGCTGAGACTACAGGTGCACCACCCCTGACTAATTTTTTGTATTTGTTTAGTTTAGTTTTGTTTTGTTTTTAGAGATGGGGTTTTACCGTGTTGCCCGGGCTTGTCTCAAACTCCGGAGCTCAAGTGATCGGCCCATCTTGGCCTCCCAAAGTGCTGAGATTACAGGCACGAGCCACCGCGCCTGACCAACTTTTTATGTTTAATCCTTGTGAATATTCCTAGTTTTGGTTAACTGCAATAATTGCAATACAAATAGAATAACTGTTTCTAACACTTGTTCAAGGGCTTGTTCACGTATTTTTTAAAAGGATGCTAACAGATATGAAAGTTCTATGGCATTATATTCAATTTGCTACACTTAGAGTGACGTGCAGTCTCCGACAGACTGAGCACAACAAATTGTTTTTAATTTTAAAAACTGACATGGCCAGGCATGGTGGCTCACGCCTGTAATCCCAGCATTTGGGAGGCTGAGGTAGGCAGATCACTTGAGGTCAGCAATTCAAGACCAGCCTGGACAATGGTGAAACTCTGTCTCTACTAAAAATACAAAAAACTTAGCTGGGCATCCCAGCTACTCGGGAAGCTAGGGCATGAGAATTGCTTGAACCTGGGAGGCAGAGGTTGCAGTGAGCCGAGATCGCACCACTGCACTCCAGCCTGGGAGACAGAGTGAGACTCCATCTCAAAAATAATAAATAAATAAATAAATACATAAATAGTGATGTGATTTTTAACATGTATTTGCAATTCCTTGAAAAGCATACCCTTTGGAATGCTATTAAATTATTACAAATGTTAAATGTTGACTTAAAAATGTGCAAGGGGCTGGGCAAGGTGGCTCATGCCTGTAATACCAGCACTTCGGGAGGCCGAATCGGGTGGATTGCTTGTGGCCAGGAGTTTGAGACCAGCCTAGGCAACATGGCAAAACTGTTTCTACAGAAAATTTAAGAAATTAGCCAGATGTGGTGGCCCGCACCTGTAGTCCCAGCTACTCAGGAGGCTGAGGTGGGAAGATTGCTTGACCCTGGGAGGTTGAGGCTATAGTGAGCCAAGATGGCACCACTGCACTCCAGTCTGGGCAACAGAGTGAGACCGTGTCTCAAAACAATACAAATGTGCAAGGGACATAGTTTTTCAAAATCCTTTAAAGAGGCAATCAGGTTAGAAGGACAGGAGCTCAGAGATCCCAATGGTCTACTGTCAATCAAGTATCCGACCAGGGTTAGGGATGAAGAGGGGTTAAAAGAAACTGAGGTTGCATAACCTTAAATTTCACCACTTAGAACCCAGTTTGCTTATGTGGTAACTCTCATTAAAAACTACATATGAGAGGCCAGGCGCGGTGGCTCACGCCTGTAATCCCAGCACTTCGGGAGGCCAAGGCGGGCGAATCACGAGGTCAGGAGATCGAGACCATCCTGGCTAACATGGTGAAACCCAGTCTCTACTAAAAAATACAAAAAAAATTAGCCGGGCATGGTGGCCGGCGCCTGTAGTCCCAGCTACTCGGGAGGCTGAGACAGGAGAATGGCGTGAACCTGGGAGGTGGAGCTTGCAGTGAGCCGAGATCGTGCCACTGCACTCCAGCCTGGGCGACAGAGCGAGACTCCATCTCAAAAAAACAAACAAATAAAAAACCAAAAAACTACACATGAGATCAGGCGTGGTGGCTCACACCTGTAATCCTAGCACTTTGGGAGGCTGAGGCGGGTGGATTACCTGAGGTCAGGAGTTCGAGACCAGCCTCACCAACATGGTGAATCCCTGTCTCTACTAAAAATACAAAAAAATTAGCTGGGCATGGTGGCGGGCGCCTGTAATCCCAGCTTCTCAGGAGGCTGAGGCAGGAGAATCCATTGAACCTGGGAGGCAGAGGTTGCGGTGAGCCAAGATCGTGCCACTGCACTGCAGCCTGGGCGACAGAGCAAGACCCCATCTCAGAAAACAAAAAACAAAAAAAAACTACATGTGGTCCGAATGAAACAAAACTAAGCTTAGGGTTTAGGAATAATCTGAGAACACATAAGAATTGTAGGTTGAGCCTAGTAGAATTAAATAGGCCCCAAGCTGGACTGGATTCACCCATTCATTCATTCATTATCTTACTTCCTCAATGTGTCCACGAATGCCGGGTGCCATGGGAGAATATAAGAATATAAATAATAAAAATATGTAGTTTCTACTCAGAACTTAAAATTGAGAGAGACAGAATTTACAGGCAAGTTTAAATAACATCAAAGACAGTAAAAATGCATATTTCCTAATAATGACATGAGCGAGCGCCAACGTAATAGCCTTGGCAGTAAACGCCGTGAGTTCAGAAGAGTCACGGTGAGCTGGACTAGTCAGGGGAGGCTTCTGGGAGGAGGGCCCGGAGCGGGACCTGAGAGAAGAACAGGCAGTGTGTCTGGAGGATGGACCAGGAAGGGCAGACCCGGAGCCTCATACAGGGTGCAGGTACAAAAGCTGCCCCCAGGTGATGAGCTCTCGTGGCCAGAACCACCAGCTCTAGGGACCAGCCCTTGCGCGTATGTGCATCAGCCTTCGTGTGTGCTGTTCCCTATGTCTGGAATGGCCGTCCTCTCCCAAACCAGCTGCATTTCTCCTCAGGGATGCCTCTGCCTACACCACTCCTTCCCGCACCCCACCCGACCCCCAACGCCCTTCACCCCAGTCACCCTATGGCAATGATTTATTCATGTCTGTCTTCCCTTCCCAGGCCATGAACCTTGTGGGGCAGGGACTGTGTTCTACGCATTTCTTCTTGAACCCCTTTACCATTTTTGTGCCTACGGACTCCCAGAGTGCTAAATCACTCCCAACAGCCCCGCCTATGCCTCTGCCGGGACCTTTTCCAGGGGCAGAGAGCTGGAAGCACTTGGAAATTTTTCTCTCCCACATCCTCACATGCCACCACCCTCCCACTCCCCCAGCCCGCCCCCAGACCTTAACCAACGGTGGACAAATATGAAGGTGTCAGTACCCCAGCCCTCCATGAGACTTAGCTTGGTTCCACTCATGTGCTTGGGTCCCACTTTCCCACTCCCTTTCCACTCCTCCCCACCCTCATTACTTTTTTTTTTTTTTAAGACAGGGTCTCACTCTGTCACCCAGGCTAAAGTGCAGTGGCACAATCATAACTCATTGCAGTCTCAACCTCCTGGGCTCAAGTGGTCCTCCTGCCTCAGCCTTCTGAGTAGCTGGTACTATAGATGCACTCCACTCACTGGGCTAATTTTTTAATTTCTTGCAGAAATGATGTCTTGCCATGTTGCCCAGGCTGGTCTGGAACTCCTGGACTCAAGCAATCTTCCTGCCTTGGCCTCCCAAAGCACTGGGATTACAGGTGTGAGCCATCATGCCCAGTCCCCTCATTACTTTTATTTATTTATTTATTTATTTATTCAATTTTTGAGACGGAGTCTCCCTCTCGTTGCCCAGACTGGAATGCAGTGGTGTGATCTCAGCCCACTGCAATCTCCGCCTCCTGAGTTCAAGCGATTCTCCTGCCTCTGCTTCCTGAGTAGCTGGGATTACAGGCATGCGCCACTATGCCCAGCTAATTTTTGTATTTTTAGTAGAAACAGGGTTTCACCATGTTGGCCAGGCTGGTCTCAAACTCCTGACCTCAGGTGATCTGCCCGCCTTGGCCTCCCAAAGTGTCGAGATTACAGGCATGAGCCACTGTGCCTGGCCTATTTATTTTTGAGACAGTTCTCACTCTGTTGCCCAGGCTGGAGTACAGTGGCACGATCACAGCTCACTGAAGCCTGGACCCAAGCGATCCTCCCACCTAAGCCTCCCAAGTAGCTGGATCACAGGCGCATGCCACCACGTCTGGCTAATTTTTTTTGTAGAGATTGGGTCTTACTATATTGCCCAACCTGGTCTCAAACTCCTGAGCTCAAGAAACCCTCCTGCCTCCGCCTCTCAAAGTGTTGGGATTATAGGCGTGAGCCACCCTGCCCAACTTCTCATTAGTTTTAAATAAATCTCTTTTACTTGAATCTTTGTCTCAGGGCCTGCTTCTGGGGAATCCAACCTAGGATGCAAAGTATTTGCTACACACTATTGCAACTACTTTCTACTGCGCATGTGCCATAGGGCACTGTTGGTAAATGCTCTACAGCTTAAGCTCTCGTTTAATTTGCATAACAATGCTATCATGATCATTTCACAGAAGACAGAAACAGGCCTAGAGAGGTACAGTGACCCATGCAAGGTCACACAGGGGACAAATGGCAGAACTGGGATTTCAATTTAGGTCTGTGCTATGCTAACAACACTGATTTTAACCACTACATCATCCCAGCTCTTTTTTTTTTTTTTTTTTTTTTTGAGACGGAGTCTTGCTCTTTTCACCCAGGCTAGAGTGCAATGGCACGATCTTGGCTCACTGCAACCTCCGCCTCCTGGGTTAAAGCAATTCTCCTGCCTCAGCCTCCCACATGGCTGGGATTACAGGCACCCGCCACCATACCTGGCTAATTTTTGTAGTTTTTTTTTAGTAGACACGGGGTTTCACCATGTTGGCCAGGCTGGTCTTGAACTCCCGACCTCGTGATCCACCAGCCTTGGCTTCCCAAAGTGCTGGGATTACAAGCATAAGCCACCGCGCCTGGCCCATCCCAGCTCTTTATTCATCTGTGTAACCCTGACAGAGAATACAGTGCCTGGGCCGTCATGCACACTTAATGTGTGTTTTGTGAAAGGCTAAATTATTTAATGAAGGGCCCAATTAACAAAGAGTAGATCGGAATGATTGGAGTAAAATAACCCGAAGAAGAGAGAGACATGTTGGAGAGACAGGTCGGGGGAAAATTAGGGAAGATCTTGGTGCCAAGTGCAGGAGCTCATATCTGAAAGTCTCTCTCCTCTATCAGAACTGTGCCTGGGCCTGGGCAACATAACAAGACCCTGTCTCTGAACAAACAAAATAAGTTAGCTGAACATGGTAGGGCGCACCTGTAATCCCAGCTATTCCAGAGGCTGAGGTGGAAGATTGCTTGAGCTCAGGAGGTCAAAGCCAGCCTGGGCAACACAGCAAGACCCCATCTCTAAAAAAAAAAAAAATTAAAATTAAAAAAGGGCCAGGCACAGTGGCTCACACCTGTAATCCTAGCACTTTGGGAGGCCAAGGCAGGAGGATCGCTTGAGCTCAGGAGTTTGATACCAGTGTGGGCAACATAGTGTGACCTCACCTCTACAAAAAAAATGTTTAACATTTGGCCAGGTTGCCAGGCGCAGTGGCTCACGCTTGTAATCCCAGCACTTTGGGAGGCCGAGGTGGGCGGATCGCGAGGTCAGGAGATCGAGACCACGGTGAAACCCTGTCTCTACTAAAAATACAAAAAAAATTAGCCGGGAGTGGTGGCGGGCGCCTGTAGTCCCAGCTACTCGGGAGGCTGAGGTAGGAGAATGGCGTGAACCCGGGAGGCGGACGTTGCAGTGAGCCGAGGTCGCACCACTGCACTCCAGCCTGGACGACAGAGTGAGACTCCATCTCAAAAAAAAAAAACAAACAATTAGCCAGGCCATGGTAGTGCATGCCTGTAGTCCCAGCTACTCAGCAGGAAGATCACCTGAGCATGAGAGGTTGAAGCTGGAGTGAGATATGATTGCACCACTGCACTCCAGCTTGGATGACAGAGCTGTCTCAGAAAAAAAAAAAAAATTGTGCCTAGGGTGGGGAGAAACACATACATCTCTGGGTATACTGTGGCAGGAAGCTAAGGATAGAAAGGAAGAAGGAGGTCTGGACCCCTCAAACTGACCCTCAAGCCAATAACGTGGAATTAGTTAGGAGGAAAAAAAATTAATTAATTAATTAATTTTTTATTTTTTGAGACAGGTTCTTGCTCTGTCGCCCAGGCTGGACAGTGCAGAGGTGCAGTTACAGCTCACTGCAGCCTTGACCTCCTGGGCTCAAGGGATCCTCCTACCACAGCGTCCTGAGTAGCTGGGACCACAGGCATGTGCCACCATGTCCAGCTAAGAGAAATTCTTAAAGAAGAGAGAAAGGAGGGAAAGGAACTGAGCCCCTGATGTTGTCTAGGGAAAAAGCTGGGGCTCTTTACAGCATGCTGCCTTCTTTAATTCCACAGCACTATGTGGGTTTCCATGCCTTTATTTCCTTGGAAAGTATGAGCTTCTTGAAGACAGCAACTGTGCCTTGTCTTTCTTTGTATCCCTTCCTTCTCTCCTAGTACCCAGCCTAGAAGGCACTCAATAAAGCAAATGATTAGCCCCATTTCACAGAAGAGGAACCAACACTGAGAGAGGTAACTCACCTGTGCAAGTCATATCACAAGTGCCAAAGTCAAGACTGGATGGAGGACTGCCTGGCTGCAAACCAATTCTTCCCAGGCTGACATGGCAGGTAGGTGAGTGGGAAAGAGAAGGGGGAGGCATGAGGCAATTGGAGATTTTAGTACCTATTAATAGGCAGTGGATTTTGGCACTCAAACAGGCTGTCTTCATTAGCTGGGGAGGAGACTGAGTGGGCCTGGATGGTATGGAGGTATTTGCAGAGGGAAACCCATTGTGCTGGCTTATCCATTCAGATTAGACAATGCTGGTTCCTCTCTACCTGCCTTGGCTAAGCTCACCTAGGAGTAAATGCCCCAGGGACACCGTCACGTCTATGTCAACACAGAGTCACGGAATTAAATAACAGAATAGGATCACAGATTTACAGAACAATAGCCCAGAACCTTGGACATGACAGATAGTTATTAAATGCTTGGCCAATGAAAAAAAAAGAACCTAGAACTAGTATCACGGTAAAATCTAATTATACAAGCTAAGTTACCTTGAGAAAGCACCAGGCACAGCCCTGAGCCTTGGGCAGCGAATGATGTCTTTGGACTAGACAGAAGAGATGGTTGTCTGCCCTGCTTTGAAGCTCTCTGGCCAGGGAAACTCCAAACCATTCATTTGTTCATCCATTTGCCCACACAATCAACATTCATTGAGCATCTGCTCTGTGGGGTGCTATGTGATGGTGACAGTCCCAGGAAGCAGTTTCAGTCCTCCCTGCCCTCAAGGGGCTCTGTGTTTAGGGAGGACAAACATATACATCATGACAATAAAATTTGATAAAAAGTTAAATTAGAGAGGGGGCAAACCCTGACGTAGGAGCCCAGGAGGGACTCCTAACTTCTCTGCCAATTTCATGTTTCAAAATTATTAGACCCAAGACTCGCTTTGGTATAAACTTAAGCTCTCTTACTGTACATTTTTCTTCTCCTGCTAATCTTTAATTAAGTGCCCACCAGGTGCCTGGCACTGAATCAAAACTCAAAAAACTTGCTGAATTAAGCCAAATGCACCTCCTGTGGGTTTTTCCCCCTAATATCCTCAGAGGCAGTAATCAATTCCCTCCCCAAATTCCCCAGTCCCCACCCCATCCCCACCTTTCCTTTTGCAGTATAATCTCAACTCCTGTGATGGGGGCAGGCAGGATAGCATGGTAGTGAGATCAACAGACTGTGACTTGGGTTCTTGTCGCTACTTAGCCATTCGTTCTCTATGTGACCTTGGGATGGGACTTTAGGGGGATTTCTTTAATAACCTCTAAACTCCCGTGCAATGCTGAGAGCCAAGGTAGCGGCTCTCAGGTCTTGTTCCAAGAACTGCCACCAGAGGGCAGCCTAGAGACTCCTCTCAGGTGTTTTCCTCCAGAGCCTTTGCTCTTTCCCTCACTAATGTCATCCACTCCCTGGGTCCACCATCAAGGCACACAGGTGTCCCTTTAGCCGTCAAGGTGACCGTTCTAAGGTGAGCCAGGCATGTGAGGCGAGGCGAGACAGGCTCTGAAGCCCTCAGGAAAATTCAGGCACAGGCTGCCTGTCCAAGTGGACCTCACGATCATCATTTACACATTCTCTCCCTGATTATTTCATGAGCCAGCGGTCTACAGGAGAGGATACCACAGCCAGTCAAAGGGATCAGGGCCCTGCCCTCAGGGAGCTGCCTTCCAGTGAGGGAGGAGAGAGATACACAGATGCTTACAAGGTATCTGTAGTAGGATGTCACCTAGTGATGAATGGTGTGACGCAGCTTAGGCAGAGCGAGGAAATAGGGATGGTCCCAAACGTGTGTGTGTATGTGTGTTTTTTTGAGACAGAGTTTCGCTCTTGTCGCCCAGGCTGGAGTGCAGTGGTGCGATCTCAGCTCACTGCAACCTCTACCTCCCGGGTTCAAGTGATTCTCCTGTCTCAGCCTCCCGGGTAGCTGGGATTACAAGTGTTCACCACCACACCCGGCTAATTTTTGTATTTTTAGTAGAGATGGGGTTTCATCATGTTGGCCAGGCTGGGCTACGAGCGAAACTCCATCTCAAAATAATAATAATAATAATAATAATAATAATTCCTGTCTCCTAGGGTCATTGAGAGAATGGAGATCAGTCCTGCATGGGCAGACCTCGGCACCGAGCTGAATGTTACACACTGCCAAGGAGTCGGCGCCGGTCTCTGGTGAAGATGTTCTAGTCCCAGGGCCCAAGAGAACAGAGCGGGACACGAGATGCCTCTCTAACAGGAGTCTGTGTTTCCTGGTCACCTCTGTGTGCTGGGTGATGCCTCAGGTGCCAGGGAGACACTGGGCAGTAGGAGAAGCTCCCTCCTGTGAGGACTCTCACCCAGAGGCACTCAGACAGCCCAGAACACAGGAGGGAAGATGGGCCACCACAGTCCCATTCCTAGGCGCTCCAAGGGCCAGCCCAGCCTAGAAGTCCCTCCTGGTACAAGTCTTTCCGGCCTCTCCTCTCCCGAGAGCACGTTCAGACTGCACCCTGGCGCTCTCTTTCACCCTGTCGAGGAAGCTGTGACTCTAATTCTGGGTGACCAGTAACAATAAAAACCACTAATAGCCCTAGTGGAAAGAATGACTATTTAACAGGTGCACATAATGAGCAGACAAGGAGAGCTCTTTTCCCTCACACTCACTCCGCAGGACAGAGAGGGGAACAGTCTTGCTACTGTGACAGCTAATCACAGCCTCTGTGTGCCTCCCTCCTCGCAAGATAAGAGGGGTGGCCTCAGGGTGTGACGGAAACAGCCAGGAAGGCTTCGGCCAGGGAGCGACTGCCCTACAGCTGACTCCCTGCTGCTTTTGGGAAGTGGGGGTGAAGGGAAAAGACTCAGGGGAGCGGGGGGAAGAAAGCTTGGTGGGCAGAACCCCACTTGCCAAATTCCTCCTCTTTCAGGATTCAGTGGCCAAAGGTGAGCCTGGCTCTGGCCCCAGTCTTCACTCCCAAGTGCCGGCTGCAGTGCCCTGGGCCCGTCGGAGGCTGGCAGGGCTGCTGGGAGGGTGAGGACAGGCATGGGAAGAGTGGAAAGTGGGGGCTGACCCAGCCAAGCTCCAGGAGGCCATTCCATAGAGGAGAGAGCCATTGGACCAGGAGCCAAGCAGGGAAGAAGGAAGGAAAGGTAGAGCCGAGCACCGCCCACACCAGGAATAATCTCAGGAAGAGGATGGTGTGGACAGGCCCCAGGACAGGGCTTCTCAGCTAGGGGCAACTCGTTATGCTGCAGTGGGGGCACCTAACAGAACCCCCTAGGGTTTTTTTAAAGTATACAGCACGGTCCTGCCCACCACTGGCATCAGATGAATGCCATGTCCAGGGGAAACCCCAGTACGTCCTCATCACAGCCATGTGAACACTGCTGTTTGTTCATAAAAATGTGTTGCATCCCTAGGGGGAAATAAAAGGAGCTAATCCAATAGAGAGAAGAGTGGCTCAGGGGAGACAGTCACCCGTGAGGAATGAGGGCAGGACACACAGGCCCAGGCCGAGATTGCACAGGGTGTTGCATGAGTGGCTGTGTCAGAGCCAAGTGCACATGCCCACTGCCACCTCCGCCAAGGCCATCAGTGAATCCCTCCAGCACCTACAGGGGCTTTGCACATAAGAGCTGTGCTTGCAGGGGGTGGGGGGTGGGCACAGGGCAGGAAACCAGAGAGGAGGGCACCATGTCCCTGAGTAAGGTAGAAAGGGGAAGCACAGCCTGGACACATTCTTCCATTCTTTTATTTCAAAATATCACCAAGTGCCTGCCACAGCTATGTGCTGGGAACTCAGTGAACGCACCTGTGCTTTGCCCACTGGCATGGAGCCCACGGTCCGGGGGTGATGGTTTCTGTTGCATTTCAAAGCCACTGGGGCGCTGCATAGATGGCTGGCTGCAGAGTCTATTTGAGACGAAGGCAAGAAGTCAGGGCTCACGGACTGTAGATTCCACCCTTGATCGTCTACTACAGGAAAGAAGCCACAGAAGTGAGGGGGTATTCCCAACAGGAAGGCAGAGAAGGAGAGATTAAAACTGAGTCAAGAAGTGTAGCCAGTCCCATAGGAGCACCTGGGCTGAGGAGGGTCAGTCTTCGCAGAGATGTTCGGAACACCTGATTGGGGATGTGCCCTCTCCTTCTATGTTCTTGGTCACCAGAGGAACCAGGTGAAGAGTGTGGATGACTCAGTCCACCCCTCCCCGCACAGGAAAAACAACTCAGAGGACATCCCCTACTGGGAGTGGGCCAGGAGCGCTGGCTTCCACGCCAAGGAGAGGAGGGTGTTGTTGTGGCTGCAGAGGTGAGTCCACAGGGAAGCGTGGGTGTCATGGAGAAAGAGAGAGGAGAGGAAACGGCCTCTCGCTGGAGCCAAGCAGAGAGGAACAAAGGAGGGGAGGAGCCCACAGGCCCTGGAGCCCCAGAGCAGCTCTGGGTGGCCCCTTTCCTTCTCTCCTCAGCACAAAATAAGCTGCTTTTCCAGGCTTTTTCTCTTCCTCGTGCTCACTCCATTTTCCTTCTTCCAAGCCTAAGCCCTGGTCTACCAAGGACCCCTATGTGAAACACTTGTGCTAGAACTTCTGTCCTGACTCTCAGGCCCCCAGAGGAGGAAAGCTGTGGAGGAGGGACCTCATGAGCCAGTAACCTTCACTTAAGAATTCTTCACTTTTTTTTTTTGAGACGGAGTCTCACTCTGTCACCCAGGCTGGAGTGCAGTGGCATGAAATCGGCTCACTGCAGCCTCCGCCTCGCCGGTTCAAATGATTCTCCTGCCTCAGCCTCCTGAGTAGCTGGGATTACAGGTGCCTGCCCCCGCACCCGGCTAATTTTTGTATTTTTAGTAGAGATGGTTTTGCCATGTTGGCCAGGCTGGTTTCAAATTCCTGAGCTCAAGTGATCCACCTGCCTTGGCCTCCCAGAGTGCTGGGATTACAGGCGTGAGCCACCATACCTGGCCAGCTTTGACAGCAGAAATCTTCTCTCTAGAAATATTCATATACATAAGGAATTTTGCACACATCCTTACAGGGTTTAGGGAGCCTCTTAAGCCTGTCCATGAACCTCTGCCATTCATTTATAGCATGGTGTCAGCTGCAGAGTAATAGGATCTATGTGGGCCTGGAAGTCCAACAGGCCTGGGTTTGAATCTTTTTCAAACATTTTTGCTTGTTAGCAGCTGGTTTGGACAAATAATTTCAACTTAGTTTTCTCATCTGTGAAACAGGGGGAAAAAGCACTTACCCTGTAGGGCTGTTGTGAAGATTGAACAAGACAACTCATGTTAAATACCCAGGCACCGTGTCCGCCTGCAGCAGGCAGTCAGTACATGGTGGATCTCGTGCCCCAAGCCTCCTCTTTATGGAGTCCCTCAACTTGCCCCAGCTGGCCTCGGATTCCTCCCACCTCCACCTCCTGGGTAGCTGGGACTATAGCACGCCATGCTTCAGCCCCCTTTGTGATCATTCAAAGCCGTTTGGTTCCCTGCACCCTCTCACATTTACTGCAATTCCTATAGAATCCAAATTCTTTTAACCTGGTGTTGTAGGTCATCTACAATCCTGATCCAAGCAGCCTGTCCCTTCTCCCACACCACTGTCCTCCACATGCATGTCCCACACCAACCCACGCCATCCGCTGGTTCTAAATACACCTGAAGCACCACAAGGCCCCACGTCTGGCTGCCTGCTCTGTGCTTCTCTCATCATTCCTCAAGGCCCGGGGAAAGTCCTGCCACCTCCCTGAAGCCAAGTGCCTACCCGCTTCTCCACTCTAGGCTGCTGTCTTACGCTGTGTGTCCCCAGCTGGATGGCAGCTCCTCAGGGCAAGGAACAATTTCTCTTCTTTCTCAGTGCAACTTCCAAAACACAGCAGAGGAGCGTGCACTGGGGGCCAAGGCTGGCACAGCAAACACAGCAGCACAGGGCTGCTGGAGGGGTGGAGGGGACCAGAGGGGACAGTGACCTGCCTGCTTCATGATACATGGCTGGGAGCCCCACCTTTTGCCTATGGAAGGCATGTGCTTTGAGCTTGATTTTCTCGGGTGTAGAGTGTCTACGCCACCCACACTTTCTCACCCGGTCCAATGCACGGGCACGGGCAGGGGCAGGGCCAGAATCTGTTGCTGTAGAACACAGCAGAGCTGCCTGCACTACTGTGGACGTCACCAAACTGGCAGCTTCACTGAAGGTGACCCTGGCCTGTGTGGGCACTCAGCTGATGCCCTTTTCTTCCCTCCTAAGCCCCATTAGCTTTAGGTCTCCACCACCTGCACTGAGAGAAAGATTAATGGTGAGCACCAGAGTAAAATCTAGCACAGAAGGCAGGGTTTCAGTAAAAAACCAAAAGCACGGCGGATTAGAGCTCAAGGGCCCACAGGTGGGCAGGACAGTAGAGGAACTGGGCAGCCCAGGGTGGCAGGATGGGGTGGACAGGAGTGGACAGGAGAGAGTAGCCAGGAGGAGGGACGTGGCTGCACCGCCAGTCCACGTGGGCGGCTGGAGACCTGGCAGGAGGCCAGGAGAGACTGTGCCTCCTCCAGCCTGGCTGTCTTGGCCAAGTTCTGACGGCAGCCAGGAGGAATGTGACAAAGAAAACAAGACAAACTTTGCTACCTCTGGCTGGTCAGGGGAAGTTTGTGTTGGAAAAGAAGAAGCCACAGATTCCACTGTTCCGCTGCCTTCTCCCCTCACACCCTGGGACGGCCCAGCACCTTCTAGTCCACTCCTCCCTGCCCTCTGCCACTCCCCTCATTACCCCAGTGCCCCCTCCCTCCTTGCCCAGGTCCTCCAGGGAGCCAAGCCTGAGAGTCTAGGGAGGCCCACAGGAGGAAATGATGTTCGGAAAGAGCAGCATCACTTTATTTTTTGAGACGGAGTTTCCCTTTTGTCACCCAGGCTGGAGTGCAATGGTGCAATCTTGGCTCACTGCAACCTCTGCCTCCAGGGTTCAAGTGATTCTCCTGCCTCAGCCTCCCGAGTAGCAGGGATTACAGGCGCCCACCACCACGCCTGGCTAATTTTTTTTGTATTTTTGGTAGAGACGGGGTTTCGCCATGTTGGCCAGGCTGATCTCGAACTCCTGGCCTCAAGTGATCCGCCCGCATCGGCCTCCCATAGTGCTGGGATTACAAGCGTGAGCCACCGTGCCCAGCCGAGCAGCATCACTTTAAATGGTATCTCTGTCTCACATTTGTGCCTGCACCTCTATACAAGGCAGGAAGGGAGCAGAAGACACTCTGCTAGCATTGGCTGGGCTGGAGACTCAGGAAAGGGAGCCTGGGGCTGTGGGGGTGAAGCTGGCCTATTTGTCTCCCCCAGTGGAAGGATGAAGACAGGAGCACCTGCAGGGCTCCATTTGCTGGGCTTCCTACTGGGGGACTGCACCCCTTGTCCCATTTAACCTTTTTGATAATTTCCCATTTGATGTTCACAAAAACCTTGTGAAATAAGTGTTATTTAAAATACCCCCATTTCACAGATGAGGAGATGGAAGTTCAGAAAGGTTTGAAGAGCCGCCCAAAGCCAAGAGGTTAGCTGGGACTTGAACCCACGTCATCTTCATTCTGAAGCCAGTGTTTTTTGTTTGTTTGTTTTTCCCAAGGCATTAGCCCCCTTCAGGGGACCCTGTCCTATCCCTTCCTCTCTCCACAGCTCCCTCAGCCCCTCTTTCCTCCCACTCCCATTCTGAGTGTCACTAGCAAGTCAAGAGCAAGACTAGATGGCAGCCACTAGCTGCACGTGGCCAACCACATCATTACAATTAATTAAAATTAAAGCTCCAAATCTTTGGTGGTTAAACTTGCTCCATGTGGCCAGTGGCTACCGTATCGGACAGCACAGACAGGAAACATTTCCATCCTCCTGCTGGTCTGAACTTAAAGGGCGGTCAGGAGGTAGAGGGAATGGGAGAGACCAGGCCAAGGGGCCCAGGGACAGAGCTGCCTTTGTGAGGAGATGAGGTTTGGGAAGTGAGTTTGGGTGAGGGGAGCAGGGGTGTCTGAGGCCTGGGGGAGGAGAGGGCAGCTTGCTGGACTCCCAGGCACCTCCCTCCGATACTGATACTCCCGCAATACTAGTGAGCAATTAATTGGCTGGGGCGGGGCAGGGGCCAGAGCAGGAGGGAGGCCAACGCAATGGAGGAGAAGCCACCACCCTCTCAGCAGATGGCAGGGCTCCGGTTCTCCTGGCCTCCTTTCATCCTTTGAGGACCCGGGAGCCTGCCTGGCCCTCCTCGACCTGCCCAGAGCTGGCTGCTGCTTCCTGCTCGCTCATCCAGCCCAGGGCCAGCAGATGGGCTATGGGGCCACCACCTTCCCAATTAGCCTTCTTAGCCTCTTGCTCACCCTTGAGGTCTGGGTTACCAGCCATGGGGAGGGGCTGTGAGTGCCCTGTGAGTAACCAAGGCCCAGCTTTGACAGAGGTCATCAGCCCAGGCCCCTCCCCTGGCTGAGCCCTGGCTCCCAGCACCCCCCCACCCCCGCCACCATGCCGTCCCCAGAGGCCCCCAGAAGCGACAGGTCAGGGAGTTGGTTTTGGGAATGTGGTGCCCCATTTCTGAGAAGGAGAAAGTTCCCCAGGTGATGGAACACGTAATAGGTATGTGGCTGGCCTGGTACTTGGGGAGTGGTGGGAGGGGGAGCCTGGGGGATGGGGGCAGAACTCATATTTGAAGGAGGAAAGTGGAGGTGGAGTGATGGGGTCCTAAGGAAGGAGCAGATCAGGGGCTGTGAATGGGACCTCATTGGGGTTGGGTGGGTGGGGCTGGAGCGGGCACCCAAGTGTGGAAGAAAAAGCTGAAACACCCACGACTGCGAGTGGAGGGCAGATGGAGAGACAGGCCAAGCTACGGTAGGCAGGAGAGTTAAGGAGCCAGGCAGCTGGGTCCCGTGGCAAGAGTGGCCGCCCCAGAGTGGGTGGCCGTGGGGCAGAGCGCCTGGTTCCGGGTTAGGCAATGAGGAGCCGGGGCCAGGCCTGTCAGGTGGCAGGATCGTTAGAGCCCCGTGGCCATGGGTACCCCACACTGCAGCCACTGCTGCTGCTGAGTAGGCAGATGCACCGGGCTGATTACCACGCTCCTCCCGGCCACACCAACTTCCCCTGGGGCACCCACCCCCTCCACCTCTCCTCCTCTCCCCACAGTGACTCCTGCCCAGGGAATGTCCAGCTCTGGCATAAAGGACCCGGGTGTCCTTGAGCTGCCATCAGTCAGGAGGCCGTGCAGTCCGAGATGGGCTCGTCTCGGGCACCCTGGATGGGGCGTGTGGGTGGGCACGGGATGATGGCACTGCTGCTGGCTGGTCTCCTCCTGCCAGGTAGGAGGCTGGGGGCCCTGGGAACAGGAGGGAGGCGGGAGGGAGACTCCGGGAGAGGACCCAGCGAAGGGGACAGGCAGGGGCTCTGGAATCTGCCTTTTGAGTCTGGGGGTTGCTCCTCACTGTATGGTCGCCTCAGGTAAGTTTCTTAAACTTCCTGAGCCCCAGTTTCTGAAACTCTGAAGTGGGGTTAATGACACCTAACTCTAGTCTGTGTGTCTCAAATTAAATAATGTATGTGATATGTACTTTGGAAATTCTAGAGGTTTATATAAATGGTGGTGGTGATTTTTATTATGGGAGCACTACAAGATAATGATTGGACATTTAATAGTAATAATATCATTTTTAGAGCCTTTTTATATGCTAGACTCTGTTTTAAGCACATTTGGATTATATATTAGAACTTTTATTTTTATTTTTTTTTGTGAGATGGAGTCCCACTCTGTCTCCAAGGCTGGAGTGCAGTGGCGTAATCTCGGCTCACTGCAACTTCCACCTCTCAGGTTCAAGCGACTCTCATGCCTCAGCCTCTAGAGTAGCTGGGACTACAGGTGCCCATCACCACACCTGGCTAATTTTCTTTTTTTTGTATTTTTAGTAGAAACAGGGTTTCACCATTTTGGTCAAGCTGGTCTTGAACTCCTGACTCAAGTGATCCGCTCGCCTCAGCCTCCCAAGGTGCTGGGATTACAGGCATGAGCCACCACACCCGGCCTATATTAGCACTTTTGATCATTACAAGAACGGTATGAAAGGAGATTTGCTATTTCCACTCTACAGATGAGGACACTGAGGCTCAGAGAAGTTAGGAAAGTAGCTCAAGATCATGCATTAGAAGGCAGCAAAGCCAAGATTTCAACCCCAGGCCGGGCAACCCCTGGACCTGTGTTGTTGACCACCGGGTACTTATAGCCCTTGAGGAATTTCTGCGACCTTCCCATGGTCTAGTGGGTGGTTGGTGTCTGAGGGAATAGCGAAAGAGAGAGGCAATGCATGGTGGATTCGTGCAGAGGACTGAAGGGAATTGGCACAGCTGGGGTTCGGCGTGGAGGTGCATGCAGAGAATTTCTTTCTGAGGAGAGAACAGGGACATCACAGAGGATGGCAGTCTGGTTGTTGGTGGAGGGATCAGGATGAGTGGCAGTAATAATTCATAATATATAATGCTTTACACTTTCTAAAACATCTGGCCGCACATGATAGCTTGTGCCTGTAATCCCAACATTTCAGGAGGCCAAGGCAGGTGAATCGCCTGAGGTTAGGAGTTCAAGACCAGCCTGGCCAAGATGGTGAAACCCCCTCTCTACTAAAAATACAAAAAATTAGCTGGGTGTGGTGGCGGGCACCTGTGGTCCCAGCTACTTGGGAGGCTGAGGCAGGAGAATCGCTTGCACCAAGGAGGCAGAGGTTACAGTGAGCTGAGACCGTGTTATTGCACTTTAGCCTGGGCAACAAGAAACTCCATCTCACAAAAAAAAAAAAAAAAAAGAAGAAGAAGAAAAAACTTCCAGGTGGATGATCTCATTTAGTTTTCTTCATAGTAATGCTGTGGGAAGGCAGGGAAAATTTGGCCCCTCTGAATGTATAAACTAAAGCTCAGAGAGGTTCAGTAACTTGCTAGTATGTGGCTCTGTTTGTAACACGTGGGACCTGGAGGGGCTAGGGAAGGCAGAAGGAACGCAGGTGAAAGAGTCATGGAGGAACCACGGGGTAAGTTGGGCCTGGGGTTTTGAGCAAAGGAAAGGAAAGATAAGGAAAGATGTGGCTCCACATCCCTGAGGGAAGTCAAGGCAGCAGAAGTCAGATGAGGGGCTGGACAGAGGCAGGTGTGCTCAGAGAGGGAAGCTGATTGTGGCCAGGAGCCTCGGAGGTTCGTGGGGTTTCGTCCTGGTTCCCTGGGCTGGGCCAGCGAGAGCAGGGCTGGCTCAGGGTGCGGTGTCCTGACACACTGGTACCAGCAGGTTCTGAAGCAACAGGTAGTGACCCCACATCCTGGCCCCCACCCAGCTTTACTGGCATGGCCAGTGCTGAGATAGGAAATAGGGTTTCCATTCCTGACCCCAGCCTGGGCTCTCACGAAGAAGCTGGTGACCAAATCTTAGTCCTCGAGTGCCCTTTCCTTTATTTCAGCCCCTCTGCCCCCAGCTTTGTCTTTTTCCAGTGTCTCCTTCTATATGTGTCTCCACTTCTCAGCCCTCCATTGTTTTGCCTTTTGTCTTCTTCCCTTTGGTCCCACTGTCTGGCCCAGGATTTTTCCCCTAAGAATTTACGCCTGGACTCCTCAGAGCCTCAGTTTCCCCAATTCTCTGTCTCTTCAGGGTCCTTTCTTTTAGACCTACTTGTTCCTGCCCCTTCTCCATTCCCTCTTCTTTTTAAAAAAAATTTTAATTAAAAAACAAAATACAGACGGGGTCTATGTTGCCCAGGCTGGTCTTGAACTCTGGGGCGCATGCAATCCTCCCACCTCGGCCTCCCAAAGTGCTGGGATTACCGGCGTGAGCCACTGTGCCCAGCCCCCTCTTATATTCAATGTATTCCTTTGAGGCCACTCACTTTGGCACCTAATTTTCTATTTTTCTGGTTGGTGTTTGCCCACCCTTCCCAAACAAAGAAATGCCTTTATTCGGCCACCTCAATATCCTTTAGAGACAATAGCCAGTTCTTCCTCCTTTCTCCATCCCTAAACTCTCCCTGCGCTCTGCTTGGGAGAAACCCGAGAGGCCGATGACTGAGATAAGGCAGAAAGGTGAGGGAGGAAGCCAAGCCTCCTTGGCCCTTACTAACCACTGCTTTCCTCCACAGGGACCTTGGCTAAGAGCATTGGCACCTTCTCAGACCCTTGTAAGGACCCCACGCGTATCACCTCCCCTAACGACCCCTGCCTCACTGGGAAGGGTGACTCCAGCGGTTTCAGTAGCTACAGTGGCTCCAGCAGTTCTGGCAGCTCCATTTCCAGTGCCAGAAGCTCTGGTGGTGGCTCCAGTGGTAGCTCCAGCGGATCCAGCATTGCCCAGGGTGGTTCTGCAGGATCTTTTAAGCCAGGAACGGGGTATTCCCAGGTCAGCTACTCCTCCGGATCTGGCTCTAGTCTACAAGGTGCATCCGGTTCCTCCCAGCTGGGGAGCAGCAGCTCTCACTCGGGAAACAGCGGCTCTCACTCGGGAAGCAGCAGCTCTCATTCGAGCAGCAGCAGCAGCTTTCAGTTCAGCAGCAGCAGCTTCCAAGTAGGGAATGGCTCTGCTCTGCCAACCAATGACAACTCTTACCGCGGAATACTAAACCCTTCCCAGCCTGGACAAAGCTCTTCCTCTTCCCAGACCTTTGGGGTATCCAGCAGTGGCCAAAGCGTCAGCTCCAACCAGCGTCCCTGTAGTTCGGACATCCCCGACTCTCCCTGCAGTGGAGGGCCCATCGTCTCGCACTCCGGCCCCTACATCCCCAGCTCCCACTCTGTGTCAGGGGGTCAGAGGCCTGTGGTGGTGGTGGTGGACCAGCACGGTTCTGGTGCCCCTGGAGTGGTTCAAGGTCCCCCCTGTAGCAATGGTGGCCTTCCAGGCAAGCCCTGTCCCCCAATCACCTCTGTAGACAAATCCTATGGTGGCTACGAGGTGGTGGGTGGCTCCTCTGACAGTTATCTGGTTCCAGGCATGACCTACAGTAAGGGTAAAATCTACCCTGTGGGCTACTTCACCAAAGAGAACCCTGTGAAAGGCTCTCCAGGGGTCCCTTCCTTTGCAGCTGGGCCCCCCATCTCTGAGGGCAAATACTTCTCCAGCAACCCCATCATCCCCAGCCAGTCGGCAGCTTCCTCGGCCATTGCATTCCAGCCAGTGGGGACTGGTGGGGTCCAGCTCTGTGGAGGCGGCTCCACGGGCTCCAAGGGACCCTGCTCTCCCTCCAGTTCTCGAGTCCCCAGCAGTTCTAGCATTTCCAGCAGCTCCGGTTTACCCTACCATCCCTGCGGCAGTGCTTCCCAGAGCCCCTGCTCCCCACCAGGCACCGGCTCCTTCAGCAGCAGCTCCAGTTCCCAATCCAGTGGCAAAATCATCCTTCAGCCTTGTGGCAGCAAGTCCAGCTCTTCTGGTCACCCTTGCATGTCTGTCTCCTCCTTGACACTGACTGGGGGCCCCGATGGCTCTCCCCATCCTGATCCCTCCGCTGGTGCCAAGCCCTGTGGCTCCAGCAGTGCTGGAAAGATCCCCTGCCGCTCCATCCGGGATATCCTAGCCCAAGTGAAGCCTCTGGGGCCCCAGCTAGCTGACCCTGAAGTTTTCCTACCCCAAGGAGAGTTACTCAACAGTCCATAAGAAGTCAACTGTTGTGTGTGTGCATGCCTTGGGCACAAACAAGCACATACACTATATCCCATATGGGAGAAGTCCAGTGCCCAGGCATAGGGTTAGCTCAGTTTCCCTCCTTCCCAAAAGAGTGGTTCTGCTTTCTCCACTACCCCAAGGTTGCAGACTCTCTCTTATCACCCCTTCCTCCTTCCTCTTCTCAAAATGGTAGATTCAAAGCTCCTCTCTTGATTCTCTCCTACTGTTTAAATTCCCATTCCACCACAGTGCCCCTCAGCCAGATCACCACCCCTTACAATTCCCTCTACTGTGTGGAAATGGTCCATTGAGTAACACCCCCATCAGCTTCTCAACTGGGAAACCCCTGAAATGCTCTCAGAGCACCTCTGACGCCTGAAGAAGTTATACCTTCCTCTTCCCCTTTACCAAATAAAGCAAAGTCAAACCATCATCTGGAAACAGTGGCCACTTTTCACTGACCTTTCTTCGACATCTAGTCAACCCACCCAATATGCCACTGGGCTCTCGCTCCCAATTCCACCCCACCCTCCATTACAGAGCTCACCACGCCCTCCTAGATCACCGTCCCCAACACACCCATTGCCTCTCAAGGCCCTTATCTCAGCCCCTTCCTGTGGCCACTTCCCTCAGTGCTCAGATGATTCCCTGGGTGAGGGAGACACTGGGGCACCCTCAGAGGTTGAAGCAGGCTCCCTGCTGTCCCTGGATCCTGGACAGATGGCTCAGTAAACTGTGGGGACTAGGTGCAGACTTTTTGCCTTCTTGGAGTCCTGGGTCTCCTCTGAGAGTCTGGGTGGTGCTCTTCCTACGCCTCTAGAGGTCTCTGTGTTCCTCATTTTCCTTCAAAAGCGGGCTGTGTTTCTCTTCTACCTTCCAGCTGCTCCCACAGAGGAGGAAGACAATAAATATTTGTTGAACTGAAAGCAGAGATTGCCTGGCCTCCCAGATCCTTCCGCCATTTCCCTCCTCTCTCATTGCTCCAGGAAATCCATTCTCTTCCCATTCCTCATTCACCGTGGGGTCCCCCTTCCCCTTATTTAGGGCCCTCAGTGTTTCCTCTCCCTCCCCTCCCCTCCCCTCCCCACCCAAACTCCTTTTCTTCCACCATTAGCATTCCTCACCTTCTAGATGCCATCCTCTCTGGGAGTCATGAGTCTCGATTTCCTGGGTTTCTGGGACACCTGGAAGCTTGGGAAGGCTGGGACACAACAACTCCAACCAGATTCCTGTCAGCTGAGTAGGAGGCCAGTTGGGCGTTGTTCCTGGAGCTGGGGGTGGAGAGAGTAAAGGACTGAGAGGATGGGAGCAGGGCAGGGAGTGCAGCCAAGCAGGGTGACTCACTGGCCTAGATCAAGAGGCCCAGCCTGTGGCAGAACAGAGCTGCCGGTGGTCTCTCCATCTTCACACTCCCTGCTCTGCTGGGGTCCAGAGTGAGAGTGTGAGCAACATGGCTCTCAGGTGAGGGCTGAGAAGGCAGAGTGCCCCAGTGGGAAAGAGGAGTCGCTTCCACTGGAGAAGAGAGAGAAAGTGGAGTGTGTGGTGGGGTCCATGCGACTTAAGTCCTGAGACAGGCAGGGAGAGGCTGAGGCGGACGAAGTTCCCGCATCCCAAGGAGGGCAGAGTGGATTGTGCTTGTCCCTGTAGGAGCCCCACCCCCCACCCCAGGCCACCTCTCAGAGCCTCTGCTTGGCTGCAAAGGAATTCACCCCTACTGTAGCACTTAACCCATTCCCTCCTATCAGGGTGGTGCTGTCTGGTCCTGAATTTAGAACTGTTGAAACTCCAAGTCTGGAATCAGCAAAAATGTATTACATTGACCAGAAAGGGATTGAATCACCCTTGGTCCAGCATCTGGCCCCTGATCTGCAGCCAATGGCAGGAATCGAGGTCCTCAGATGCTTCATGAATGGGAATTGCAGGGAGAGAAGGCTCTCTGATGTGGTGTTTCCTCGAGTCTCCTGCTGTGCTCCAAATTAAAAGCTTGTGTAAAACTCATGCATGTCATCCAAAAAGGCCTCTGGGCTCCATCCACTGCCAGTTCTGGAGAGGAGCTCTTCACTCCTCCAGTGGTTAAGCCAGCAGGGGCAGGTGGGGAGGACACAGCAGTAGAATCAGCCAACAGCTCATGTTTAGACCTTGGGCAGCCAGGGAAGCCTACTCCTGGGGCCTCCCGGAAGCCATGGAGAGAACAAAGCCATTGCATTTTTATAATAAAATTTGCAAACATATTTAAAAGCCAACAAACTGTTAATGAATCTCTACATTCTCATCGCCCAGCTTCAACAAGGATCAAGTCCTGGCCATTTGACAGCAGCATTTAAAGGCTCTCCTCTACTGTTACTTGGAAATAGCCACTTTCTCCCAAGGTTTCTTATACTCTATGGCACATCTGACCACCAGTAGCAGGCAGAATGATGTCTTCAACCCCAACACCATCAAAGATGTCCACATCCTAATCCCTGGAACGTAGGAATTAGGTTACATGGCAAAGGGAAATTAAGGTTCCAGATGGGATTAAGGTTGCTATTCGGCTGACTTCACAGAGATTATCATGGATTATTCAGGTGGGTCCAGTGTAGTCACCAGGTCCCTTAATGTGGACATGGGAGGCAGAAGAGGAAGTCTGAGTGATACAGTGTAAGAAATGGCTGATTTTGGCTTTGGAGATGGAGGAAGGGGACCATGAGCCAAAGAACACAGGATGCCTCTAGAAGGTGAAAAAGCAGGGAAAGGGATTTTCCCCTGAGGCCCCCAGAAAGAATCACAGCCCTGCTGACACCTTTATTTTAATCCACTGAGACCTGTTTTAGACTTCTGATCTCCAAAACTGTAAAGTAATAAATCCATGTTGTTGTAAGCCATTCGGTTCATGGTAATTTGTCACTGCAGCAGCAGGAATTAGTCAGTATCTCATAAGGATGGCATCCAGGTCCATTTCCCTAGCTAGATCCAGGGTCTCATGTAGGAGCAGCTCCTCAGATGGGGCCACTTCTGCACCCCAGAACCTCCTGCAGGTTGGGGCCAAGGTGAAGGAGATATGAGGATGCATGAGAAAGGGGTGCTGGGAGGAAACAATCCAGCTCCCAAAAAGAAACAAGTGTTTCTGTTGCTGAGAGAGGCAATTAAGAGAGTGGGACCCCAGGGTGGAGGTCCTTGTGTATAGAGAAGCAGGGCTGGGGAGGCTGGCAACCAGGGATGAGCTGTGAGCCAGGACACCTGGGCCAAGAAGGGGCAGGGAGGTCAAGGAAAGGAGCCAGGGCGGGAGACACCCAGCTTCCTCTGGGACATTCATTCAAGTGACACCTGTTGCCACAGACCACATTAGGAATGAGGGTGGAATGTGGAGGTTTATTGTCTTCACAACCACTAGCCCAGCCTGTTTCTGCTGTCCCCCACCCCACTACCAGGATAAAGGGCTGGCTGTCTTGGGGCTGAGGGAGATCGGGTGCTGAGCAGGATGCAGGGCCGCGTGGCAGGGAGCTGCGCTCCTCTGGGCCTGCTCCTGGTCTGTCTTCATCTCCCAGGTATGGAGGCCGTGATGCCCTTGGGCAGGAGGGACTGGAGGTCCCCCAGGAAACAGGAATTAAGGAAAGGGGTAAAGGCAGGAGGGTACACATTTAGGTCCCTGAGGGAAAAGGAAGAATAGGCATAGGGGAAGCAAAGGGAACTGGGGACTCGGGGACTGGAGACCACTGGTTGCTTTATCTTCCCTTTCCCTCAGGCCTCTTTGCCCGGAGCATCGGTGTTGTGGAGGAGAAAGTTTCCCAAAACTTGGGGACCAACTTGCCTCAGCTCGGACAACCTTCCTCCACTGGCCCCTCTAACTCTGAACATCCGCAGCCCGCTCTGGACCCTAGGTCTAATGACTTGGCAAGGGTTCCTCTGAAGCTCAGCGTGCCTGCATCAGATGGCTTCCCACCTGCAGGAGGTTCTGCAGTGCAGAGGTGGCCTCCATCGTGGGGGCTGCCTGCCATGGATTCCTGGCCCCCTGAGGATCCTTGGCAGATGATGGCTGCTGCGGCTGAGGACCGCCTGGGGGAAGCGCTGCCTGAAGAACTCTCTTACCTCTCCAGTGCTGCGGCCCTCGCTCCGGGCAGTGGCCCTTTGCCTGGGGAGTCTTCTCCCGATGCCACAGGCCTCTCACCCAAGGCTTCACTCCTCCACCAGGACTCGGAGTCCAGACGACTGCCCCGTTCTAATTCACTGGGAGCCGGGGGAAAAATCCTTTCCCAACGCCCTCCCTGGTCTCTCATCCACAGGGTTCTGCCTGATCACCCCTGGGGTACCCTGAATCCCAGTGTGTCCTGGGGAGGTGGAGGCCCTGGGACTGGTTGGGGAACGAGGCCCATGCCACACCCTGAGGGAATCTGGGGTATCAATAATCAACCCCCAGGTACCAGCTGGGGAAATATTAATCGGTATCCAGGAGGCAGCTGGGGAAATATTAATCGGTATCCAGGAGGCAGCTGGGGGAATATTAATCGGTATCCAGGAGGCAGCTGGGGGAATATTCATCTATACCCAGGTATCAATAACCCATTTCCTCCTGGAGTCCTCCGCCCTCCTGGCTCTTCTTGGAACATCCCAGCTGGCTTCCCTAATCCTCCAAGCCCTAGGTTGCAGTGGGGCTAGAGCACGATAGAGGGAAACCCAACATTGGGAGTTAGAGTCCTGCTCCCGCCCCTTGCTGTGTGGGCTCAATCCAGGCCCTGTCAGCATGTTTCCAGCACTATCCCCACTTTTCAGTGCCTCCCCTGCTCATCTCCAATAAAATAAAAGCACTTATGGAATTTGCTTCTCCTTGGTTTCTTTGTTTCTGGGCATAAGCTGAAGTGAGTCTGGGCATAAGCTGAAGTGAGTCTGTTCATTCCTGTTTTCTAGCCATCCCCACGGCCCTCTAGGGGCCCCTGCAGACGCTGTCTTGCTATCCCCATCCTTCACAAAGGATCAGTGCCCAAGTGCTTGAGGGTGGAGCCTCAGTCTCACCCCGGCCAGGTGGGAGAGCTGTTCCAGAATTGTGCTGGAATCTGAAAGGGGGAGGAGGGACAGCAGGACTAATTGAGATGGCACCTGCAGCAGGGGGCAAGGATGAGGTCCCAGAAGGCGGCTCCAGGGCCAGGTGGACAGGATTCCTTGCAACTCACAGAAACAGGAAGCCAAAAGTCGCAATGTCTACGCTTCACTTGTCTTTTCTTCCCCGGAAAGTCAAGCTTCTTGGAAGTGGAGGTACATCGACCTCCTCCCTTACAGGCATCATTTAGCACATTGTGTCCCACAGAACCACAGACTTTGAAGAGTTGCTGAGTAAATAGCAGACCTCGATAAAGGAAAAGAGAAAAGGGAGAAAGGAAAGGGAGAAAAAAACCTTGAAGCCAACAATCCCACCTGGGGTGGCATTTGATGCTTTCATTCCCAAGTGATGACACAGTCTCAGCCTTTGGTCACAGTATTGTCTCTCCTGCCCTCCCTTCGGTTTTCCCAGGAGCTCAACATCCTCACACAGGAGTTGGAGTGACGGCAGCGAAGGGTCAGGCTACAAAAGCACGGAAGAATCAGCAGGTGTGGGTTGGAGGTGATTTGGGTCTGGATTCTCTCTTCCCTGTGCCATGCCTGCAGTGGTCCAGGTGTATGTACTCTCCATCCAGTCAGGTCCCTGGGAGTTGGGCAGCTTGTGGGAGGGGAGAAAGGAGTAGGAAAAACACCAGAACTCAAGGGGTAGGGAGCTGCCTGCCTGCCTGCCTGAGTGGCAGATGGGCATTTCTGGAGAAGATGCCCGGTCCCAGCGTCTGCCATAAGGCTCCATCCTACACTGAGAAGTCCTTCCTGGAACACCTTCCTCAGAGCCCACCTTTCCCATCACCAAGCACACTCCCTTCGTCAACACCTCAACCTCCTCACCTGATTCTTTTCCCAGCTTGGACTCTCTTGGTTTCTCCCTGCCCTAGGGCAAGGGGTTCCATGCCTGTTTTCAGCACCTGCCTCTTCCACCAGCCCAAGGTCATTCTATCAAGCCTGGAGTCTCATTTCTCTCTGTCCCTCTTCCTGGTGGCCTCTTCTGCATAGTCATTCCTATTCGCACATTTAAATTTGGTGTCAACAGTCCCCTGCTCTGTTCCACAGACTCACTAGAGCATAAGCACCACGAGGACAGGGGCTTTGTCTCTTTAGTTCACTGCTGCACCCCCAGCACAAAGAACAGGGTCTGGACCAGGGCAGGCACTCAGCAGGCACGAAGGAATGGCTGATCCTCTCTCTCTGTCCCTCCCCCTCTCTCATCATCTCTCTTCTTCCACTCAATTCCTGAGCCATGCGGCTACACCCAGAGTCTAATCTACACTCCGGCTGTAGCCCTCCCAGAGCCTCACTGACATTTTTCAACAACCTCATGAAGCCCTTCTCAGCATTAAAATGCTCTGTGCGTTTCATCATTTAACCTTCATTATTCTCTGTGAGGAAGGCATTATAAGATTTTTGCGGCCAGGCACGGTGGCTCACACCTGTAATCCCAGCACTTTGGGAGAACGAGGCAGGCGGATCACCTGAGGAGTTCGAGACAGCCTAGTCCAACATGGGGAACATGGTGAAACCTCATCTCTACTAAAAACACAAAAATTAGCCAGGCATGGTGCCTGTAATGCCAGCTACTTAGGAGGCTGAGGCTGGAGAATCGCTTGAACCCGGGAGTTGGAGGTTGTAGTGAGCCGAGATCGCGCCACTGCACTCCAGCCTGGGTGACAGAGCGAGACTCCGTCTCAAAAAAAAAAAAAGATTTTTACAGATGGAGGAACTGAGATTTAGAGGGATTAAGCAAGTCACACAGGGTTACAAGTGACAGGGGTGGTGACTCAAACCTCATTTTTCTCATTATCTGTCCAGGGAGTATTCAAGTACAATATGCAATTAACAGAAATAACAACGAACTTTTATTATATTTACATATAGGCCAGGTCCTGGACAAGGGGCTTGCACACACACCCTTCCAGCAAATCCTCACAACAACCCCATTGGGTGGGCACTGCGGGGCATACTGCACAGGGAAGACACTGAGGCCCAGAGAGGATGGGGAGCTGAGGCTCACACACAGGCAACACTGAGCCAGGGCAGTGAAGTTCATCTGATGCTTGGTGCTGATGGCTCAGGGAAGATGGACTTTAACAGTGGAGGGTCCCAGGGGGATGTGGCCAGTCCCCTCAGGGTGGTCTTTGGATTAACGTTAGTTGTTGCTTAAAAAATGGTGGAACTGGGCATGGTGGCTCATGTCTGTAATTTCAGCACTTTGGGAGCTGAGGCAGGAGGATTACTTGAGCCCAGGAATTCTAGACCAGCCTGGGCAACATAGGGAGACCTCATCTCTACAAATAGTAATTAAAAAATTAGCTTGAGCACTTAAAAAAAAAATTAAGAGTAGGCCGGGCATGGTGGCTCACACCTGTAATCCCAACACTTTGGGAGGCCAAGGCAGGTGGAGACCAGCCTGGCCAATGTGGTGAAACCCCATCTCTACTAAAAATACAAAAATTAGCCAGGCATGGTGTTGCACGCCTGTAATCCCAGCTAGAGGGAAGGCTGAGGTATAAGAATTGCTTGAACTTGGGAGATGGAGGTTGCAGTGAGCTGAGATTGTGCCACTGCACTCCAGCCTGGGCAACAGAGTGAGACTCTGTCTCAAAAAAAAAATCATCATCATAAGAGCAAAAATAAACTTTAAAAAAAATAAAATATTAGCTTGGCATGGTGTTATGCCTGTGGTACCAGCTACTTGGGAGGCTGAGGTGGGAGGATCACCCGAGCCTGGGAGGTTGAGGCTGCAGTGAGCCATGATCATTCCACTGCACTCTAGCCTGGGTGACAGGGCAAGACTAAAAAGGAAAAAAAAAGAAAAGAAAAGAAAGGCGGCTTACACCTGTAATCCCAGCACTTTGGGAGGCTAAGGAGGGTGGATCACCTGAGATTAGGAGTTCAAGACCAGCCTGGCCAACATGGTGCTACCCTGTCTCTACTAAAAATAAAAAGTTAGCCAGGTGTGGTGGTGGGCGCCTGTAATCCCAGCTACTCGGGAGACTGAGGTAGGAGAATCGCTTGAACCTGGGAGGTAGAGGTTGCAGTGAGCTGAGATTGCACCATTGCACTCCAGCCTAGGTGACAAGAGGGAAACTCCATCTCAGAAAAACAACAACAACAACAAAAACAACACCCAAAAACCAAACAACAACAACTACAACAAAAAGAGAGGGAATGTCTTCAGTAATCTGTGATATGAGAAAGGTCCTAATGTTTGCAACAGGGACTACTGCTGGCATACTGATTTTTACATTTTTATTAGTGGTTAATTAGTGGAAGTGGTGGCTGGAGTAGCAAGAGTCATTCATTTCTCCTATCCTAGGAGGGCGCTTATCCAGAAGTTAGGAAACAGAAGTTCCCCTTCTGCCACACAACTTTCTGTGCCAGGTCACCTTAGGCAAGTCATTGACCTCTGTGGACCTTCGTTTTCTCATCTGTAACATGGGATGAAAGCAGATGTCCAGCCTCCCTCACAGGATTATTAGGAAGTTTAGGTAAGATAATGATAAGGTGCCTTAGAGACTGGAAAACCCTGAGCCATCGTAAGGGATAGATCCTAATGCAGTGCGTTGTCCCAGTGAGGCAGTCCTGGCAGGACCACAGGATAGTTCTTCGTCCCACAGAGGAGGGCTGGTCTGGTGCAGAGGCTGTAGTTGACATCACAGTCGATTGATAAGTTGATGTGATGCTTTGCACTGGGAGTTACACTTGAGAGAATGACTCTAAGATCAAGAGGAAGAGTTGAGTTGGCTTCTCATTTAAATATTTCATCCCTCAAACAAACAGCATTCACTTAGCCATTTGTCAGTAAAAAAGACATTTTTCACTTACACACACACTGTTGGGTGATAATAATAATAGTTTCCTTTATGTATTTACCATGAACTAAATGTTACAAGGTTACTTCAGTTCTTAGAATTCTATGATGTGTATGACGTGCTTACTCTTTTGTTTGTTTGTTTGTTTGTAGAGATGGGGGTCTCGCTTGTTGCCCAGGTTGGTCTTGAACTCCTGGCCTCAAGTGATCCTCCTGCCTCGGCCTTCCAAAGTGCTGGGATTACAGGTATGAGCCACCATGACCAGCCTAAAGTGAATTAATGTTTGATTCTCTGGCTAGACAAGCCCCACTGTGGAAAGGTGGTAGCAACAAGTTGTGAAATAATTTTGAGACCATTTAGTTCTTCTTGGCCTCAGGATGGCAGTTGTGACTGATGCAGCAGGTGTTTTTTTTTTCTCTTTCTTTCTTTCTTTTTTTTTTTTTTTTTCTTGAGACGGAGTCTCGCTCTGTTGCCAGGCTGGAGTGCAGTGGCGTGATCTCTGCTTACCACAACCTCCGACTCCCTGGTTCAAGCGATTCCCCTGCCTCAGCCTCCCGAGTAGCTGGGATTACAGGCATGTGCCACCATCCCCAGCTAATTTTTGTATTTTTCAGTAGAGACGGGGTTTCCCCATGTTGGCCAGGATGGTCTGATCTCCTGACCTCGTGATCCGCCCGCCTCAGCCTCCCAAAGTGCTGGGATTACACGCGTGAGCCACCCCGCCCGGCCAGAGGGTTGTTTCTTTAGCACCTCTTCCTCTGTCCCTCCTTTCTCTGAATCCCGTACTTAAATCACTCCCTGGCTACTCAGGACCATAATCCCTCTTGACTCACCCAGTCAAAACTCACTTCTCTTGAGTCTCTCTGTCCACTGTGACATTTTCATATGATGAATTCAGGAGAACTAACTCTGTTCATGATTAATAGGTGCAAAGATGATGAGTCTAGGAAGATAAAATCTATCTGGTATGTTAGTGGCCCCTTAAACATCTGTCACCAGCCTTCAAGTTCAGGTGCCCCTCTCTTTTCCTGGGACACCCTCTCAGTGTCTAAATGTCATTAAGGTATTTCTACTTAATGTAATTTTGTTTCTCTTATGAATTTATTAAACAAATAGCATTTAAGCATTAAATATTCTTCTATTTATACACTATGTACACAACTAATACATAGACATTTATGGATTTAATAATCCAAACTGATTAAAACACATTATTGATTTTATTTATTTATTTATTTATTTATTTATTTATTTATTTATTTTTTTGAGACGGAGTCTTCTCTGTCACCCAGGCTGGAGTGCAGTGGCGTGATGTCGGCTCACTGCAACCTCTGCCTCCCAGGTTCACGCCATTCTCCTGCCTCAGCCTCCTGAGTAGCTGGGACTACAGGTGCCCACCACCACGCTTGGCTAATTTTTCTGTATTTTTAGTAGAGATGGGGTTTCACCGTGTTAGCCAGGATGGTCTCGATCTCCTGACCTTGTGATCCACCCACCTCAGCCTCCCAAAGTGCTGGGATTACAGGCGTGAGCCACTGCGCCCGGCCTAAATATTGATTTTAGACTTAAACTCATTTAAGCATTTAATTAAAATCTTTCATTTAGCTGGGCACAGTGGCTCATACCTGTAATCCCAGCACTTTAGGAGGCCGAGGCGGGTGGATCACCTGAGGTCAGGAGTTCGAGAACAGGCTGACCAACATGGTGAAACCCTGTCTCTACTAAAAATATACAAATTAGCTGGGCATGGTGGCAAGCGCCTATAATCCCAGCTACTCAGGAGACTGAGGCAGCAGAATCGCTTGAACCCAGGAGGCAGAGGTTGCAGTGAGCCGAAATCGCGCCATTGCACTCCAGCCTGGGTGACAAGAGCAAGACTCCATCTTAAAAAAAAAAAAAAAATCTTGCATTTAATACATAGGATTCTCTTAAATGTCTGAAACCCCCTAAGAAGCAAATGCGTTTTTTTTTTTGAGATGGATTTTCGCTCTTGTTGCCCAGGCTGTAGTGCAATGGCGCGATGTCTGCTCACTGCAACCTCTGCCTTCCGGGTTCAAGCAATTCTCCTGCCTCAGCCTCCCAAGTAGCAGGGATTACAGGTGTGCACTACCATGCCCGGCTAATTTTTTATTTTTAGTAGAGATGGGGTTTCACCATGTTGGTCAGGCTGGTTTTGAACTCCTGACCACAGGTCATCCACCCACCTTGGCCTCCCAAACTGCTGAGATTACAGGTGTGAGCCACTGCACCCGGCCTACGAATGCAATTATTATTATTATTTTATTTTTATTTTTTGGAGACAGAGTCTTCCTCTATCACCCAGGCTGAAGTGGAGTGGCACCATCAGGGCTCACTGCAGCCTCAACCTCCTGAGCCCAAGGAGTCCTCCCACCTCAGCCTTCCAAGTAGCTGGGACAACAGGCCTGCACCACTGCACCTGGGTAATTTTTAAATTTTTATAGAGATGGGGTCCCACTATGTTGCTCAGACTGATCTTGAACTCCTGGCCTCAAATGATCCTCCCACCTCAGCCTCCTAAAGTGCTGGGATTACAGGCATGAGCCACTGTGCCCAGCCTGGAACACTAACTTTTAACAACTATCTGCACACAGAGAAGCATCATCACAAGAACCAAAAATCAGGTGAGCAATCACAGTAACTGGATTTAACTTCATATCACTAAAGGAAACATTGAGGAGGGCAGGAGAGACAGTCTTGAATTGTGACGCCCCTTCCGTCCTCCCTGGCAGTGTCCCTGCAGCGTGGAAAGAGAGTCTTTGCATTTTGGGGAGGGAGGGCATGGGGTGGGGGACTTTATATTGAACTCACTGCTGCACTGTCATAGCGGAGAGCAAAGTCATGCTGGGATCGACCGGCACCTGCATGTGGAGGGGGGCATCTGGGCCAGCCCTAGCCAGAGGGAAATCACCTGTCCCAGTGGTTGGAACTTGAGTTTCTCTGCAAGCCTCACCACCATGGGCCAAAGTGCTCTGGTGTCCTAGGTAAACTTGAAAGGCAGTCTAGGCTGGATGCGGTGGCTCACACCTATAATCCCAGCACTTGGGGAAGCTGAGGCAGGAGGGACACTTGAGCCCAGGAGTCTGAGACCAGCCTGGGCAACATAAGGAGGCCATATTTCCACAAAAGAAAAAAAAGAAAAGGCAGTCTAGGACCCAAGGACTGCAATTCCTAGACAACTCCTAGTGCTCGGCTGGACTTACAGCCAATGGACTAGGGTTGCACTTGACCTAGGTAGACACCAGCCGGTATGGCTAAGGGAGGGCTTGTGCCACCCCTTCTCCAATCCCAGGCAGTGCAGCTCCTAGCAACGAAAGTGACTCCTTCCCTCTGCTTAAGGAGAGATGAGCAACGGGTAAAGAGGACTTGGTCTTGCATCTTGGATACCAGCTCAGCCACAGTAGGATAGGGCACTGGGCCAAGTCATGAGGCCCCCATTCCAGGCCCAACTCCCAGATGTCATTTTTAGATACCTGGGCCAAAAGGGAAGCTGCTGCCTTGAAGAGAAGGGCCCAGTACTTGCAGGATTCATCACCTGCTGACTAAAGAGCCCCTGGGCCCTGCATAACTAGCAGCAATAACCAGGTAGTACACTGTGGGCCTTGGGTGAGACTCTGAGACATGCTGTCTTCAGCAGTAACCCAGCACATTCCCAGCTATGGTGGCTATGGTGAAAGACTCCTGCAGTTTGAGAAAAGCAGAGGGAAAAGTAAAGGGGACTTTGTCTTGTACCTTAGGCACCAGCTCAACCATGGTAGGGCAGAGCAACAAGCAGTCTCTTGGAGTCCCCAAATCTAGGTGTAGATTCTGTCCTGGACCTGCCCCTCTGGCTCATGGCAGGTCCAGAGGGGAGCCTGCTGCCCTGAAAGGTAAGTCCCAGGCTTGGCAACATTCACCACAAGCTGATGGAAGAGTTCTTGGGCTTTAATTTTTATTTTTATTTTTTCGAGACGGAGTCTTGCTGTCACCCTGACTGGAGTGCAGTTGTACCATCTGGGCTCACTGTAACCTCCGTCTCCTGGGTTCAAGAGGTTCTCCTGCCTCAGCCTCCCAAGAAGCTGAGCTTACAGGCACCCACCACCACACCTGGCTAATTTTTGTATTTTTAGTAGAGACAGTGTTTCACCATGTTGGTCAGGCTGGTCTTGACCTCCTGACCTCAAGTGATCCACCTGCCTCGGCCTCCCAAAGTGCTGGGATTACAGGCGTGAGCCACCACAGCCGGCCACCTTTGGGCTTTAAGTGAACATTGGTGGTGGACTGGCAGAATTGCTGTGGACTGGTGGTGGTGGTTGCCATAGGGAGAGGCTCCTCTGCCTAAGGAAAGGGGAGGGATGAGTGGGAGGGACTTTGTATTGTGGTGTCAGCGCCCGCTTAGCCACAGTAGAACAGAACATCAGGTAAATTACCAAAGTTTTTGACTCCAATCCCTGGCTCCCAGACAGCATCTCTGGAGAAGCTCTTAGCCTAGAGGAACTTGTTGCCCTGAAGGGAAGGCCCTGGCAAAGACCCAGTGCTGTGCTGGCTTCAGATCTGACCCAGTGCAGTCCCAGTGACGGCCACAGGGGTGCTTGTGTCACCACACCCCCAGCTCCAGGTGGCTCAGCAAGAGAGAGAGAGACTGTATGTTTGGGAGAAAGTAAGCAAAAAGAACAAGAGTCTATGCCTGATAATCCAGAAAATTCTTCCAGCTCTTATCCAAGACCACCAAGGCAGTACTTCTAAGAGTCTGCAAAACCACAGCATTATTGGGTTTCCCAAGAAGGACAGGCACAAACAAGCCCAGGGCTGTGAAGGCTACAATAAATACCTAACTCTTCAATGCCCAGATACCGACAAACGCCTATAAGCATCAATACCATCATGACCTCATCAAATGAACTAGATAGGCTATCAGGGACCAATCCTGGAGAAAAAGAGATATATGATCTTTCAGATAGATCATTCAAAATAGATGTTTTGAGGAAACTAAAAGAAATTCAAGGGCCGGGTACGGTGGCTCATGCCTGAAATCCCAGCACTTTGGGAGGCTGAGGAGGGCGGATCGCGAGATCGGGATCGAGACCATCCTGGCTAACATGGTGAAACCCCATTTCTACTAAAAATACAAAAAATTAGCTGGGCGTGGTGGCACGTGCCTGCAGTCCCAGCTACTCAGGAGGCTGAGGCAGGAGAATCGCTTGAACCCAGGAGGCAGGGGTTGCAGTGAGCCGAGATCACGCTACCGCACTCCAGCTTGGGTGACAGAGTGAGACTCCATCTCCAAAAAAAAAAAATTAAGATAGCATAGAGAAAGAATTCAGAATTCTATCAGATAAATTTAACAAGGAGAATGAAATAATTAAAAAGAATCAGGCAGAAATTCAATAGTTGAAAAATACAATGGACATGCTGAAGAATGTACGACTCTTTTGAAAATTTTTTTGAAAATTTTTTTTCTTTTTCCTTTTTCCTTTTCTTTCTTTCTTTTTTTTTTTGTGGGGGGGACAGAGTCTTACTCTGTTACCCAGGCTGGAGTGCAGTGGCACAATTTCAGTTCACTGCAACCTCCGTCTCCTGGGTTCGAGAGGTTCTCCTGCCTCCGCCTCCCGAGTAGCTGGGATTACAGATGCCCACCACCACGCCTGGCTAATTTTTGTATTTTTAGTAGAGATAGGGTTTTGTTGTGTTGGCCAGGCTGGTTTCGAACTCCTGATCTCAGTTGATCCGCCTGCCTTGGCCTTTCAAAGTGCTTGGATTTCAGGTGTGACCCACTGTGCCCAGCCTTTTTAAAATTTTATTTATTTTAATCTTTCAGAAAAGACAGAATCTCTGAATTGTAGAATTAATCAAGCAGAAGAATTAGTGAGCCTGAAGACAGGCTCCTTGAAAATACAGAGTCAGAGGAGACAAAAGAAAAAATAATAAAAAACAATGAAGCATGCCTACGAGATCTAGAAAACAGCCTCAAAAGGGCAAATCTAAGAGTTATTGGCTTTAAAGAGGAGGTACAGAAGACATAGAGATAGAAAGTTTATTCAGAGAAATAACAGAATTTCCCAAACCTATGGAAAGATATCAACATTCAAATAAAAGAAGGTTATAGAATGCCAGGCAGATTAAACTCAAAGACTACCTCAAGGCATTTAATGATCAAACTCCCAAAGCGTCAATAAGTCTGGCAGCAGATTTTTCAGTGGAAGCCTTACAGGCCAGGAGACAGTGGCATGACATATTTCAAGTGCTGAAGGAAAAAAACTTTTACCCTACAATAGTATATCCAGTGAAAATATCCTTCAAGCATAAAGGAGAAATAAAGACTTTTCCAGACAAACAAAAGCTGAGGGATTTCATCAACACCAGACCTGTCTGACAAGAAATGCTAAAGTGAGCTCTTTAATCTGAAAGAAAAGGATGTTAATGAATGAGAATAAATCTCATTACAAAACTCACTGGTAATAGCAAGTATACAGAAAAACACAGAATAGTATAATAATTTAATGGTGGTAGGTAAACTACTCCTGTCTTAAAGTAGAAAGACTAAATGATGAACCAATAGAAAATAATAACTATAGTTTACTGCAGCACTGTTCATAATAGCCAAGATTTGGAAGCAACTAAAGTGTCCATCAACAGATGAATGGATAAAGAAAATGTACATATACATAATGGAGTACTATTCAGCCATAAAAAGAATGGTATCTTGTCATTTGCAACAATATGGATGGAATTGGAGGTCATTATGTTAGATGAAATAAGCCAGGCATAGAAAGACAAACATCACATGTTCTCACTTATTTGTGGGATCTAAAATCAAAACAATTGAACTCATGGACAGAGACAGTAGAAGGATGGTTACCAAAGGCTGGGAAGAGTAGAGCTATGGGGGACACGTGGGGATGGTTAATGGGACAAAAAAAATAGTTAGAAAGCATGAATAAGACCTGGTATTTGATAGCACAACAGGAGGACTACAGTCAATAATAACTTTTTTTTTCTTTTTTTTCGGATGGAATCTCCCTCTGTTGCCCAGGCTGGAGTATAGTGGCACCTTCTCAGCTTACTGCAGCCTCCACCTCCTGGGCTCCAGTGATTCTCCTGCCTCAGCCTCCCGGGTAGCTGGGATTACAGGCATGCACCAACACCCCTGGCTAATTTTTGTATTTTTTGGAATGATGGGGTTTCACCATGTTGGCCAGGCTAGTCTCAAACTCCGGACCTCAGGTGATCCGCCCGCCTCGGCCTCTCAAAGTGTTAGGAGTATAGGCATGAGCCACTGCGCCCAGCTGATAATAACTTAATTGTACATTTAAAAATAACTACAAGAGTATAATTGCATTGTTTGTAACACAAAGGATAAATACTTGAAAGGATGGATACCCAATTTTCCATGATGTGATTATGACACACTGCATGCCTGCACCAAAATATCTCATGTACCCCATAAACATATATACCTACAACGTACACACAAAATTAAAAAATCATTAATAAAATAATAAAATGAGGCCGGGCGTGGTGGCTCACTCCTGTAATCCCAGCACTTTGGGAGGCTGAGGCAGGCGGATCACCTGAGGTTGGGAGTTCAAGACCAGTCTGACCAACATGCAGAAACCCCATCTCTACTAAAAATACAAAATTAGCCGGGCGTGGTGGTGCATGCCTATAGTCCCAGCTACTTGGGAGGCTGAGGCAGGAGAATTGCTTGAAGCCAGGAGGCGGAAGGTTGCGGTGAGCCAAGATTGTGCCATTGCACTCCAGCCTGGGCGACAAGAGAGAAACTCTGTCTCAAAATAAATAAATAAATAAATAAATAAATAATAATAAAATGAAATAAAAATAAATAAATGTACAAAACCAGGGAGTAGTTTTTAGTATACTCATGGAGTTACAAAACCAACACCATAATCAATTTCAGAACATTTTCATCAACCCCAAAAGAAAGCCCAAACCCATGAGCAGTCACTCCCAATCTCCTAACCCTCCCCTACTCCACCCCAGCCCTAAGCAGCCACTCATCTACTTTTTGTCTCTAAGGACTTACCTATTCTGTACATTTCATATAAATGGAATAATACAACATGGTGTCGTTTTGACTGGCTTCTTTCATTTAGCACAATGTGTTCAAGGTTCATCCATGTTGTAGCACATATCAGTACTTTATTTCTTTTTATTTTCAAATTCATTTTTATTCTAGCGTATGGCTGTATATATCACATTTTATTTTCCATTCATCCGTTGAGGGACATTTAGGCCATTTCCATTTTTTATTGTTGTTGTTGTTGTCGTTGTTGTTTGGCTATTATGAATAATGCTGCTATGAACATTTGTGAACAAGTTCTTGTGTAGACATAGATTTTCATTTTTCTGGGCTATAAACCTAGAAGTAGGATTGCTGAGTCATACAGTAACTCCATGTTCAACCTTTGGAGGAATGGTCAGACTATTTTCCAAAGTGCTGTACCATTTCACTGTCCAACAGCTGTGCATGAGAGTGCCAATTTTTCCACACCCTTGCCAACACTTATTATCTCTCTTTTTACTATAGCCAGCCTAGTGGGTGTGAAATTATATCTCACTGAGGAATATAACTGCTTTTAGTTAGGTACACATCTTTTACATAAATTTTAGAATTTTGCGGGCCAAGCACGGTGGCTCACACCTGTAATCCCAGCACTTTGGTAGGCTGAGGAGAATGGATCACCTGAGGTCAGGAGTTCAAGACCAGTCCGGCCAACATGGCAAAACCCTGTCTCTACTGAAAAAACAAAAATTAGCCGGGCGTGGTGGCACATGCCTGTAATCCCAGCTAGTCGGAAGGTTGAGGCATGAGAATCGCTTGAACCCAGGAGGCGGAGGTTGCAGTGAGCCGAGATCACTCCATTGCACTCCAACCTGGGTGACAGAGCGAGACTTCGTATCAAAAAACAAAAACAAAAAAACAAACAAGAATCTCACAACATATTTTCTCCCCCTAATATAACACACTTCAATAATCTCTTGACCATTATTACATAATGAATTTTTCTCTCATTATGATATACTGACTTGATCTGTTAGCAGTATTAAATCTTATGCATATCTTATTTGTATTTTATTATAACTAGTAGGGCAATTTAAATATTCAATATTCTAGAAGATGAAGAATTGGGTTGACTTGGTTAGCTCTTCTTTTTAGTGATATTTTTGGTTAATTTATTGTCTTGGTACCTACTATTGAAACTCCCTTCTCTTTCATTATTGCCTCTGACATCATCTCATGTCAGACGTTCTTATTTCTGCTAACATTCATATTTACAGCAGGGCTGTTACTGGCGGTGAATCCGTAGGTGTCTGCAGCAACCTCAATTCTTACCTCCTCAGAAGAAAGAATTTGACTGAGGGGCATAAGGCAGGAGACAACGAGGCAAGTTTTAGAGCAGGAGTGAAAGTTTATTAAAAGGCTTTAGAGCAGGAAGGAAAGTACATTTGGAAGAGGGCCAAGTGGACGACTTTAGAGATCAAGTATGTGGTTTGATCTTTTGACTTGGGTCTTTTTTTGTTTGTTTTTTGTTTTTTTTTTTTTTGAGATGGAGTCTCTCCCTGTCACCCAGGCTGGAGTACAGTGGTGCAATCTTGGCTCACTGCAACCTCCGCCTCCCGGGTTCAAGCGATTCTCCTGCCTCAGCCTCCCAAGTAGCTGGGATTACAGGTGTGCACCACCAAGCCTGGCTAATTTTTGTATTTTTAGTAGAGACGGGGTTTCACCATGTTGGCCAGGCTGATCTCAAACTCCTAATCTCAGGTGATCTGCCCACCTTGGCCTCCCAAAGTGCTGGGATTACAGGTGTGCCACTGCACCCGGCCTGACTTGAGGTTTTATACATTGCATGCTTCGGGGGTCTTGGTGTTCCTTCTCCCTTGATTCTTCCCTTGGGCTGGGCTGTCCATATGTGCAGTGGTCTGCTAGCCCTTGGAAAGGGCGGCATGCACAGTGTGTTTACTGGAGTTGTACGCATGCTCACTTGAGGCGTTCTTCCCTTGCCAGTCTAAAATTCGTAGAGGAAGGACATACACCAGTTAAACTCCACAGTTTTGCCTCTTAGTGAGCATGCTTGAGTCCACTCGCCCAACTCCTGAGATCTTATCAGGAAGCTGCTGATCACCAGTTTCAGGTTTTTTCTATCTATTGGGATCTGCCTGTCCCTGGCGCCAGCTGCTACCAGTTATTATTTTAGAGAAACAGTTAATAACCGCCTGGCCATCACCTGATGCTCGCCTGGCATTCCTGGTGGGTGTGTGTGGTAGGAAGCCCTCTCCTGCTCTGCTCGTGCCTGACTAGCTGCCTACTATAACAGGGCTACTTGGCTTTCTCAGCATTCTCTGTGGGTTTTCTGCTTACACAGACAAAAGCAAGCACCTATCTTTGCTTTATAAACAGACACATAATTAATAGAAGAGACAAAATGAATAGTTCCCTTTTTATTAAAATAAAATTTTAAAACTCAATTCTTCTCTATTACAGTCATCTTTTGTGCCCTTTATGTGAATTTTTATCTGTTATTATCGTGATTTCATGGCCTGCCACAGATTCAATTTACTTCAATTAACCATAATTATCATTCCTCCTCCCATCTTCTTTCTTTCATGCCCGACTGTCAACTTGAACAATGGGAGCTCTTTGAAATTGGCTCCTTTGTCTTTTTAAGCACTGTCCTTGACTTACTTTCCTTCCTTCCTTCCCTCCTTCCTTCCTTCTTTCCTTCCTTCCTTCTCTCTCTCTCTCTTTCTTTCTTTTCTTTCTTTTTTGCGACAGGGTCTCACTGTTGCCCAGATTGGAGTGGCACAGTCACAGCTCACTGCAGTCTTGACCTTCCCAGCATCAGATGATCCTCCCATTTCAGCCTCCCACATAGCTGGGACTACAGGCATGCATCACCATGCCCAGCTACTTTTTGTATTTTTTGTAGAGATGGGGTTTCGCCACGTTGCCCAGGCTGGTCTTGAACCCCTCTGCTCAAGTGATCTGTCCGTCTTGGCCTCCCAAAGTGCTGGGATTACAGGCATGAGCCACGTGCCCAGCCTGTCCTTCACATTCTTGAAGTCATCCTTGCTCTATGGCAACAACAGAACATTCAAGTCCTGTCCTGATTCTTTCCTTCTCTGAGACATGGAATCAGTTGTCACCTAAGCCTTGCATTCTAAGGGGTCCTAGTTTCTATAAATGAAAAACAGTATTTGAAACCAAAGGCTAGGTCCTGGGGTTCCACATGACAGCTAGTGACAAAACTACTACCTCCTCTGTTGGCCACTTTTTTGTTTGTTTGTTTGTTAGTTTGAGACAGAGTCTTGCTGTGTTGCCAGGCTGGAGTGCAGTGGTGCCATCTTGGCTTAGTGCAACCTCAACCTCCCAGGCTCAAGCAATCCTCCCACCTCAGCCTCCCAAGTAGCTAGGACTACAAGTGCACCACCATGCCTGGCTAATTTTTTTTTTTTTTTTTTTAAATAGAGACAGGGTTTCACCATGTTGCCCAGGCTGGTCTCAAACTCCTGGGCTGAAGCCATCTGCCCATCTCAGCCTCCCAAAATGCTGGGATTACAAGTGTGATCCACTGTGCCTGGCCCATAGTTGGCCACTTTTTAAGATAGACGTTAATGTCAAATTTGCTAACTTAACATGCTGTTTGTTGTATCCTACTTGCATTAGAGAGAGCAGGGTAGACTCATCATGAAAACTTTCCACATCACTGAGAGACAATGAAGGGACCATACCCAGGTTTATGCAGGAATGAAGTGAAGGAATATGTGGAAGTTAAAGTCAGTGTGGGGAAGGCTGGAGAGTGTGAATTGGGCAACACTCCACGTAAGGTGAGGTCAGCTGGGAAACCAGTCCACTGTAGAGATTTTGAAGTCATAAGTTTGAGATAAGGTGAAGTGCTCAGTGATTTTTCCACCTGTTATTTTCACCTAACAAAGACCTGTTTGAGCTATAGTCATTCAGGATGTGACCATGTGTCCCCCACCCCCAAAAGATACGCTGAAATCTTAATCCCTGGTACCTCAGAATGTGATCTGATTAGGAAATAGGGTCTTTATAGAGGTCATCAAGTTAAAATGAGGTCATTAGGGTGAGCCTTAATCCAATAGAATTTGAGTGGAGCCTGGAGCATCTGCAGGACCCAAGAAAGTGACCACAGAGAGGGGCCAAGGGGTGGGGGTGCTGGTGCTGACACTGCAGAGCCTTCTAGGCCTTCTTAGGGATTTGGCATTTTACCTGTATCTGAAGAACAAGGGTTGCACTGATGGCAAGCCAAGATGCATTGTGTTTGCTAGGGGCTGCCAAGTTGCCAAGAGAGGAAATGACTCTGCAGATGGTTCTGCAGGGCCTGGCACAGGGCGAGTTTCCTGCATGAGGGAGGTGCTTTTATTTAATTGTTAAATTTGTTTCCTGTTTATGCCCTTCTTTCTCATATGGGGATGTTCATGGCCTCCTGCCTGGGTGGTGACAGCACTCTCCTAACTGGCCTCATACCCACAGGCTCTGCGTCCTCCAGCCCATCCTATAAGTCAGTTCATCAGACCTCTACCCTGCTCAGGTACTGGCTGGGTGCAGAGCCTGCAGCTTGCACAGAAGGTCGTTCCTGTGCAGCTGACTGCCCCTCCAGGCTCTGTCTGTCTCTTGTCCTCACCCTCACCCCTGCTCCTGCTCTCTGCTGGGCAGACACCACTGGTGGAACTCATGAACATTTGCAGAACTAATGACTGAAGGCACCAGGGCCCTGGCAGCCACCCCACCCTGCATGCAACTGGAGCTCTTCACCACTCTGCACTTTGGTTCTGTGATTTGCCCACCTCCTCTTTCTCTGCCTGTTAAATGGAACATTCATTTGCTACATTCCAGTTCCAGAAGCTTTTAACAAAACCCAGGGAATCCTAGAAGGGTACAGTAAGAGGAATGGAAAGAGGAAAGAAGTTAAAATGTATTTGGTGGCCAGACGCAGTGGCTCATGGCTGTAATCCCAGCACTTTGGGAGGCCGAGGCGGGCGGATCACTTGAGATCAGGAATTCAAGACCAGCCTGGTCAATATGGCAAAACCCCATCTCTACTAAAAATATAAAAATTAGCTGGGCGTAGTGGCGGGCAACTGTAATCCTAGCTACTCGGAAAGCTGAGGCACGAGAATCACTTGAACCCCAGAGGCAGAGGTTGCAGTGAGCTGAGATCGCACTACTGCACTCCAGCCTGGGTGACAGAGTGAGACTCCAATTCCAAAAATAAATAAATAAATAAATAAATAAATAAATGTGTTTGGTTCAGGGGAAAGACTAAAGCTACTGAATAACCTTTGATGTTAAATAAAATTATAACTTTAAATAGATGTAAGGGAAATCATGAATTAGACTAGAACTAAAGATGCATGTTTTAAACTACTGGAAGGGCTGAAACAACAACATAGAGAGCAACCCTTTCGGTGAAAATCAGGGGAAAAAATAGTACTCAGAAAAAATAAAGTAATATAGACATAAAAGCTTATCTCTTTTTTAAACAGAGTATTCGTGTTCCATGAAACTGCTGGTGATAATTTTTAAAAAGTGTATTCATGGAGAAAGTTCTGATGAGATATTATTTCGGCGGTTATTCCTTGGTGGTAGAAGCTTTTCAGGACTTTTCAACTTTGTACTTTGTACTTTTACAAAGACCTGTATAGTACTGGGTTTATAATAAAAACAAAACAAACACAAAAGCCCATTCATCTGCAAACAACTCATTGTTCAAGTCTTTCCTGACCCTCCCACTGAACTCCCAGGCTGATGGTGACTTTCTCATGACATTGAAGGACATTGAATAATTATAACTACTGTAACTAATGGGCCCAGCACTAAGCTCTCTAAGCCTCATCTTCCTTATCTGTAAAGTGGGGATAGTCAGAGTTCCCATGTGATAGGCTTGTTGAGATGACTCAACCAAATATTTGTATACGAAATTCTTAGCATCGTGTCTGGCACGATAAGAACTCAATAACAATTTGCTGTTGTTACCATTATTATTATAATTTATTTTATGTTATTTTTTGAGTGACAGAGTGTCACTCTGTCCCCCAGGCTGGAGTGCAGTGGCACGATCTTGGCTGACTGCAACCTCCACCTGCTGGCTTCAAAGGATTCTCCTGCCTTAGCCTCCTGAGTAGCTGGGAATACGCCCCCGGCTAATTTTTTTTTTTTTTTTTTTTTTGAGACTCGCTCTGTCACCTAGTCTAGAGTGCAGTGGTGCGATCTCGGCTCACTGCAACATACGCCTCCCAAGTTCAAGCGATTCTCCTGCCTCAGACTCCTGCATAGCTGGGATTACAGGCACCCGCCATCATGCCCAACTAATTTTTGTATTTTTGGTAGAGATGGGGTTTCACCATGCTGGCCAGGCTGGTCTTGAACTCCTGACTTCAGGTGATCAGCCCACCTCAGCCTCCCAAAATGTTGGGATTACAGGTGTAAGCCACCGTGCCCAGCCTAATTTTTGTATTTTTAGAAGAGACGGGGGTCTCACCATGTTGACCAGGCTGGTCTAGAACTCCTGATCTCAGGTGATCTGACCACCTTGGCCTCCAAAAGTGCTAGGATTACAGGTGTGAGCCACTGCACCCAGCCTCTAACTTACTTTAATTCCAAACATCCTTCCAAGGTAGGCATTATGAGCTTTATAAATGATGAAAATATGGCTCAGAGAGGTTAAGTAATTTGCCTAAAGTCACACAGCTAGTAAAGGGTTTCCTAGGACATTACATGAAAGTTAATCACCTACGAATGAAAGTTGTGGGGAGTCTGTGCACAGTGAATGAGAGGCACTAACTGGAAAAGACACTGTAGATGGTGCTAAGGAAATTGGGGAGTAAATAAATCCAATCAAAGGGAGCCAAGGGGAAGTATGCATGGATAAAGACTAGACCTAAGGAAGCAAAAATCAAATCCATGGTACTAGGCGCCAACTGAAGAAAGAATGTGGATGCAGAAGAGGGTGGCCTTTATGGAATCTAGAAAAGCGGGGCTCAAGGGACAAGAATCATGAGCTGTTTAGTCATTGTTCCCTGCAGGGGAACATGAAGACAGGTATGTTCTGGCCATGAGTATTCTGTTGTAACCTATTTTAATTTTATTTTCTTAATTTTCTTTAATAGAGACAGGGTCTGGTATGTTACCCAGGCTGATCTCCTGGGCTCAAGTGATTCTCCCACCTCAGCCTCCCTAAGAGATTGCAGGCATGAGCCACCACGCCCAGCCATAACCTACTTTTAATCAGCAGCTTCAAAATGGCTGTGACATCAAGTGTATAATAACACTGAACTCACAGTCATGCTCTACATATCAAAAGATGGGTGGAGAGAGACTTCTTCTGTCAGTTTGATGGAAGAATATGTGTGCCGTCTGTTTCATGTACACTAGAATTCATCCCTGAATTAAGCCAGACCAGTGGCACGGACACACAGCATGGGACTGCACTGATCTGACTGATTCTGCCGGAACATGGTGCCACCAGCTGTAACAGGAACACCGAAGAAATGAATAAATCCTATGAAAACTTGTATTTATGGTAGTGGTGTGGTTGAGACGTTGTTCACTTTATCACACCCCTTCTGGTCAAGGGAGACCAGAAGAAAACTGCTTCCTGGTCTCAGGGAAAGGATTAGTTGTGTTACTATTGCGGGACTTTTCCTTAGTTCAGCTAAAGACGGGTTCTTTGTCCCACAGCCACGAAAATTCAGGCTCGCAGACAATCTGAATGGTGAATGAGATGGGTTTTATTGGATGAAAAGGAAGAAAACGGAGAAACAGGGACTGTCGCTAGGCCAGAGTCCCTACTAGAGCGCTTCCCACCCGCCATTCAAATCCCAGGATCCACACACTAAGAAGAGGGGCCAGGCTGCTCCCCGCTGCAAAGGGCACAAACTTCCTGAGGCTCCACCTCAGTGGGCAGGCTGGTTGGCATTTCTCCAGGGAACCCCTCCCACCTGGCTGTCTCACTACTTCTGAGACTTTGGACACTGGAAGCCATGTGATGATTGTGTTTCCCTCTTTGAATTGGCTTCTAGAGAGCTCAGTTCCAAACCTGCGACCCCCACCCCCAGCACAGCATGATGTTTATACTAATCTTACTGGTTTTATCTGATTTTTCTAACTCTTTACTTGCCTTCGTATTTTTCTTTCTTTTTCTTAGAGATTTTGGGGTCTCACTCATAGCTCACTGCAGCTTCAAACTCCTGGGCTCAAGTGATCCTCCAGCCTCAGCCTTCTGAGGAAGTAGCTAGGACTATAGGCATGTGCCCCAACAGCCTGGCTAATTCATTTTATTGCTTTTTTAGAGATGAGATCTGGCTATGTTGTCCAGGCTGGGCAGTCTCAAACTCCTGGCCTCAAGCAATCCTCCTGCCTCAGCCTCCAGAGTAGGTGGGGTTACAGGCAGGCACCACCAGGCTCAGCCTTAGTTGTAATTTTTAATTCTGTTGTATTGTGTTTAAGCTATTTTAGATTTTGTTTAAAACAAGGCTGGTATAGATACATACAATGTTTTATTCCTGGACTGGGTTTTACTATGACCTGGATGAAATACTCCTAAAATATCTACCTCTCTTAACTTTGATTTCTTGGTCACCCAGCAACGTATTTTGATTGGCAGTCAACTTTTCCTTTCAGGTATCTTGCTACTAGTTTATTTAGTTATTTTGTCATTTCACTGTTTCCATTCACTAGTTTCCATATTTCATTGCGTCCTTTTTTGCTCTTGTGTGTTTTTTTTTATGTCATTCTTTTAAGTTTATATCATATTTGTGTAATGTGGTTTTTTTCTTAACTTTTAAATTATTTTGAAGTCAATTTCATTACAAATTTCTTTTTTTAGCCAGGTGCAGTGGCTCACACCTGTAATCCCAGCACTTTGGGAGGCCGAGGTGGGCAGATCACCAGAGGTCAGGAGTTCGAGACCAGCCTGACCAACCTGGAGAAACCCTGTCTCTACTAAAAATACAAAAATTAGCCGGGTGTGGTGACACATGCCTGTAATACCAGCTACTAGGGAGGCTGAGGCAGGACAACCACTTGAACCTGGGAGGCGGAGGTTGTGGTGAGCCGAGATCATGCCATTGTACTCCAGCCTGGGCAACAAGACTGAAACTGCGCCTCAAAAAATAAAAAATTTAAAAAAATAATTAATTAAATTAATTAATCATTATTATTATTATTATGAGACAAGGTCTGGCTCTATCACCCAGGCTGGAGTGCAGTGGCACAATCACAGCTCACTGCAGCCTGGACTTCGCTGGCTCAAACTATCCTCCCACCTCAGCCTCCCAAGTAGCTGAAATGGATACGTGCACCAACACGCCCGGCTAATTTTTGTATTTTTAGTACAGACAGGGTTTCGCCATGTTGCCCAGGTTGGTCTCAAACTCCTGAGCTCAAGTGATCCACCTGCCTTGGCCTCCCAAAGTGCTGGGATTATAGGCATGAGCCACCATGCCTGGCCTAAAATTTCTTTTACTGTGGTAAAAATAAACATATATATAATTCAGCTATAAACGAGGAATTACATTCTGATACATGCTACAACATGGATGAATATTGAAAAAAAATTATGCAAAATGAAATGAGCCAGAAACAAAAGGACAAATATTGCATGATTTCACTTACATCAGATATTTAAAATGGGGAAATCTGGTTTGTCAGCACAGCAGGGAAAAAAATAAATAAAAATAAAATAGGAAAATCATAGAGGTGAAAAGTCAATTTAGCCAGGTGTGGTGGCTCATACTTGTATGTGTGTGTGGTGTGTGTGTATATATATGTGTGTGTGTGTGTGTGTGTGTGTATGTTATATATATGAAAATGTATATAAGGTAAGATTTCCCATTTAACCATTTTATTTTATTTTATTTTATTTTATTTTCTCAAGACGGAGTCTCGTTCTGTTGCCCACGCTTGAGTACAGTGGCACGATCTCGGCTCACTGCAACCTCCACCTCCTAGGTTCAAGCAATTCTCCTGCCTCAGACTCCTGAGTAGCTGGGATTACAGGTGCCTGCCACTATGCCTGGCTAATTTTTGTATTTTTAGTACAGATGGGGTTTCACCATGTTGGCCAGGCTGGTCTTGAACTCCTGACCTCAGGTGATCCTCCCACCTCGGCCTCCCAAAGTGCTGGGATTACAGGCCTGAGCCACTGCACCCAGCCTAACCATTTTAAATGTATAATTCATTGGCATTAATTACATTTGACGTTGTTGTGCAGCTGTCAACCACTATCTGTTTCCAAATTTTTTTCATTACTCCAAACAGAAACTCATTACCCATTAAGCAATAACTCCCCATTCTCCTTTCCGCCCAGCCCCTGGTAACCTCTAATCGACTTATTTTCTTTTCTTTTTTTTTTTTTAGAGGTGGTGGGGGTGGGTGTCTCACCATGTTGCCCAGGTTGGTCTCGAACTCTTGGCCTCAAACAGTTCTCCTGCCTCAGCCTCTCAGAGTGCTGGGATTACAGGCATGAGCCACGGCACCTGGCCAAATTGACTTTTCACCTCTATGATTTTTGTATTTTACTTTTATTTATTTTTTTTCCTGCTGTGCTGGCAAACCAGATTTCCCCATTTTAAATATCTAACGTAAGTGAAATCATACAATATTTGTCCTTTTGTGTCTGGCTTATTTCATTTTACATAATTTTTTCAATGTTCATCCATGTTGTAGCATGTATCAGAATGTAATTTCTGCTGGGCGCGGTGGCTCATGCCTGTAATCCCAGCACTTTGGGAGGCCGAGGCTGGCAGATCACCTGAGGTCAGGAGTTGGAGACCCGCCTGGCCAGCATGGTGAAACCCCGTCTCTACTAAAAAAAATACAAAAATTAGCTGGGCGTGATGGCGCGTGCCTGTAATCCCAGCTACTCAGGAGGCTGAGACAGGAGAAACCCTTGAACCGGGGAGGCGGACGTTGCAGTGAGCCAAGATTGCGCCACTGCGCTCCAGCCTGGGTGACAGAGCAAGACTCTGTCTGCAAAATAAAATAAAATAAAATAAATAAATAGAATGTAATTTCTTTTTTATGGCTGAATAATAGTACTTTGTAATATTTTCATTATTGTGTATCTTTAAATTAATTTTAACGCCTTTCTTTTTTTTTTCTCTTTTTTTTTTTTTTTTTTTGGTAGCGATTTGGACCTCACTATGTTGCCCAGGCTGGTCTCAAACTCCTGGGCTCAAGCGATCCTCCCCTCTCGGCCTCCCAAAATGCTGGGATTACAGGCGTGAGCCACCTCGTCCTGCCACCATTTTATTTTTTGAATGATTTCTTATTGTCTTAACTTCTTAGGTGACTAACAATGAGGCTTGCTACTATCACCCTAGCATAATGATATCATCCTTAGCAAGGGAGTTGGGCGCTCTTACCGGTAGATGGCGCTGTCGATCTTTTAAAAAGCGAGCTCTCCTGCCCTCCCACTTTGAGCTCGCTGAGTCAAAACACAGCCCGAATAGTTTAGGAGCTCCAAAGCCCCGCTTATCTCCACTTTCCAAATTCTCTCTCATTAAGACCAACAAAAATTTTACCTTTATTATTAGTTATGTGACCTGCTAAGACAATTTATAACACTTTTTATTATGGAAATTTTCAAACTTACACAAAAATAAAGAAAATACCTCTATTTACCTACCATGGGACTTCAACAATTATTAGCATTTACAAATCTTGGAACAATGTTATTTTCTCACATTATGTTCTATCTCATCCCTCTTAAAGAGTTATCAGATGGGAAATCCATGGTCTAGGCTCAATAAAATCACTCTACATTAGGAAAGTCTTGGAAACAGATTGCGTTTTAGCAGGAAAAGGAGGGGGGTTGATGATTTCATTCAATAAAACAGCCTTAACTCACCGCCGTGACCAATAACCGGGTAATGTGGAAGCTCCCCGTAAGATTCCTCGTGGAAGGCAAAAATAGAGCACAACTGGGCTTTTGAATACCTCTTACATCTGCCTGCCTTTGTCTTGTCTATTTTCCAACCTGATTTCACCTGCTCCCTATCAGGATCTTAGCCTCTCAGGGTGCAGCTGATCTCAGTTCCTTTCCTTATAGTGAGACCAAGATAAGTTGACTGGGCCTGGAAATATTCTCAAGAGAGGTTTTAGAATGGAGTCAACTGCATTTCCACTGAGTCATGTCTGAAGATAAATCACAGGGCATCTATTCAGCAGTCCAGGCTGATATCTATCTTACTTCCTGAATGTGGGTCTCGGGTATCCCTCAGAGCAGCTGTCTGATATCAGGAAGGGAAATGTGTGTTAGAGATGGTTTATTGTTATAAGTCAAACAAATAAATTATTGAATAAAACATGTTCCAGCTTTTGTCTTGATAAATATACCTTCATACTGATCTTGAAGGCTAGTGTAGCAGATACTGTTGTGTGCCACCCAAATCCTACCTTCAACATTGTCACTTATTCCCCAGCTGCCAGGGGTGTTGGTTGTGACAGCTCTGTCTCTGGGAATTGCCCTTAGCTGAAAAGAGCTGTCTTGCCCAAGGTTACACCTCCCCTCCCTGGGGGCAGCCACATCCAATGACTGATAGATAAGATAAGAACATACAAAGTCCTGGTTACCTTGCTTCAAGTTTGGCCACCTTTTTGTTTGTTTGTTTGTTTGTTTGTTTGAGATGGACTTTCGCTCTTGTTGCCCGAGCTGGAGTGCAATGGCACAATCTCTGCTCACTGCAACCTCCGCCTCCTGGGTTCAAGTGATTCTCCAGCCTCAGCCTCCTGAGTAGCTGGGATTACAGGCGCATGCCACCATGCCCGGCTAATTTTTTGTATTTTTAGTAGAAACGGGGTTTCACCATGTTAACTAGGCTGGTCTTGAACTGCTGACCTCAGATAATCCTCCCCCACTCGGCCTCCCAAAGTGCTGGGATTACAGGCGTGAGTCACCGCGCCCGGCCGAGTTTGGCCAAATTTAAAGGACTTTTCCAGTGCCAGAGGCCTCCACAACCCATGAGATCAGCTCAGTACTCTTTACGGCTTCATTACAGTTCAACTGCTCCCTTTCCCTGTCCCGTTTCTCTCAGCTTTTAAAGGTGTTTGTCCCAAGATTGTTCCCCAATAAAACTTCTGCAGATAAATCTATCTGAGAATCTGTTTTCTGGGGAATCCAGGCTAGGACAGCCAGGCTGGAATTTAGAATTCTGAGACTCCCCTAGGTTCCATGGCAGAATATGGCTGAGTGAGGAAAACTAGCTCTGGGTCCTCTACCTGCATCTGCCCTACTTTCTTTTCCTGAAAATTCAAGTCCCTAAAATCTCCAGACCCATATCCTTCTCTGAAAACAGCCACATTTTGGGGTCTCAGAGCATGCACGACAGCAGCGAGGCATAACCCCTGGGACGATGGCCCCAGGAGGAGGCCCATGCAAACTTGGAAGCAGGCTTGGGGGCCATTAGTGCCAGGAATTCAGGGGTTCCAAGTACCTAGACTGTAGTACTTGTAGAAGAGATGCAACCTCCATGGGTAGGTCTATCCCTTTGGCTTCTCGGACTTTTTGTCCTATAAGTTGGGGGAATGATAGAGCAGGTCCCTCTAGATCATGGAGCCCGGGCAGGGTCCTCATGTGCTTGGATCCAAGGGTGGGAAAACATTTTCTACCTAATTTAAACCAGTGGCATTTGTGTCTCTGTTACAAGCAGCCAAAAATTTATATTTTAACACGTCTAGTTGACTTCCTGCACTTCTATGCCCATCTTCCTAAAAGAGAACAGTGTATCTCTCTAAAAGGGACTTCATCCTTTACTCTCAGGTCCTAGAATATACTGATGTTTCCTACATGTTAATTATGCTTTCCACAATCAAAATTTGATTTCATTAGGAAATCCATTCATGCAAGAGATGTCTCTAATTAAAAACTATCCAAATAACTTCTCCAATAACCAACCACACTGGCCTTTTTGCTCTCCTCCCTGCTGAGGGCTTATATCCCTGGATATCCTTTGACATCCATCAGCCCTGCTCTCTATAGTGACAATCTACAGGAACATTTCCATTTATTGCCTCTCCAGTGATTCTCAGCTCTTTGCAAACAAAATTCCATCCAGTTCCTTCAAAGGGCAGTCCTTTAAAAACCATGAGCCTATACTGTTAGTCATGATATGCGGAAAGAGATTGTTGAGGGTCTCAAGTACCAAATCCACCTACTGCAATGCATTGAGAAAATATGCATCAATTGCTTGTTCTGATAATGTACTGTAGTATGTAAGAGCTTACCACTGGGGAAGCTGCGTGAAGAGTGCACAGGACATCTCGGTACTAATTTTGCAACTTTCTGTGCATCTTTAGTTATTTGAAAACAAAAAGAGAAGAAAAAAAAAGAGGAGGAGGCAGGACATTAAAAAATATAACCTTATGGATGGGCTTGGTGGCTCACGTCTGTAATCCCAGCATTTTGGGAGGCCGAGGCCGGCGGATCACGTGAGGGCAGGAGTTCGAGACCAGCCTAGCCATCATGGCGAAACCCCATCTCTACTAAAAGTACAAAAATTAGCCAGGCGTGGTGGCAGGCGCCTGTAATCCCAGCTACTCAGGAGGCTGAGGCAGGAGAATTGCTTGAACCCGGGAGGCGGAGGCTGCAGTGAGCAGAGATCTTGCCACTTCACTCCGGCCTGGGCAAAAGAGTGAAACTCTGTCTCAAAAACAAAACAAAACAAAACAAAACAACAACAAAAAACTCCTTATTCAAAAATCGAGGCCATTCCAGATAAAGGAACTCTCTTTATATCTACAGTTTTGGCTCCAAACTTTATTGTGGCTTCGTACCTTAGTGAACTGGATTAGTGAGCATGTGTGATTGCAGTGACTGCCTAAAAAAGAGACAGGGCAGCCTGCCCTGTCCCATGAGTCCTTCCCGTTGGGCTTCCATAAAAGGGGTGAAGTGTCCTTCCCCAGCAGGAGGCGGCATTGAGTAATTCTCATGACACCAGCCTTAAAGAAGGACTTACTTGGCCTGCAGTCTGCCACACACATCTCCCTCAGGGCCCCAGCAGGGCCTCTGCAGCTGGTAGGTGCTTAATGGAGGATTTTAGGATTTTGCATCTTGGTTATCTCATCTTTGAGGACTCGACCTACATCTGGCAAGTCTAGGAGATGGAATTGAGGAGGGCATATGCACAGAGTACTGGGAATTAGAGAGCTGAGTCACTGGAGAGTCTCGAACCTCAGAGCAGCTGCCTTTCTCTTGGACTCAGGCCAAGATTGAGGGAGACTGACGACATATTGCATCTCACAGGTTCCCAGGGGCACAAGGCTATTTGCGACCACAGCAGCTCCGTTTGGCTAAGGAGGCCTTGGGTTTCTGAGGGATAGGAAGAATCAGAGCAGAGAAGAGCAGATGGAATGGTGACCGACGTAGGGCCCTGAAGTTTACTTAGGGTTGTCTTCTAGAAATGTGAGGTGCTGTGTTTACAAAAAAAGCATAGCTTGCACTGCTCTCAGTCTCAGGTTCCCAGGGGAAAGGGCTAAATAAGGACAATCTGCAATGCATTGGAAGGAAAAACTGAGAGGCTTATACATTTATGAGAGGTATCCCCACTATGTATTTGTAAATCTTCCAGAATGTAGGAATGTCCAGATGCCATTAAAAAAAAAAAGACTAACTGTATTTATTCATTTATCTATTTTTATTGACATTGTAATTGTATATATTCAGATGCCCTTTTTTTTTTTTTGAGATGGAATTTTGCTCTTCTTGCCCAGGCTGGAGTGCAATGGCATGATCTCAGCTCACTGCAACCTCCGCCTCCTGAGTTCAAGCAATTCTGCTGCCTCAGCCTCCGGAGTAGCTGGGGCTGGGACTACAGGCATGCACCACCATGCCCAGCTAATTTTTCTGTACTTTAGTACAGACGGAGTTTCGCCATGTTGGCCAGGCTGGACTTGAACCCCTGACCTCAAGTGATCCTCCCGCCTTGGCCTCCCGAAGTGCTGGGATTACAGGACTGAGCCACCTCGCTCAGACTTTTTTTTTTTTTTAAATGGAACCCTTCACAAATTTGTGTGTCATCCTTGAGCAGGGGCCATGCTAATCTTCTCTGTATCAGATGCCACTTTCATTTTTAGACGGAGTCTCACTCTGTTACCCAGGCACCTGCCACCATCCCCAGCTGATTTTTTTGTATTTTTAGTAGAGACAGGGTTTCACCATGTTGGTCAGGCTGGTCTCAAACTCCTGACCTCAGGTGATCCACCCACCTTGGCCTCCCAAAATGCTGGGATTACAGGTGTGAGCCACCGCTCCTGGCCTTTTTGTTTTTTAAACTCAGCACTCATCTTAGTATTCTAATATATTATCTCCTAAATAAGTTTTTATTTAACTATTTAAAATTTTTATCAGATTTATACAGATATGTAATTTTAAAAGCCAAATATATATGTGTGTGTATATAAATTACAGATATGTAATTTAAAAAGCCAAAGACAGAACAAAAGCTATAGTCCGGTACCAACCCCTAATTCTCTCTTCCTAGAAGTAAAAGCACTTCGATGCTCAATTAGTTTTTATCTTCCTGTTTCTTAATAACAAGTTATATCAGTCAGGGTTCAGTGCAGCAACTAGAGATTACGCTAGGTAAATTAACAGGAAGACATTTTACAAAGGGTATTAAGAGCTTTTGAAATCTTTATAAGGGCTGAGGGCACAGGTTCTAAGCTGGGCTTTATGGAATGATATCCAGAATTATACAGATCTACTAGGTTTTCTTTTGATCATTTGTCTATGAATTTATCACAAATTTGTCAGCAGATTCTATAGAAGTCTATTTTTTCTCTGCAGTCTAATGTATTACAATTAATCAATTCCCTCTTTTTCTTGGTAATATCTTTCTGTAACCAGGTAAAGGAATTTTCTTAATCCCTGAGGTTTTGGCCCCAAGCCTTTTTTTTTTTTCTTTTTTCTTTTTGAGATCCACTCTGTCACCCAGGCAGAAGTGCAGTGGTGAAATCTTGGCTCACTGCAACTTCTGCCTTCTGGGTTCAAGAAATTCTCTGCCTCCGCCTCTTGAGTAGTTGGAATTACAGGCATGTGCCACCATGCCCAGCTAATTCTTTTGTGTGTTTTTGGTAGAGACGGGGTTTCACTATGTTGGCCGGGCTGGTCTCAAACTCCTAGCCTCAGGTGATCCACCCGCCTTGGCTTCACAAAGTGCTGGGATTACAAGCAGGAGCCACCATGCCCGGCCTCCAAACCATTTTAATCTGGACCTGCGGATCCCTAGTTCTCCTACACAGCAACCTCCTGGGATTTTCATTCTCCTCACTCTTTGGAGGATCCCACATCTTTATCTCTCCTGATCTAATCCCTTACTTTGATGGAACTTCCTAAGGAAAGGGGCAAGGGAGGGCAATTTTTGAAATTTTGTCTGAAAATGTCTTTTATATTATGATTACATCTGATTAATAGTTTTACTGAAAATAAAATTCCAAGTTGTAAAATTTACACCTAAATTAGGAAAGCACTGCTCCACTATCTTCCAGCTTCCAGTGCTACTGTTGAAAAGTCCTCAGCTAGGTGTTATGGTGCGCACCTGTAATACCAGCACTTTGGGAAGCCAAAGTGGGAGGATTGCTTGAGCCCAGGAGTTCAAGACCAGCCTGGGCAACGTAGTAAGATTTCGTCTCTACAAAAAATAAAATTAAATTTAAAAATTAGCTGGGCATGGTGGTACGTGTCTGTAGTTTTCAGAAGGCTGAGAGGGGACGATCCCTTGAGCCCAGGAGTTCAAGGCTGCAGTGATCCATGATTGTATCACTACGCTCCAGCCTGGGTGACAGAGTGAGATCCTGTCTCAAAAAAAAAAAAAAAAAAAAAGGAAAAGAGAAAGAAAAAAAGAGAAAACCCTATACCATTTGAGTTTTGATCTTTTTCATGTGACCTGTTTTTTTCTTTTTGTCCAATTTTGGGATTTTTCTTTTTGTCCTCAGTATTTTTAAAATTATGGTAGTATGCCTTGGATTTCATTCCTTTTGTTAGACACTTCTGTTAGACACTTGAGGTCTATCTCACTTTGGAACCATATCTCTCAGTTCTGAGAAAAGTTCTTGAATTATTTCTTTGATAATTTCATCCCTTCTGTTCCCTCTGTCTATTCTTTCTAGAAATCCTCCTATTCATCCAGATGATCTAATTTTCATATATTTTCTATACCATCTACATTTCTTTTCCTTTTTTTTTTTCTTTTGAGATGGAGTCACCCAGGTTGGAGTGTAGTGGCACTATCTCGGCTCACTCCAATCTCCACCTCTCTCGGGTTCAAGCGATTCTCCTGCCTTAGCCTCCCAAGTAGCTGGGATTACAGGCGTATGCCACCACGCCTGGCTAATTTTTGTATTTTTAGTAGAGACGGGGTTTCACTATGTTGGTAAGGCTGGTCTCGAACTCCTAATCTCAAGTGATCCACCCACTTCCGCAACTCAAAGTGCTGGGATTACAGGCCTGAGCTACTGTGCCCGGTCCCATCTACATTTCTTTACCCTTTGCTTCTTTTTAGAAGATTTCTTCAACTTTAAATTTTTTATTTAATAATGTGTTCTTTTACCATGGAGAAAATATCGTCTCTTATGTTTATGAAAATATTAATTGCAGTGGATTTTATTATTTGGCTCTTTGCATTCTCTAAATTTCCTCTTCTTCTTCTTCTTCTTTTTTTTTTTTTTTTTTTTTTGACAGGGTCTCTCTGTTGTGGTCCAGGGCAATGGCTTAATCACAGCTCAATGAAGCCTCGACCTCCCGGACTCAAGTGATCCTCCCATCTCAGCCTCCTGAGCAGCTGAGACTACAGGTGCACGCCACCGCGCCCGGCTAATTTTTGTACTTTTTGTAGACACAGAATCTCGCCATTTTGCTCAGGCTGTTCTTGAACTCTTGGGCTCAAGCGATCCGCCCAGCTTGGCTTGCGAAGGCACTGAGATTACAGGCGTGAGCCACCGCGCCTGGCTTTATATTCCTTAATTCTTGTGTTTTCAATACCTGTCTTTCATGTCAGTGGTTTTCATCCCATAATGACTAGTTTCTTATCAATGTATTGCCTCTCAACCGTAAATCCATCCTCTTAACTGATCTGTATTGAATTAAGCGGTTCTCCTTCGCAGCCAGCACAATATTAAGCTTTCTCAGTAGAGGGCGCCGGAGGGACACTGCCAGAGGAAAGAATTTCTTTTATCTCTGGTTCCGGGAGCTATGGTTTGTGATTCTTGTTGCTCCTGCGGCAGGGCCCATCAGTGGCCAGGTGGGAACATCCGGTGGTCTCTGTCCTAGCTGCGTGCTGACAGCATGCGTTCCCCCAGCGAGCTGGCCCTGACGTGGACCCTGCATGCCCCAGGCCTTGCATGCAGTGAGTGGGCTCCCGATGCCGCGACCCCCCCAGTTTCCTGCTTGCTCATGACTGTTCACAGGCTTTGGCCTGGGCATCCCAGGGAAATAATCTGGTACCTGGTGGGCACATGCACACTTTCTGCCTTGAGTTCTGAATCCAGCTTTGGGGTGGGGATGCTTCCACGTGTGTCCTTCTTTGGGTACTCTCCCGCGGCCCTACAGCATTCTTTGGAGTTCTCTGCACGTCTTTTTAGCCTGTTACAGCCAATAATTCTTTCTAATAATAAACTTTCTCTGCTCAAATTGGGGCTTGGGCTTTGTGAATGATACAGTAATCCTTGGCTTAGTTAGATCTTAAGCTGTTTGGAAACTCCAGGTGTGTGTGTTGGGGATGGGGGGAGGTTTCAGTGGGCTTCACCATAGTGCAAATGGGCTGAACTGTTTCTCCAGAAGACCCTTGTATTAGGGTCTAGTCAGGTGAAAGAAAAAAATCCAAATATTTAAACAGAGGTAATTTTGTTTTATTTTATTCTATTTGAAAAGGAATTTCACTCTGTTGCCCAGGCTGGAGTGCAGTGGCACAATCTCGGCTCACTGCAACCTCGGTCTCCCGGGTTCAAATGATTCTCCTGCCTCAGCCTCCCAAGTAGTGGGATTACAGGCACCTGCCACCACACCCAGCTAAGTTTTGTATTTTTAGTAGAGACAGGGTTTCACCATATTGGCCAGGCTGGTCTCAAACTCCTGACCTCAGGTGATCCACCTGCCTCGGCCTCCCAAAGTGCTGGGATTGCAAGCGTGAGCCTCCGCGCCCAGACAGAGGTAATTTTATATAAAGGATTGTTAACCACATATTGAGATCTAAAAAGACAAAAAGAGCACTGAGATACCGCAGAGGTAGAACGCGTGGGAATCAGGAATGGGGCAACTGCCTCTCCCTCAGTCTTGGGGAACTGAGGGAAGAGGTCAGTATTATTCAATGGGAGAATCTGGGAGGATGGCCCCACGGAGCTAGAATTCAGTTTCCTAAGGAGGAGCCTGGCCAGTGAGCCGGTATCACTGAGGCCACGGGAAGAGGCCTTTGCCGGGAGTGAGGAAGAACCACAGTTTGGGACTTGCTACTGCTGCTGGACCAGCTGTTGCTACAGGGCTGAAGATCCTCGGCTGTGGTGATGCCGGCAGGATTGGGAGGCCAACAAGGGAAGGGATCCCTTCTTCCTCCAGTGCTGACACCTCCCTCTACACCTAAGAGGGAGCCAGCTGGGAAGGAGAGAGTGGAAGAGGGTTTTGAAGTCAAGTGACAGTAGCTTAATATCCGTCAGAACCCCCTTACTCCTGTGTTCCTAGGTGTTTTTCCTTGTCTGGTCAGTTTCTCCAGAGAAGGTTTCTCTATTAATCGGCCTGGGGCAAGTCTGGCTGCTGGAGTTCTCAGAACCAACTTCATGGAGGGGACCAGGAAGCCTTACTGTTCGATAGGCAGGCTTTTACATAATCCTAAATGACTTTTTCTTTTCTTTTATTGCTTCTCTTATTTTATTTCTTTTATTATTACTTATTTTCTATTTTTTAAATTATTTTATTTTGTTTTCTTCTGGCCACATAAAGCCAGAAGGCCATAGGCTATATATATATATATGTAATTTTTTTTTTTTTGGTAGAGCTGGGGATCTTGCTCTGTTGCCTAGGCTGGTCTTGAATTCCTGGACTCAAGTGATCCTCCTGCCTTGGCCTCCCAAAGTGCTAGGATTATAAGCATGAGCTATCACGCCCAGCCTTAAATGATTTTCATTGTGGTTCCCAGGATGTGGCATGGTTCAACGCCTCCAGCGAGCAAACCACTCATTAGGGTGGAATATAGGGGGTCACTCTGCCATGTGCGTTGAGTTAGGAGATCTAGGGTTCTAGTGGCTTCTTACATAGACCATCAGCCTCTGGTTCCAGGCCTCTTGCACACTCACGTTTGGGATACTTGGTTTCTCCATTCCTTACTGGGGTTCTGCTATGTGAAATCAGCCTGCTTCTGGGATTCTCCCACTGACATTTTACCTTTAAATTTCTCTTATCTGCTAAGACCTTTGTCTATTTGTTATCCAGATCATTATTCTCTATTTATTTAGATTGTGTAGTCAGTTTCTCTCTCTCTCTCTCTCTCTCTCCTCTCCCCCCGCCTTTTGTTCTTGTCAGTCCTTGCCTTTTAAAACCCCTTTATCACATTTTGGTGGGATTTCTGCTGGGAGCAGAGATGGTTGTGTTCAATCAGCTACATAAAGCCTGAAGGCCCGGCCAGGCACAGTGGCTCAGGCCTGTAATCCCAGCACTTTGGGAGGCCAAGGTGGGCGGATCATCTGAGGTTAGGAGTTCAAGACCAGCCTAACCAACATGGAGAAACCCCGTCTATACTAAAAAAAAAAAAACAAAAAACTTAGCCAGCCGTAGTGGTGCATGCCTGTAATCCCAGCTACTCAGGAAGGCTGAGGCAGGAGAATCACTTGAACCCAGGAGGCGGAGGTTGTGGTGAGCCAAGATCCTGCCACTGTACTCCAGCCTGGGAACCAAGAGCGAAACTCAGACTCAAAAAAAAAAAAAAAAAGCCCGAAGTCCCAGTTGAATTTGTGGTGTAGATGTGGTGGGTGGGCTCTGGGTACCCAGCGCAGCTTAGCTGGCAGTATGTAGAAGTGAATACCAGGAAGTCTTTCTTTTCATTTCCCTCTGTTTTCTCTGGCTTGCCTCTGCCCAGGTGGCACTGGGGCCTCTGCTTCAGTGTATGCCTCAATGTATTTCCAACAAGATCCTTTCTTACGGAGACGGAGATGAGACAGCCCAGAAATCTGACTGATATGCCATGCTGTGGAGAGATCTTCCGGGAACAAGAGGGAGTTTGCAGTTCTCATTCTATTTTTGCTGGCCTCTAATGATCAGAAGCAAAGCAGAGCCAAAACAAATAGGCTAATTTACATTCCCTGCTATTAATGCTCATAAAATGCTGCATTTTTATATTGCTGCTCAAAGCACAGACTGCAGAAAGAGTATTGAGGTGGTTCTGACAGCAATCTTAAGAACTGCAGAGAGACTCTCTTGCTCAATAATTTTCTCCTTCTTTTAAAAATAAGGCTGGACATGGTGGCTCACATCTGTAATACCAGCACTTTGGGACACCGAGGTGGGAGGATAACTTGAGTCCAGGAGTTCAAGACCAGCCTGAGCAACATAGTAAGACCCCCATCTCTACAAAAAATACAAAAATTAGCCAGGTGTGGTGGCTCACACCTGTAGTCCCAGCTGCTTGGGAGGCTAAGGTAGGAGGATCACCTCAGCCCAGGGAAGTTGAGGTTGCGATAAGCCATGATTGCACCACTGCACTCTAGTCTGGACAACAGAATGAGACCCTGTCTCAAAAAAATAAATAAATAAAAATAAATAAATTAAATAACATTGGCTGGACATGGTGGCTCACGCCTGTAATCCCAGCACTTTGGGAGGCCGAGGCAGGAGGGCTTGAGTCCAGGAGTTTGCAACCAGCCTGGACAACGTAGTGAGATCTCCATCTCTACAAAAAGCGAACAAAATTAGCCAGGCATGGTGGCGTGTTCTTGTAGCCCCAGCTACTCAGGGAGCTGAGGTGGGAGGATTGCCTGAGCCTGGGAGGCTGAGGCTGCAATGAGCCGAGATCGCACCACTGCCCTCCACCCTGGGCAACAGAGCGAGATCCTGTCTCAAAAAGGAAAAAAAAATTATCAGGTTTGAAATAAAATATACATAATATAAGAAAACAAAAGTAATTTCTAACCCCAATAAATAAAGATAGAAGACATTGTTAACATTTTGGTATATTTTCTTCTTCTGTTTTTTTTTTGTTGTTGTTTTTGTCTTATTTTATTTAGAGATGGTCTCCCTCTGTTGCCCAGGCTGGGGTGCAGTGGTACAATCAGCTGACTGTGACCTTGAACTCCTGGGCTCAACTGATCCTCTGACTCAGCCCCCCAAGTAGCCAGGACTACAGGCATGTGCCATCACATCTAGCTTTTTTTCTTTTTCTGAAATAAGAATGGGTTATATTTTGCTGTAACAACATGGGGTTAGGGACCAGGCCTGCGTAGTTGTAGTCATGCTTTATGATATGGCTGGTGACTCAGTTAACTGCTGGTTCATGAGCTGGAGCAATCCCAAAATGGTTTTCTAAAGGATGCCTGGCCCTGGTGTTTCCACACTGGCTCCTGTGGAGCATCTCTAAGCAGAGGCTGCATGGTGTTCTGTCCAGGTGGGAGCACAGGCTGAGTGACTCAGTTTTCATGAGGCGATGTATACCTGTTGCCCGCCCAAATGAGTTCTTAACAAATGGTAATGAGACTGGCCACCGTGGCTCACGACTGTAATCCCAGCACTTTGGGAGGCTGAGGCTGGCGGATCACTTGAGGTCAGGAGTTGGAGATCAACCTGGCCGACATGGTGAATCCCCGTCTCTACTAAAAATACAAAAAATTAGCTGGGCGTGGCGGGTGACTGGAGTCCCAGATGCTTGAGAGTCTGAGGCAGGAGAATCACTTGAACCCGGGAGCCGGAGGTTGCAGTGAGCCGAGATGGCGCCACTGCACTCCAGCCTGGACAACAGAGTGAGACTCCACCTCAAAAAAAAAAAAAAGAAATAAACAAAGCAGATATACAGTAGTCCCTTGGTATATGAGGGGGATTGGTTCCAAGACTCCTGTGTATACCAAAACCTACACATATTCAAGTCCCACAGTCAGCCCTTTGGGTCCCAAATATATGTAAAGTTGGGCCTTTGTATACATGGGTTTCACATGTCACCATTACTGTGTTTGTGATCTGCATTTGATTGAAAATAACCCATGCATAAGTGGACCTAAGTGGACCTATGCAGTTCAAATCCATGTTGCTCAAGGGTCAACTATATGGACATTAAATTAAGCAAGACATAAACTGGGATGTTAAAGCATGAGCAATAAATTAAAACTCAAAGAAATGACAGAAACCATTAGAGAAAATCAAATGAAGTATTGCTAAAAAATTTTAGGCAATTTTAACAAAACAGGAAAAACTTTATCAAGTTGATTTTTGCAAAGAAACTGGAACATGAGCTCCCTCCACTCACGTGTCTGTGCCCCTCAGAAGGGCGGTCCTGAGGAGCCAGCACATAGCCCAGGACTGACGTTAATGCCCTCAGGCAGGCTCCCACTGCCTCCTCTGCGCCTGCCTTCTCTCACTTTCTAGAATCCCAGTCCTAAAACTCTGTTTGATGTTTAGCAAAGGAAGACATATTCAGACATGCATAATAATGGTAGAAGACAGAGGTGAGGAATGCTGTGAAAGGTGTCCAAGGGGCCATGGAGAGCCCTGGGACTCTGGGGCTACCCCAAGGAGGCTGTGTTTTAAAATGTGTTTACACAGGCCTTTTCCATCATAAGTACATCTTTATTATTTTATGTATTTTGGAAAACACAGAAAAGTATTTCAAAAGCAAATCCTAAAGTAGTAAGCCTTAGATCATTGTGAAAGTTAATTTTTAAAAATATTTATTAAATTTAATGAATTAATTAATTTTTTGAGGCATGGTCTTACTCTGTCACTCGGGCTGGAGTGCAGTGGCACAATCACGGCTCACTGCAGCCTCAACTTCTCAGGCTCAAGAGATCCTCCCACCTCAGCCTCCCGAGCAGCTGGGACCACAGGCACTCGCCACCATGCCTAGCTAATTTTTTCTCGTTGTTTTTTGTAGGGACAGAGTCTCACTATATTCCCCAGGCTGGTCTTGAACTCCTGGGCTCAAGCAATCCACCCATCTAAACCTCCCAAAGTGCTGAGATTACAGGGATGAGCTGCTGTGCCCAGCCAAAGGTTAATTTCATGTGTCAGTATGCTTAAGCCATGGTACCCAAATATTTGGTCAAACATTATTCTAGATGTTTCTACTAAGGTATTTTGTAGATGAAATCAACATTTAAATGGATGGACTTTGAATAAAGCAAATTACCCTCCCGTATGTGAGTGGGTCTGACATCCCCCAAGGAAGAGGGAATTCTGCCTCCAGGTTGCCCTTAGGCCTGAACTGTGACATTAACTTTTGTCTCCAAGCCTGCCAGTTTTCCCTGCAAATTTTGGACTTGCCAATCTCCACAATCGTGTGAGCCAATTCCTTAAAATCTCTCTCTCACCTATATGAGCTCCTTTGAGTGTGTCTTCTCATCTATATGAGAGAGAGAGAGAGACAGAGAGAGAGAGGTTTTAGTTCTGTTTCTCTGGAGAACCCTAATACAGTTATGGTTTCATTTTAAAACATTTTTTTCTAGTCTTTTCTTTATACCTAGGTGGTTGTTGTTGTTTAGGTTTTTGTTTTTGTTCTTTTTGAGGGGTTGTATTTTATTGTCACCAATTGCATATATAATTGTGTGTTCCTTAATTCCTTATATTTATTTATTTATTTATTTTTGAGACAGTCTAGTTCTGTCACCCAGGATGGAGTAAAGTGGCGTGATCTCTGTTCACTGCAACCTCTGCCTGCCGGGTTCAAGAGATTCTCGTGCCTCAGCCTCCCAAGTAGCTGGAATTACAGGCACCCACCAACCACGCCTGGCTAATTTTTGTATTTTTAGTAGAGATGGGGTTTTGCCATGACCTCAAGTGATCCGCCAGCCTCGGCCTCCCAAAGTGCTGGGATTACAGCATGAGCCACTGTGCCTGGCCTTTAATTCTTTTTAAATAAATTATTATGACACTATTGTCTTCTTTGTTAATATAAGTTTTAATAAAAGTCACTTAAGTGGCTTCCCAATGATGCACAAAGTACATAGTCTATAATTTATAGTTTTTACTGCTAAATGTTTCTGCTGCTTCCAATATTTTGTTAAGATAGTAAACTGTAATGCACTTTTTTTGTTTATAAAGCTTTTTACACAATTGAGAATTGGATAGATTCCCAGAAATGAGATGACTGCATTGAAGTCACAGGCTAAGAGACACAAAGAGAACAGCAGCGACCCGCAGCAAGCTGGGCCAGAGGCTCCAGAGACTGCTGTCGAGGCCTGCTGGGGAGGAAGCCATGGCCAGTGGGGGGGCCACGAGTGGGCACAGAATCCACCCTCAGCTCCCACAGCTGCCCTCAGCCTCATGTTTAATCAGGCTCCACTAAAGACCTAGGGATAACAGAAGAGAATTCCAGGTACACTTAAAACTGGAAATGAGACATGGTGCTTTCAGATTTCAGAGGCCCACGCCCCTCCCTGTATGCACTTGCTACAGGAGGCTTCTCTGCCTCACCTTTAGCACGCTCTGAGTTTTGGGGGCCAGCATAACTCCCCAAGATAGGTGGCTCCCTTGAGTGTGCCTTCACTATGCAAAATACAGGCTCCCAACTCTGTTCTTGTTCTGGTTCAAAGACAGCAGGAAGTTTCCCCACTCAATCCAGCTTGCGGCCCACCTACCTACCAGTACCTGTGTTCTTTAGGATGATTTAAAGTGAGAATGAGCTACTCTCTGGAGGAGAAACATCCCAACCTATGGCCTGTGACCTCAGTGCCTTATGACCTGTGAGAGAGACTACATGTCCAGCAGAAATATACATGTATTTCTCTGTGAGAGAGACTACATGTCCACAGAAAGCGAGCTCCGTGTAATTTACAAAGTTCTAGTAGTCACATCAAAAAGGTAAAAAACAACAGGTGAAATTAATTCTAATAGTAAATTTTATTTAACACAGCATATCCAAAATATTGTGATTTTGACAAGTAATAAACATAAAAATTATTAGTGAGATATTTTACTGTTTTTGTACTAAGTCTTTGAAATCTCATGTGTGTCTTGCACTTAAGAGCACATTTGTATTTGGACTAGCCACACTTCATGTGCTCAGTTGCTACATGTGGCTAATGGCTACCATGTAGGACAGCACAGACTTACTGCACAGCTTACCTGAGGAGATCCTAGCAATAAATACTTGTCTTGCATCGCATGTGTCTCAAGAATAAGTTATTATTATTAATTAGTTTTTTTTCCTTGAGATGGAGTCTTGCTCTTGTAGCCCAGGCTGGAGTGCAGTGGCATGATCTTGGCTCACTGTAACCTCTGTCTCGTGGGTTCAAGTGATTCTCCTGCCTCAGCCTCCCGAGTGGCTGAGATTACAGGTGCACACCACCACGCCTGGCTAATTTTTGTATTTTTAATAGAGATGGGGTTTCACCACTTTGGCCAGGCTGATCTCAAACTCCTGCCCTCGGGTGATCTGCCCTCCGCCCGCCTCCTCGGCCTCCCAAAGTGCTGGGATTACAGGCGTGAGCCACTGTGCCCAGCCAAGAATACGTTATTTAGTCTTGAATTACAGATTTCATTGAACATCTACAGATCAGTCTATGACGTCCTTAACTTGCTCAGTGGAGCCAGTTTTCCCCATTCCAAGATGAAAATATGGACAGTACTAAGACTGTTCTGATCTCTCTTAGGTCCTGTAGTTATTTTATATTACCAAACACAATGCCAATTCAGAAACTCAACGTTTAGTTCCAAAGGTAAGTCTCCTTTCCTCCAGCAAGGGCTTTGCAAGGATGGGAAGATGAGAAATGGGGAAACAGGTCCTCAACATTATGCATCTATCCTTCTTCTCCTGTCTTGCTAATGGTGGTTTCTAACCCTCCAAGGTTGAGTAGAATGGGGAAGGGTTGGGGGAAGGAGTGGTCTGGGGCGTGGAGCAGGCACGGTTTGCAAGAGGGCTTTGCATTCTCTGGGACTGGTAGGGGCTTACAGGGGATTCCTCCTCCTTGGGTGCTTCTTCCGAGACCCCTCACCCCTAATGCCATACAGTTGCAAATGAGGATTTCTTTCCACGATTTATTCCTCCCACAGCTCATAGGAATGCAGTAATCACTTCAGCTTCTCTCTGCTGAGGCCTGTTGATGCCTGTAGGTGGCCACATCAGACAGGATTAGCTCGGCTCCACATCAGCTCGCTTCCTAGCATGCCTCACACTAGTCTGCTGGAAATACTTACACAGCCTTGCCCTGAAAACCTGGGATACAGGTCCCCAGTGCCTCCTCCTTTCCTACACTCCCACTCCCAGGGCAGAAAACCAGCCTGTCTCCTACCATGAGGTCTGCAGACAAATGTCAGATGCCAGCCCATTGCAGTCTGTCCACTGGGGAGGGGGAAGCTTTATGCAGGACAATAGGAAAAAAGAGTGAAACTATTCTGAATTAGATGTTTATATACATAAAATGATATTGCTTGACACCTGAAGGGAACAAGAAAAACTCTGGAGCTTTCTTGATCTAGTGACATGAAAGAAAGATGAGGTCCATGTGCTGTGGCTCATGCCTATAATCCCAGCACTTTGGGAGGCTGAGGCTGGAAGATACCTTGAGTCCAGGAGTTCAAGGCCAGCCTGGGCAACATGGTGAGACCTAATCTTTATTGAAAAAATAAAAATAAAACGTAGCAGGGCATGGTGGTGCATGCCTATGATCCCAGCTATTTGGGAAGCTGAGGTGAGAAGATTACTTGAGCCAGTGAGATTAAGGCTTCTATGAGCCATGATCATGCCACTGCATTCCAGCAAATTAAAAAAACTTAAAATTTTTTTTAGGCTTGACTTGAAACTCAGAGACCTTGAAAAAGAAAGAAAAAGAAGAAGAAAGAAAGAAAGAAAGAAAGAAAAAAAGAAAGAAAGAAAAGATGGGACCATTGGTCGCCATGGACACTGTTTCCACAGCTACTTTGCTATTTTGATTGTCATTGCGTATTGTTTGAAAGACTCTGCTATGAGAAAAATATAACTATTTCTCAATTTAACCGTGATAGACTATAAGTAGATAAAATAAGGTTGAGACAGATTAAATAAACTATTAAGGGGAAGAACTAGACTAGAACCCAGGTTTTCTGGCTTCTTATCTGGTGTCTGTTTTCACTCTGAAACTCACTTAGGGTCACGGACTCACTGACTCACAGATTCAGTGTGACAAAGATAATCAGAAACCAAGTCACTGTAACAAAAGCCCCCTAAAGACAGGACACCAGCTCACTGCTGTATCCTCAGTGTTGACGTCAGTGTGCTTGTCCAATAATCCACACTTAATAAATGTGAGTAGAATGAGTGAATTAATTAATTAATGGTTTAGTTGTTTAGTTTGTGAGGGAACAAGTATCTGAAAATGTTAAATGAATCACTGAAAGTCATTTATATATATGTGTGTGTGTATATATATACATATATATATATATATTTTTTAAATACAGAGTCTTGCTATGTTATCCGAGCTGGTCTCCAACTCCTGAGCTCAAGCAAACCACTCGCCTCGGCCTCCCAAAGTGCTGGGATTACAGGTGTGAGCCACCTCACCCTGTAATATAATATAAATGCCGAAAGTCATTTATATTTTATAGGTTGTAAGACATATATTTATTTTCCCATTTATCATCTCTTGAATAGGGATGCGTCTTACAATCAATGGCGTGTCATAGTTTAACCCGCTGTGTTTTCCTCTTAGTGCTGCATGAAATAATGGTATGTTTTCCGGCAACGGAGCTTTAGATGCAATGAGGAGCAGCAGTTGTTTGTGGACATACGTTGTGTCTCATGTCAGTGAGTGCAAGGAAAGGGGGAGGTGGGGGTGACCCCGTGGGATGCAAAACAAGTCAACTTCTCCAGGCCCTCAGAAGTGGCGCTCAATCTCCAGAGAGGCGCCCATCTCGCAGAGGGCCACTACCCGGTCATTGCCACTAGGGGGCTACCAGACATTTCATCAGGAAGACACAGGCAGTCTTTGGGCCTCTCTTCCGACCAGGCCATTTGTTGCCATGGATATTGTTTCCATAGTTGCTTTGACTGTCACTGCATTTCCCCTGATTATCTGTTTTTGCATGCTGAATATATACTATAATCCAATCTTCATCCTCATCAATTTAACAATTTTATCATATCTAGATTTTTCAAATGGCCAGTTTTCATCAATTGTGACGTTCATGGCATTTGACTTTGTTAGTGAGTTCTGCTTTTGCAGCCCCTGTGTTCCAGTATACAATACTGCATTATACCTCAGCTCACTTCACAAATTGGGTATCCACTGCAAGCAACTAAGCACAAGTAGTGAATACTAATCCAAATGAAAGAATGGGTCTGTTGTGGTGTTAGCGCAAGAGAAAATTCCTCTGCTCCATGGTGCATTAGTAGTAGCTCATTTTGCTTGCTGCCCCATTTGATTACATTGTTGGTGGTAAATATCACTGCTGAAAGTTCCATGAATTTCTTAAAGGTCTCCAAAGAAGATGTGGAACATTGAAGCATTTCACAACGTTTGCATGTACATGACAGCAATATTCATTCGCTTCTGCCAGGCACCTTGAAGGCAAAAGCTATTTACATGGCTCTCCACTGTGTTCTCATAGCCATGCACAGGCTTATATGTCCTCTGCAAAGATGTGATAGATGATCAAAGGAAACATCCAGTCTCCTCCCTCTCCCTCTCCCTCCCCCTCCCCCTCCCTCTCCTCCCCCTCCCCCTCTCCCTCTCCTCCCTCTCCCTCTCCTCCCTCTCCCTCTCCTCCCTCTCCTCCCTCTCCCTCCCCTCCCTCTCCCTCTCCTCCCTCTCCCTCTCCCTCTCCCCACGGTCTCCCTCTCCCCCTCCCTCTCCCTCTCCCCACGGTCTCCCTCTCCCCCTCCCTCTCCCTCTCCCTCTCCCCGCGGTCTCCCTCTCCCCCTCCCTCTCCCCACGGTCTCCCTCTCCCTTTCCCCACTGTCTCCCTCTCCCTCTCCCTCTCCCTCTCTCTCCACGGTCTCCCTCTGATGCCGAGCCGAAGCTGGACTGTACTGCCACCATCTCAGCTCACTGCAACCTCCCTGCCTGATTCTCCTGTCTCAGCCTGCCCAGTGCCTAGGATTGCAGGCGCGCGCCGCCACGCCTGATTGGTTTTCCTATTTTTTTGGTGGAGACGGGGTTTCGCTGTGTTGGCCGGGCTGGTCTCCAGCTCCTAACCGCGAGTGATCTGCCAGCCTCGGCCTCCCGAGGTGCTGGGATTGCAGACGGAGTCTCAATCACTCAGTGCTCAATGTTGCCCAGGCTGGAGTGCAGTGGCGTGATCTCGGCTGGCTACAACCTCCACCTTCCAGCTGCCTGCCTTGGCCTCCCAAAGTGCCGAGATTGCAGCCTCTGCCCGGCTGCCACCCCGTCTGGGAAGTGAGGAGCGTCTCTGCCTGGCCGCCCATTGTCTGGGATGTGAGGAGCCCCTCTGCCTGGCCGCCCAGTCTGGGAAGTGAGGAGCGCCTCTTCCCGGCCGCCATCCCATCTAGGAAGTGAGGAGCATCTCTGCCGGGCCGCCCATCGTCTGAGATGTGGGGAGCGCCTCTGCCCCGCCGCCACGTCTGGGATGTGAGGAGCGCCTCTGCCCAGCCGCGACCCCGTCTGGGAGGTGAGGAGCGTCTCTGCCCGGCCGCCCCGTCTGAGAAGTGAAGAGCCCCTCCGCCCGGCAGCCGCCCCGTCTGGGAAGTGAGGAGCATCTCCGCCCGGCAGCCGCCCCGTCAGGGAGGGAGGTGGGGGGGCAGCCCCCGCCCGGCCAGCCGCCCTGTCCGGGAGGTGAGGGGCACCTCCGCCCGGCAGCCCCGACTGGGAAGTGAGGAGCCCCTCTGCCCGGCAGCCACCCCGTCTGGGAGGTGAACCCAACAGCTCATTGAGAACCGGCCATGATGACGATGGCGGTTTTGTCGAATAGAAAGGGGGAAATGTGGGGAAAAGATAGAGAAATCAGATTGTTGCTGTGTCTGTGTAGAGGGAAGTAGACAGGGGAGACTCCATTTTGTTCTGTACTAAGAAAAATTCTTCTGCCTTGGGATGCTGTTAATCTATAACCTTACCCCCAACCCCGTGCTCTCTGAAACATGTGCTGTGTCCACTCAGGGTTAAATGGATTAAGGGCGGTGCACCATGTGCTTTGTTAAACAGATGCTTGAAGGCAGCATGCTCGTTAAGAGTCATCACCACTCCCTAATCTCAAGTACCCAGGGACACAAACACTGCGGAAGGCCGCGGGGTCCTCTGCCTAGGAAAACCAGAGACCCTTGTTCACTTGTTTATCTGCTGACCTTCCCTCCACTATTGTCCTATGACCCTGCCAAATCCCCCTCTCCGAGAAACACCCAAGAATGATCAATAAATACTAAAAAAAAAAAAAAAGAAAAAGAAAAAGGAAACATCCATGCCACCTCCTTTCATGGGTAGAAGGTAGAAGCTGAAAAAGTCTTCTGGGTATGGAAACTCACGAATACCTCGAGGCCAACTTGGTTCAGGGTTGCTGCCTAAAAAACTCTGGGTGAGGTCCTGAGTTGAAAACAAAACATCTCTGCTTGTGTTCAATTTTCAAATTCTTTTGAGGGTGAGGCCTGAGAAGTCGCAAACATCTTAAAAAGCAGAACTCACTAGTAAAGGCAAATAAATGCCATAAATGTCACAATTGATGACACGTTCCCTACCATCCATCACACACACAAGAATGTTTTTTCTGTGTATCCACGACTTGTTTTCAGACTGGGGGCTCCTCAAGAATAGGGACTGTGTCTGGTTTTTCTTGCTTGGCTCAAAACCCAATACAGATTGGAGGAAAGATCCGAGAGCCTGCCATTGCAAGCCTAAAGAAGAGAAGACTGAAGGATAAAAGTGTTCATACCTGTGAGTGATTTTTGTAGAGACAGTGCAGAACAGTTCATCACTTGAGATTCAGTCCAAATGAGATAAAAAGTGAGTAATCCTGGAGCCAGGAAACCTGAGTTTAACTCCCTCACCCCCCACCCCTCCCTGCCACTTACCGTTAAGGAGGTTTGGGGACAATTTATTTAACTTCTCTGAACTTCAGTCTTTGCATTTCTAAGACAGGATGGTTCTCCTACCTCACAGAGGTGATGTGAAGATCAAAAGAATCCACATATGTGACAGCAGCTCAAAGTGCCCCACAAATATGTCACAAGTCTCCGGTCAGTTACCCTATCCCTTGGGAAGCTTTCCAGGATCTGCACAGGCTGAATGAGATCCCTTCTCTGGACTCTGCCCGAAAGCATTCCTTTATTGTAGCACTTAGCATGTTGCACTGTAATTGCTGGTTTTCTTGTCCTTGAGGGTAAGAACTATGTCATTCACTTCTGTTGGTTGGCTGCCTCTGTTCCCAAAAGAATTCCCAGCACCATACTAGACAGTTACTAAAGGAATCCTAGGCCAGGTGCAGTGGCTCATACCTGTAATCCCAGCACTCTGGGAGGCCAAGGTGGGTGGATCACAAGGTCAGGAGTTCGAGATCAGCCTGGCCATCATAGTGAAACCCTGTCTCTACTAAAAATACAAAAATTAGCCGGGTGTGGTGGCACGCGCCTATAGTCCCAGCTACTCAGGAGGCTGAGGCAGGAGAATTGCTTGAGCCTGGGAGGCGGAGGTTGCAGTGAGCTGAGACCACACCATTGCAATCCAGCCTGGGTGACAGAGTGAGACTCTGTCTCAAAAAAAAAAAAAAAGGAATCCTAATTTCCTTGTGTTTACAAATAAGACCAAAACAGAAGAAATAGCACCAAAAGAAAGCATACATTTATTCGTTTATTCCAAAATGTGTATTTCATCCCATCTAAGATGACGTTGAATGCAAGATGCAGCATTACTTATGCCCCACTAAGGAAGAAAGAGTGCTACTGACTGGTTCATGATGTGCTATCAAGTGTAAGACACTTTTCCATTTTTAAACGTTTCTTGGTTTTTTTTTTTAGGCAGTGTCTTGCGATGTTGCCCAGGCAGGTCTCTAACTCCTAGCTCTGGGCAATCCTCCCACCTTGTCCTCCAAAAGTCCTGGGATTACAGGCCTGAACCACTGCAGCCAGTGGACATCTCCATTTTATTTTTATTATTATTTTTTTAAGACAGCATCTCACTCTGTCACCCAGGCTGGAGTGCAGTGGTGCAATCTCGGCTCACTGCAACCTCCACCTCCCAGGTTCAAGTGATTCTCTTGCCTCAGCCTCCTGAGTAGCTGGGACTACAGGTGTGTGCCACCAGCGCCCAGCTAATTTTTGTATTTTTAGTAGAGACGGGGTTTCACTATGTTGGCCAGGCTGGTCTCCAACTCCTGACGTCAAGTGATCCACCTGCCTCAGCCTCCCAAAGTGCTGGGTTTACAGGTGTGAGCCACTACGCCCATCCGACATCTCAATTTTAGATTACGATCCAATGGGGAAGATGTGCATCAGAGGCTCAATGAAGCATATGATTATTAAATATCTAATCTATCTCATATATTGTCCTCAAAACCCCTATTCTCAAGGAACTGACATTCTAGTGGAAGGAGACAGACATAAAACAAATAAGTTAACACGTAAATAAGCATAAGTTCAGATTGTCGTCAGCTCCATAAAGAAAATAAATATGGTAATCTGTAGAGACTGAAGAGAGGGGTTTGTTTTAGATGAATCACAAGAAAGGTCCTGAATAGATCTGAAAAATAACTACGTGTTTTCTAAGGTGTCAAACAATACCTCGCTAAGGGAGAGTGTTGAATCACTGTTGCTTCACCAAACATTCTTGTTTAGAAAGACAGGGGACTGGACCAGAGTGTGCATTCGCAGACGTTTTAATGAGAGGTGACACTCCCCAAAAGGCATAAATCCTGTTCAGGCACAATCTAGAGGGGTGTGCTTACTTGCCTGGTGTCCTCAATCTGGACTTGTGCAAGTTGGGTTCAGCTGGACCTGGTATGACTCCTTGATGACACCTGAAGAGGTCCTTTAAACACTGGACTTCATAAAGAGAAAAGGAGGATTAGCTGTATGATTAACTGTATGCATTTACCAAAGGCATGGAATGCACAGATATGTGCGACAACTTATAAGTGTCATCTGAGTATGAGTATATTATGGTTTGAGAGTCAACTACCAAATCTTGTAGTTCAGGTCCCAGGAGTGGTTAGAAAGGTATTTCCCTTATTCATTGAGGCTTCATTTTTTTTTTCTTCCCTTATGGGTGTTCTGCAGCATCTTCTCCTTGTCTTTTCTACCTTCAATACTCTCCAGAGACCAGATCTTCATGTATATCTCTCTGGGCTCTCAAATGCCAAAACCATACTCTCCTTCACGGTAGCACCCTGAGGGGGTGGACTTATTCTGGAGAAAGCTACGTGGCAAGTTGAAGGAGACTGACTGGGTAAAGCCCCTGTGCCTCTGGCAGAACTGCTGCCACAAAGGGATATGCGTATCCTGGGAATAATTAGTACAGGCCAGTTGCTACTGACTTTAAGGATGTTCCTTATGCTTCAATCCTATGTACAACTCTGGGATCTTTGGAGAGCAGCAAAAAGACTGAGATTGAATTTCCCTCTAATCTGACAGGAGCAGAAATTAACATTTTCTTTCTTTTATTTTTCTCTTCGAGACAAGGTCTCTCTCTGTTGCCCAAGATGGAGGGCAGTGACATGATCACAGCTCACTGCTGCCTCGACCTCCTGGGCTCAAGCAATCCTCTCACCTCAGCCTCCCAAGTAGCTGGGACTACAGGCATACACTACCATACCCAGCTAATTTTTAATTTTTTTGTAGAGACGAGGTCTCACTATGTTGCCCAGGCTGGTCTTGAACTCCAGGCCTCAAGCAATCCTCCTGCCTCAGCCTCCCAAAGTGTTGGGATTACAAGCGTGAGCCACTGTGCCCAGCCTTTTTCTTTCTTTCTTTCTTTTTTTCTTTTTTTTTTGAGACAGGATCTTGCTCTGTCGCCCGGGCTGGAGTACAGTGGCACAGTCATGGCTCACTGCAGCCTCCACCTCCTGGGCTCAAGCGAGCCTCTTGCCTTAGCCTCCCAAGTATCTGAGCCTACAGGCATGTGCCACCACACTCGGCTAATTTTTTTTTTATTTTTAGTAGAGACAAGGTCTCACCATGTTGCCCAGGCTGGTGTAGATCTTCTGAGCTCAAGTGATCTTCCTACCTCGGTCTGCCAAAGTGCTGCGATTACAGGTGTGTCATCCTGCCTGGCCAGAAATTAACTTGATTGAAAGAAAAGAAAAGCTTTTGATATGCTAGCGTTTTTGCATGCATGCTTTTGCATGCTAAAGTTTCTATGCCATTTACAGAGATTTCATGGTCTCTTCAATTGCTCTAAGTTGTCCTTGAGGTGCAGAAACTCAAGCACACAGACTTCTCAGCTAGAATTTGTAGCTCTAGCAATTCCTTTGTTTATTGCACAAACCTAGCTTGTACCGAGACCAAAAGTTCTGCCCCCTTGAAGACCAAGGCAGATTCTGGAATTCCTTGTGCTTGCCAATACCCTTTGACAAATGCCCAGCCCCAAACCCCAGCCTGAACTTCAGGAGGAAGATTTTATAGAAACACATTGGACTTTTCCTGCCTGTATATTAACCAAGAGACTCTTCTGTCACTCTTTTTTCCTGCAATAAACTGATATTCATGCAAGTATCTCTAATCACAAAATTCTCCCTTGGCCACTTGCTGCCTCCATGGGGGCAGAAGAGGGAGATCATTTTATTATTCTCCCATTCCCCACTATGTGTAGCTCCCACATTCTTAAAATCCTGAGCACTGTGTCTTCCCAAATGTGTCATGGAGATATTCGCAGAAGTCTGCATGTTCTAGATGATGTTTATGTGTCATATCATTTAGGATCCCATTTAGCTGGAATCACAAGAAGCTCACCTCACTGAGCTCCGGCACACTGCTCATCTCATATACGAAATGTCCGAGAGGAGCAGCCCAGGGCTCAGTATTGCCATCGGGCACCCAAGTGATTTCTTCCCTCTGCTCCACTCTCAGCTTGAAGCCTTCACCCTGCTGTGGGTCTCCCCCTGACCTCAGCATTGCTGAGCCCCAGGTCTCATATCTGCATTCCAGGTAGGAAGAGGAACGAAGGGGAAGGGGCAAAGGGCTTTCTCCTCATGAGCTTTGGCCTTTTCATCTGGAAGGGACACCATCCCCAGGAACTTATGCCTTTATCACATTGGCCAGAGCTGTATCTCCTCACTGCACTGGCTGCAAGGGGGACCGGGAAATTGGGGATTTGGGAAATGGTTTTCTTCAGCTGGGCACATTACCATCACCCCCAAAACTCAGGTTCTCCAAGTGTAAGGGAAGGGGAGACTAGAGCTGTTTCTGTCACGTTTTCCTTCAGGTAATAATCTTGAAAATCCCCATAATATAAGCATTTCCTGGATTCTATTGATGACCAATATAAAACCAACATAAAGCTAATAGAAATGATTAGTCTTTACAATTGCACAGCCTAACAAGAGTAGAACGAGAACTGTCTTAAAATTTAAACGGTGCATTTGCATTAAGGGCCCAATAATCCCGCAGCTGACTGAGAGACTGAAGGTCTTGAGAGAGCTTGTACAGAGACGATCCATGAAAGAAGGAAAACATCAAGTGGCAAATGAGATTTGAGAAACTAGGCTGTAGCAATCACTACAATATTAATGTTGGAGCGAAGAATTCTTCAGTAAAGAAATATCATGCATTACATTAAACTACTGCTGTTACTTCTAACGTTATTGGAACAGTAGAGCTATAAGCATAAGGAGTTTATACTTCATTTTCTGTTTCATATATATTTACGTTTAAGCCAACATGGCGAGTTCTCAAAAAATCTCTTTTCCAGCCAGGCACGGTGGCCCACACTGTAATCCCAGCACTTTGGGAGGCCAAGGCGGGTGGATCACCTGAGGTCAGGAGTTCAAGACCAGCCTGGGCAACATGGTGAAACTCCATCTCTACTAAAAATACAAAAATTAGCCAGGCATGGTGGTGCACGCCTGTAATCCCAGCTACTCGGAGGCTGAGGAAGGAGAATCGCTTGAACCCAGGAAGTGGAGGTTGCAGTGAGCCAAGATCGCACCACTGGACTCCAACCTGGGCAACAGAATGAGACTCTGTCTCAAAAATATATATGTATCTTTTCCTTTAAAGGTGTTTATCACATAAGTCTGAGAAATATTGGTTTAATATTTATTTAATCAATCCAATTTTTTCACTTTAGTATTTTAATTTATTATTCCGTGTTTCCGACTCTGTATCATAATACTACAATTCCATTATTTAACACTGGTGGTGATGCTGCTCATAGTGGCATCAGTAGTGAGCAAACAATAATCAACTGTCTTCACATATCTTTGATTCTTTGGTTTTTGTCCTGAGCTCCTCACAGAGCTGTTATATCCAATGCCCCGGCCTTGTCTGTGGTCTTAGCCATCATTCATAGGTGCATGAATATGGTGCATTTGCATTAAGTAAGGACAAATCTCTTCTTCTATCAGGCAGGGCTTTTCTCTTAGAGGTTAGGTCTGGACTTCGTGTCCTCATTTCACACCGCGATTGACTAAGATGAGACTCATTTATTTGCTACGGTGGCCAGTCCCACACAGGTGCTCATACATACTTGCTGAATGACCAGTTGACTACATCCTGTAAATGTGACCCTTTGGCCTGGGTGGTAGGAGAACGCGGGCATAGTCCTCTTAAGAGATAAGTTGTATCCTTCAGCTTACAGGTAGACTGAGATAGACAGACTGGGAGACGTAGAGTGTTGAGCTCATGCTAGGCACTGAATAAATATTTTGTTAAGGCCAGGTGCGGTGGCTCATGCCTGTAATCCTAGCACTTTGGGAGGCCAAGGCGGGTGGATCACCTGAGGTCAAGAGTTCGGGACCAGCCTGGCCAACATGGTGAAACCCTTGTCTCTACTATAAATACAAAAATTAGCCAGGCGTGGTGGCATGCGCCTGTAATCCCAGCTACTAGGGAGGCTGAGGCAGGAGAATCACTTGAACCTGGGGGGCAGAGGTTGCAGTGAGCTGAGATCGCGCCACTTCACTCCAGCCGGGGCAAAAGAGCAAAACTTCGTCTCAAAAAAAACATTTTTTTTTTTTTTGGTTAAATGAATGAATGTAGAGATATGTCCCAGACAAAAACAGATAAAATTTGCTTTATTGATTTGATCAGACTTACCGAATATCTCTTATACCTGAGCTGTGTGTAATTCCTCAAAACCTGGTAGATAGGTAAAGGCGATTGTCCAGAGGAAGTAACCAAGGTCAGGCAGAATTAGGAGACACTCAGAGCAGATGGGCATCCTTCTGAGTGTCCTCCACATGCTTATTCCAGGGGCCAGCTGCCTTCCTCATGTGGTGGTCCCAGGGCTCCAGACTAGGGCGGAGGAGTGGAGGCCTGAGGATACACATCATGCTGTATAGTCTTGCAGAGGCGGATGAGGGGTCTCCTTTTTCTAGAACCAACTGTAGTCACTGCTGGGGTCCTCTTTATGGTGTACTGTAGTCCATGACATGGGGATGATAAATAACCCTGGTGGATGGATTTAATGGAGGCAGGAAACACTCTTTCTAGGGAGGAAGAAAATGGTTTGGTTTTAACACTCTGTTCTTCTCTTAACCCTGGTGGTTTGTAATTTATCACTTCTGCCCAGCCTGTTTCCCTGGCTCTGGGAGTCTGCTAGATGTCACTGTTTTCTTCAGATCCTGACACTGACTACTAGAGATCAATACTTGCCAAAAATGTGGACGACATTTAGGGGGAAAAAAAAGCCTTTTGTTTTTTTTTTTTTTTAGATGGAGTCTCGCTCTGTTGCCCACGCTGGAGTGCAATGGCACGATCTCAGCTCACTGCAACCTCTGCCTCCCGGGTTCAAGCAATTCTCTGCCTCAGTCTCTCAAGTAGCTGGGATTACAGGTGCCCACCACTATGGCTGGCTAACTTTTTTGTAGTTTTAGTAGAGATGGGGTTTCACCATATTGGCCAGGCTGGCCTTAAAGTCCTGACCTCGTGATCCACCCACCTCGGCCTCCCAAAGTGCTGGGATTACAGGCGTGAGCCACCGCACCCTGCCAAAAAAAACTTAAACCTTTTTTGTTTTTTTTAAAACAACTTAAAAAAAACTTAAACCATTAAAGTTTAAAGAAAAAAGCATTTTGACAAATGAAACTTGGGAGGAATGGTAATATAGTTCTTATTTTTAAAACTTTTCGAGTTAAAGGTTTAAAAGTCAAAAATTTAGCAAGTTTGGGAGCATAGACTTTCCTCTTACTTCCCACACCCTGAGCCTTTTGAGCCATCTCTTGTTTTTAGTCTCTACATGAAATTAAGAAGGTGCTAATGCTAGTGACCTCTCTGGGCCAATGCCTGGTTTGGAGGAAGGAAAGCATCTTTTGTTCTAGAGCAAGAGTGTCCAACTTTTCATGGTGATCCACATGATCAGAAATCCAATTGTTTATGGTAACAGCGAAGTCCAGAAGGTCCTCCCTCTACTGGTGAATACTGAACATGACTCATGCATGAGTCAGGTACATATGGACGCTTTCATTCCATTTTCCTCTTGTCAGCATCCTTCAGAATGCTCTAGTTTCATGGTGTCATTTTAGCAGAATTAAATGTGAACACCTCATCTGTATCATGCATTACTTTCGGCTTTACTCACACTTACAAACTGATCCAAAGCTGTGGATTTGCATCTTGGAGCAGGGGTCAGTGCACAATGGCATCAATGACCGCAAGAATTAACGAGGCTTTAATGACCTGCCCGAGTTGGCTAATCCTGCAAGCCGCCACTTGTTAAAATTTCGACATGCACTTAATCCGTAGGTCAGGATGGCCAAAAAGGACCAGCCCTTCCCCCTCAAGCAGCAGGCCAGAAGCAGGAGGCTTGGGTTTTAGATCAAATGTTAGCGAGAGGAAGCCACAATGTGGGGTCCCCCAGATCACCTCCTTTTCTTTCTGATCAGACTGACCAAAAATCACAGATTGCCTTGACCGTTCTGTGACCCAGCCAGCTGCAGGTTTTCCCCAGCAGGCTTGAACGCAAACCAGGGCCTTGAACACTCCCAGGCACTAATAAAGGTATCTAGGTTGTTGCCCAAAACGTTGAAAGAAACTGGCTCCAGCCCTGAGTCAAATTCCCTAAACCCTCATATAAACTCCATACCCTGACCCCCTTGCTACAGACATGCTTAGGCAGAACATCCCTTTTCCCTCCCTGTCGGCAGGGAGGATTGCTGCAGTCCTCTGTAAGTTCCCCTAATAAATGCTTTGAATTGATCACCCTGACATCTGGGCTTCTTTCTTTGGAATCCCAATTGGCCCCATCTCTGGAGGGTTTGGGCCACTCCCTGTGGGAATTTCCCTGCTGCTGCTTTTGGGATGATTCCAGCTGGGAGTTTGGTGAGATGAAACATGCAGGGCTGGCATGGAATTCTTTTGTCTCCTCTTGTAGAAACAACAGGGACCCTCAGAGACAGAAAAATACCCAGAGCTCCTCTTTGAGAGCTGGTACAAACTGTCTCTTTGGTGCAGGGTAGTGGTGGCTCATAAAAACCCACTCAATTTTGGTTTTAAAAAAATCTTCTTCAGAACTTCAGAGTAGGTAGTAATTAACACAAGAATATGTAATTTCTGATATGAGTGGACCACCCAGAATGTTTCTAATTCATCCACTCCTCTGGTCCCCAGTTCCTTGTCTTCTTAGGAAAATTTCCTCTTTTACATCCATCTGTACCTAACGGTTCATGCTTTGCCCTGACTCCCGCTGTGTCTTACCATGTTTGTGTTCTTATGTTTCTCACTCTCAGCCTCTCTTCCCTTTCTCTCCTTCCTGTCTCTCACAGCTTCCTCTGTCCCCAATGCTTTCTGCATCTTTTGTGCCAGGTGCTCTTTTCCTTTCTCTCCACCTCTGTCTTTCCAGGAGTCTTTGCAGAGCTCTCTCTATGTAGGCTTCCTCACGCCTGACGATTTCTTGGGCCTCTGTACCTCAGCTCTCCATGCCCACCGCTTATCCTCAGTTGGCCTCGTTCCCCTGATGCCCTGAATATTCCCAGACCAAATACTCACCACAATGAAGCCCAATCCAACAAAGAGCACAACAGTGACTGTGGTTGCAGCCAGGGATATGAGGATAATTCCCATGGGTGTCAGGAGCCTGGTGGGTTTCACTGCTGTGACTGAAGTAGTTCACAGAAGGTGAGTGTCACCATGTTTAGTGGTTTCATCTTCTGTGGTCCCTGGGTCTGCAGTGACGGAGTCCTCGGTGGTCCCTGGGTCTGCAGTGATGGAGTGTTTGGTGGTCCCTGGGTCTGCAGTGACAGAGTCCTCAGTGGTCCCTGGGTCTACAGTGATGGAGTGTTTGGTGGTCCCTGGGTCTGCAGTGACGGAGTCCTCTGTGGTCCTTGGGTCTGCAGTGATGGAGTCCTTGGTGGTCCCTGGGTCTGCAGTGACAAAGTTCTCAGTGAGTGGTCCCTGGGTCTGCAGTGACAGAATCCTTGGTGGTCCCTGGGTCTGCAGACACATAGTCCTTGGTGGTCGCTGGGTCTGCAGTGACAGAGCCCTCGGTGGTCCCTGGGTCCACAGTCACATTGTCCTCAGTGGTCCCTGGGTCTGCAGTGACAGAGTCCTCGGTGGTCCCTGGGTCTGCAGTGATGTGGTCCTCAGTGGTCCTTCCATCTGCAGTTACATCATTTTCTCTTATTCTTGAGTCTTTAGGGCTGGTCTCTGGGTGCTTAGTGGAAATGCTTTGGCTTAGTCCTACTAAAAAGTAATCTCATTTAATGTGAATTGTTGATGGCCTATCCTCATCTGCTCTGCTCAGTATTTTCATAACTATCCTCACATCCAAATGACACCTCTCCCCAGGTAATGTGGTGAGATTTATTCCAGTTAGGGATCATTTGGCATTTTTGGTTTAATTCTGGTAAAACATATTCCACAAGAATCCTCTTGCACTACAATATGGATTATCTTTGCTGAGCCACGCCCTTCGAAGGCCTGCTCACCCAGCTTTGACTCTGTCTTTTCCAGGTCTGGTCTCTTTCCGTGGGACACTAAACCTGACTCTTTCTCAAGCTCACTCCTCTCTGAACTGGTGTTTCAGCAATTGGGGTATTCTGGCTCCATGTTCATAGGTGTCTCCTCTCATCCATTTGTGCCTGCGGTTCTGGCAAACCAATGAGGCAGAAGCTGTGATTCATGTTAGAGATTACACTCAGGTCATGCTTGGTATATGATTTAAAATGAGACAGCTGGCCAGGTGCTCCATCTCAAAAAAGGAAAAAAAAAGCATGAGACAGCTTCTGGGTCAGATCTGGGGCTAACGTGGTAGGCTTGGAGGCAGGGAAGATTCAAGGTGGTATGGGGGCAGGCTTAGGGGAGGAGTCATGAGGGGTGTGGGTGTGATCTAGTTGGACTGAGGGCAACACTGAGTCAGGTATAAGTACAAAGAAGAGATGAGTCCTCTTCGTCTCCAGCCCTCACTGCCCCAGGCAGCCGTCAGGACTTGGGAGTATTCTTATTCTTAGGAATACATGTAGCTTACATGGCATAAATTTTGAACTTTTGGTACTCTGCCCAAATCTAGTCATCCCTCCCTACTGCTGACGCTCCACATTTTTCTAATAGGGTTCAAGTCTTCCTTCCTTCCTTCCTTCCTTCCTTTCCCTCTCTCTCTCTCTTTTTTTTTTTTTTCTTTGAGACGGAGTCTCCCTCTGTCATCCAGGCTGGAATGCAATAGCGCGATCTCCACTCACTGCAACCTCCACCTCCCAGGTTCAAGCGATTCTCCTGCCTCAGCTTCTCAAGTATTTGGGATTACAGGCGTGCGCCACCAGACCCAGCTAATTTTTGTATTTTTACTAGAGACTGGGTTTCACCATGCTGGCCAGGCTGGTCTCAAACACCTGACCTCAGATGACCCACCCGCCTCAGCCTCCCAAAGTGCTAAGATTACAGGCATGAGCCACTGCACCTGACCGTTTCTTTCTTTTCTTTCTCTTTTTCTTTCTCTCTTTTGACACAGGGTCTTGTTCTGTGATTCAGGCTAGAGTTCAGTAGCACAATCATGGCTCAATGCAGCCTTGGCCTCCTGGCCTCAAGTGATCCTCCCACCTCAGCCTCCCGAGTAGATTAGACTACAGGCATGGGCTACCACGCCTGGCTGATTTTTTTGGTTTTTGTAGAGATGGTGTCTCACTATGTCGCCCAGGCTTGTCTCAAACTCCTGGGCTCAAGGGATCCCACTCCTTCTCATCCTCCCAAAGCGCTGGGATTAGAGGAGTGCCAAATTTTTCATTTCTCCAGGAAAGTTGAAACAAAGAAACTTAAATAAAATGCACAAAATCAAAAGCAGAGCATTTCCTTAAAAGGGGATATGAGAAAGACGCTGGGGTCCCTGCTTCCCTGTGGCAGGTGATTGAGGGTAGATAACAGGGTCCGGAGTTCCCAAGGTTCACTCACCTATTCCGTACCTTCGCTCGGGACTGGCCCTGTCTGAGTCCCAAGAGGCTCCTTCTCCAGGGACCCTGACTCCATCTCTCCAGGTCCCGGGGACTTTTGCATCCTTCTCACCAAAATTAACTCCTCCACCCCGTTCTGAACACCTCAGGAGAAGCAGGAGCAGCAGAAGGGGGACGTAGCGGGGCATTTTCTTCTCATCTCAAGAGAATCCACATGGTGCTAGCCAGGACACCTTTTCCTCCCTCCTTCTCTCAAACTTTTTCCACCCTGCCCTTCTCCTTCCACCCGCAGTGGCTGTGGGTTTATATGTGCTTTGCCGAGGGAAGCCAGAGCTCCGGGTCTTCCTTCCTGGAGGGAGGAGCAGCTTCTCAATTACCCCCTGTCACTCAAAGGAGTGGCCGGGCAGGGCAGAAGAGGCTGTCATGAGGGGAAGGGGGGCTCTCAGCTTTGGACCAGAGCCCAGAGTCGAGCAGCCACAGGGGATCAAGCCTGTCAGCGTGAGTGCACTGCTTTCTGATGTGGAGCCTAGTTGAAAACCATCCTCCACCCGGTGTTTCAGTGCTCAGGGAGGGCCTCGGCCTTCCTTCCCACAGGTGGCCACAGTAAAGTCAGGATGACCAAGGAGGGCATAGGCCAGGCCTGCCTGGGGGATGATGCTTGGCAGGAGGAGAGCTGGGTGTCAGAGGGTAGAGGACATTTGGTAAGGACCAAGAGAAGGTCCTCCAACAGAAGGAGAGGAACACTCATGAGGGGGCTAAAACACCCAATCTCTCTGTCTCTTAAAACCTCACTCTTTGCTCAATCATCCACCCAAATCCTCTTCCTTGGCTTCTCTCCAGCCCACGGATCTCTCTCCTTGCTCCCCCTGCTCGAGTGCCCTCACCCCAGTGAGCTTTCTCAATTACTGCATGTATTAGTCTGTTTTCACGCTGCTGATAAAGACATACCCAAGACTGGGAAGAAAAAGAAGTTTAATTGGACTTACAGTTCCACATGGCTGGGGAGGCCTCAGAATCACGGAGGGAGACAAAAGGCACTTCTTACACAGTGGCGGCAAGAGAAAATGAGAAAGAAGCAAAAGCGGAAACCCCTGATAAACCCATCAAATCTCATGAGACTTATTCACAGTCATGAGAATAGCAAGAGAAAGATGATTGGCGAAAAGAGAAAAACTCCCCACAGCATGAGGGGAATTGTGGGAGCTACAATTCAAGTTGAGATTTCTGTGGGGACAGAGCCAAGCCATATCACTGCACAAAATTAGTCCACTTGTGGTGAGGTCAGGCCTGAATGAGAATACCCACATCTTTTCCTCCTTCTCTGACCCTTATCCCTGCCTTGCCCACTCTTTAGAAGATCATTGTTGGTTCCCATCTTCATTCAGAGATGTCTCTCACCATTTGTGGGGCCTCTCTCTTTCCCAGTGTCCTTCTAACTAAAAGAGGAGTGTGAAATTGCAGGTGGGCCGGGAATTGTTCCTCTCTTAGAAGGCAGCTGATTTCCTGAAAATCAATTTAATGAATGGCTAGTTTACCACATGTAACTGACTATGTTAACTACTAGTATTATTTGAATGTATTAAATATTTTCTCTTTTCCTTCCTTCCTTCCTTCCTTTCTTTCTTTCTTTCTTTCTTTCTTTCTTTCTTTCTTTCTTTCTTTCCTTCTTTCTCTTTCTCTTTCTCTCTCTTTCTTTCTTTTTGACAGGGTCTTGCTGTATTGCCCAGGTTGGAGTGCAGTGGTGCTATCACGGCTCACTGCAGCCTCGATCTCCCAGGCTCAAGTGATCCTTCCACCTCAGCCTCCGGAGTAGCTGGGACTATATGCATGCACCACCATGCCCAGCTGATTGTTTTTTTATTTTTAGTAGAGACAAGGTCTCACTATGTTGCCCAGGCTGGTCTCGAACTCCTGAGCTCAAGAGATCCTCCCTCATCAGCCTCCCAAAGTGCTGGGATTACAGGTGTGAGCCACATCACCCAGCAACATTTTCAAACATAGTATTTAAACACACTCAAAAGAATTTGTATGTATTTAGTATAACTAATGAATAGATTTCAAAAGAGTATAGTAAGGAAAATATCTGATTTTCTAAGTCAAGAGGTATAATTTGCATATGATAAAATTCACCCTTTTTCATGTACAGGTCAATAGAATTTTTTTGGTTTGGCTTTGTTTTAGAATTTTTAAAACTTCATTTTGAGATAATTTTAGACTTACAGAGAATTACAAAAATAATTAACAGAGTTCCCGTATATTTTTCCCCTAGCTTTTCCTCATGTCAATATCTTACATAGTACAATTATAGAAACTGAGAGATTATATATACAATTATAGAAGCTAAGAAGTTATTGTTGGTACAATACTATATATATTTTTTTGAGACAGAGTTTCACTCTTGCTGCCCAGGCTGGAGTGCAATGGCACGATCTCAGCCCACAGCAACCTTCCCCTCCCAGGTTCAAGTAATTCTCCTGCCTCAGCCTCCCGAGCACCCGGGATTACAGGTGTGTAATCCTAATGGTGATAGATTAGATTCCTTCTACATTTATTAATTGAAATTCTTCTGTAAGAAAAAGTCGTGCCCTCTCCCCATTTTATTTATTCAACTATTTGTTTATATCAGAATGGACTCATAAATGTTTATTTTGTTCTGTGAGTTATGATCCAATACTATCACTATTTATTTTGTTGCTCAAACTTTGGCCACTGGGAGCTCTTTCAGATGGGCTCCAGTGCCGTTTTAATGTCCTCCATCCTTTTTTTGTTTTGTTTTATTTATGAGACAAGACTTCACTGCGTTTCCTAGGCTGAATTGCAGTGGCATCATCATACAGCCTCAAACTCCTGGGCTCAAGGGATCCTCCTGCCTCAGCCTCCTACAAGTAGCTAGGACTACAGGCATGCACCAGCACACCCAGCTGATATCTCCATTGCTATTTTGTTTTGTTTTTTGAGACAGGGTCTCACTTTGTTGCCCATGCTAGAGTGCAGTGGTGCAATATTGGCTCACTGTAATCTCCGTATCCTGAGCTCAACTAATCCTCCCACCACAGCCTTCCAAGTAGCTGGGACAACAGGTGTGCGCCACCACACCCAGCTAACTTTTTTTTTTTTTGTAGAGACAAAGTTTTGTCATATTGCTCAGGCTGGTCTTAAACTCCTGGGCTCAAGCAATCCACTTGTCTTGGCCTCCCAAAGTGCTGGGATTACAGGCTCAAGCCACTGTGCCCAGCCTCTCCATCCGTGGTATTTTGTTTTTTTGTTTTTTTTGTGTGAGATGGAATTTCGTTCTCGTTGCCTAGACTGGAGCGCAATGGTGCAATCTCGGCTCACTGCAACCTCTGCTTCCTGGGTTCAAGTGATTCTCCTGCCTCAGCCTCCCAAGTAGCTGGGATTACAGGCATGCACCACCATGCCCAACTAATTCTGTATTATTTTAGTAGGGAGAGTTTTCTCCAAGTTGGTCAGGCTGGTCTCCAACTCACGAACCTCAGGTGATCCCCAGGCCTGGGCCTCCCAAAGTGCTGGGATTACAGGCATGAGACACTGTGCATGGCCCTCTCCATCCCTTTTTAAAACACTTTCTTGCATTCTGGTATTACAAGATGCTTCATGCTCATTTTTTATTTTGTCCATCCAGGCCCTGGAATCAACTATTTCTCCACAGAGCTCTGGCTCCTCTTTGTATTAGAGAATAATATTTAGAAACCAAGATTTGGGTACTAGGTGTGCTCATTCATAGTGGGTGTCACTGCTTCTTGCCCCCACGGAAGTTAGAGCTAGGAAACGTATGTATGTAAACTAACTCATGCATAAACACAGGTCTGTATTTATTTCTGCAATTACCTGTCTGCATATACAGATTGAATCCCTTATCTGAAATGTTTGAGACCGTAAGTGTTTTGGATTTTCAATTTCTTGGATTTCGAAATATTTGTATATACACAATGAGATATCTTGTGGATGAGACCCAAGTCTAAACATGAAATTTGTTTATGTTTTATATATATCTTATACATGTAGCCTGAAGGTAACTTTACGTGATATTTTAAATAATTTTGTGCATGAAACAAAGTTTGTGTATGTTGACTTGTGGTGTCATGTTGGTGCTCAGCAAGTTTTGGATTTTGGAGCATTTTGGATTTTCAGATGAGGGTTGCTCAACCTGTGTTTTAAACACAAGCATGGGTGCATTTTGACACCTCCAGCTTTAATCCAGCAACATGGGGTTCATTCTAGTCTCTCCCTTTTCTTTATTTGTAACTCCTTTCTCTGACATGGCTACGAATGTCTATAAACATATTTTTTTACTTATTTTTTCAACCCTAATAAACAAATAGTGGTTTCAGAACTGCTAATTCATACCCTTGCCAGAAACACATTTACCAACTACAGTACAGTGTTTCTGTATTTTTTTTTTTTTTTGTCTTTAGCTTTATGGTCAAAACACAGTTTTTCTTTTCTTTTTCTTTTTTAAATTTGAGACAGGGTCTTGCTCTGTCACCCAGTCTGGGGTGCAGTAGCACTGCAGCCTTGATCTCCTGGACTCAAGCGATCCCTCCATCCTAGCCTCCTGAGCAGCTAGGACTACAGGCACACCATCATGCCCAGCTAATTTTTTTAACTTTTTGTAGAGGCGGGGTTCTCGCTGTGTTGCTGAGGCTGATCTCAAGCTCCTGGACTCAAACAAGCCTCCTGCCTTGGCCTCCCAAAGTGGTAGGATTACAGGCATGAGCCACCATGCCTGACTCAAAACAGTTTTTCAAAGTTACTTAGGCCAGCTCCTTCTTCTCCATCCGTTTCACTGTGCTTACATGAGTCATTTGTCAGAGTCTGCTTTCCATCTTTCCCTCCACATCCTGGTTGATTTGCTGAATTTCCATACCCTAAAAATCACTTTTTGTAGTGTACAGTTCTATGGATTTTGATAAATGGTAGAGTCACATATTCGGCGCACTGAATCCCTTCATCCTCCTCAATCTCCCCCCATGCCGTTCCTTTAGAGCCAACCCTTCTCCCACTTCCCAAACCCTGGCAACATGGATCTTGTTTCTTTCCCTATAATTTTGCCATTTTCAGAATGTCATATGAAGGGAATCGTATAGTCTGTAGCCTTATAGTTTTAGATATAATTTATATACTATTCATAGGAATCATATTTGCAATTATTCATCAGAGTCAAGAATAAATAATTTTTTCTTGCACATATTTTTGAATAAAGTCTTTCATGTGAAAATTGTTATAAATAAATATATTTATCTTGAGTATTTTCTTAACTAGAAAACATGCTATAAATCAAGAAGACATTCCCCAGTCTCCCTCTGTCTCCCAGCCTCCAGCCTGCAGCAGGAGGGAATCACACTGAATAGGATTTAAACAAAATTTAAAAATTCAAAGAATTAGTCATTTGATGAATTAGTTTTAAGAAAATTGCCTAGAGCTCGTTAGATGAAGACCTCCCTAAAACAGGACTTTTAACAAAAGTCACCATAAATTCTGGAGTTGGGGATTTTTAAAAAAGTGCTAGGCAGAAATCTCTTGAAATTCACATTTCTTCTCGTTTTCGTTTTTTTTTTTTTTTTTTTTTTTGAGACAGGGTCTCACTCTGTTACCCAGGCTGGAGTGAGTGGCGCAATCACAGCTCAGTGAAGGCTTGACCCCCTGGGCTCAAGTTATCCTCCCACCTCAGCTGGGACTACAGGTGTGCACCACCACACCTGGCTAATCTTTTTAACTTTTTGTAGAGACAGGACCTCACTCTGTTGCCCAGGCTGGTCTCAAACTCCTGGGCTCAAACAGTTTTCCCACTTTGGCCTCCCAAAGTGTTAGGATTACAGGCATGAGCTACTGTGCCCAGCCTCCACTTCTTTTCTTCTTTCCCATTTCCATGTTTTGTGGTCTTAGATTTGTCTATTTGCTTCTTTCTTTGCAGGGGCATTACAACACCATTTTTGCTGGTTTCCAGCCTCTATTTTCTACTCACTCAGCTGATTGAAGTGTTCTTATTGGGGAAAAAATTGTGTCCCACTACACCTTAAAGTGATCTGTGGGCTTTGTGCTGTTAAAGGATGAAATCTGGCCTCCTTGGAGTGGTGTTCAAAGCCACGCATTAGCCCCCAGCCCCAGCTCCCTCTGCTGTGCTCTCCAGCCCCACAGGTCTTCTGACCTTCACTGGCCGTGCCATGCCCAGTCTTGCACAAGCTGCTTGCTTGCCTGGCATTTCCTCTTCTGCTCCTCGTAAATGCCTGCTAACTCCTCAAAATCCAAATGTCACCTTCTATGTGAGTCAGCCTCTCCTCCCCTCATCAAGTTAGATGTTTCCTCCTGTGGTGCTTCCATTCATACTACTTGATGCGTTGGCCTGTAACTTATGTACCTCCCTCACCCAACTGTGACCTACAGGGTCATCCTAGCTGCCCCAGCTCCTTGAGACCTCATGCCAAGCAGGTGTCCAGTAAATATGGTGAATGAATGAATGAAAAAATGAGTGCAAAAGATGATAATTATTTTACGAAAAGGTCTGGGGGCTCTTAAAACTGAAGAGGAGATAATGGATACACTGATAAATATCTTCAAGGTATTATTTTAAAACCCTAATATAAAAATAAAAATTAAAAAATCCCAAAATAAAAAACCCGAATATACATTTTTTCTTCCTATTGAGGTAAAATTTACAAAAAGTGAAATGCACAGATCTTAAGAATTCAGTTAGTGGAGGTTTCTTGTTTTGTTTTGTTTTTTTGAGACAGGGTCTCACTCTGTTGCCCGGGTTGGAGTGCAGTGGCACCATCACGGCTCACTGCAGCCTTGACCTCCTGGGCTCAAGCAATCATCCCACCTCAGCCTCCCAAGTAGCTAGAACTACAGGTGTGCATTACTATACCCGACTAATATTTGTATGTTTTGTAGAGATGAGGTCTTGCCATGTTGCCCAGGCTGGTCTCAAACTCTTGGGCTGAAGCAATCCTTTCACCTCAGCCTCCCAAAGTGCTGGAATTACAAGCGTCAGCCACCACACCCAGCTGTTAGCTGAGTTTTGACAAGTGTATTTACCTGTGTAACCAACAGACCAGTTGATATAGAAAACATTCCTATCACCCAGAAAGTGCCCCCTTCCTAAAAACCCTCACCCTCATAGGAGATCTGATCTCTGCCACCATAGATTAGTTTTGCCTATTGTTGAATTTCATGCAAATAAATTGTACAGTAGATACTCTCTTGCATCTGTTAAAAATAGATTTTGTTGTTGTTGTTATGTTTTTTGTTTGTTTTGTTTTGGAGACAGAGTCTTTCTCTGTTGCCCACAGTGGAGTGCAGTAGCGCAATCTCTGCTCACTGCAACCTCCGCCTCCCAGGTTCAAGCAATCCTCCCACCTCAGCTTCCCGAGTAGCTGAAACTACAGGCATGTGCCACCACACCCGGCTAATTTTTGTATTTTTAGTAGAGACGGGGTTTTGCCATGTTGGCAGGGCTGGTTTTGAACTCCTGACCTCAGGCGATCCGCCCGCCTCAGCCTCCCAAAATGCTAAGATTACAGGCATCATGAGCCACCGCACCCAGCCTAAAAACAGTTTTGTTCATCATATTGTAAAATGTTCTTAGAGAAACAGCTTGGTCCTGTTAAGGCTCTCCCAAAGACCCAGGAGAATCCCAGAAGCTGAAGAGACTTAGCAGAGGGTGAAACTGATAAAGCAGAGGCGAGTGATTCACAGGGAGGAAGAATCAGTGGGGTGCGTGTGCGAGTGCGAGAGCAAGTTGCACCAGAAGCCTGGGTGGGACCAGGCCTGAGCATGGTGCTGACACTGGCATGTGTGCCCTCTGAGGCCTGGTTTTGGGGGAGCTGCTGAGGATCTAGACCGTAGCAGGGCAAGCCAGTCCTGCCCTTGCAAAAACTGGGAGCACATTCTCCCTGCCCAGGACAGTTGCTGGGCTGGGAGCCCACAGGAGAGAAAGGTGGCAACTCACACCTGCAGCCCAGAGCAGACGTGAGTGGCCAGGAAAAGTGGCCATGTCTAAGGGTGGCCCCAGTAGCAAGCTCTTTCCTACCTCACAACATGAAAACAGGATCACTTTCCTCCAGTTCATGTTCTAGGCTCACGCAGAGGCTGTTTTCCTGCCATGCAACACACGTCTGTAAAGACCAGCACCTGCCTTCCCCCATCTCTCCTGACTCCGTTCTTCCATCGACCCAGAGGCCTCGGGGAGCAGGGAAGGAGTGGGGAAGAAAATGGGACAGATGTGAGGTCTCTGGATTTCATGCTAGGATTTGAGAACTGGGAGGTCACAGCGAAAGAGTGTCCTCATGATATAGGAAACCTCTCTTCACAGCAATATACAAGCACACACCCACAGTCTGGCTGTCACATAGAGCAGATGCACTTATTTAATCATTCAGCACTAGCGATAGCCTCCTGTTTCAGGTCTGGGAGAACTAAACAGAAGGTAGGAGTGTCAGGGGCTGGAGCAGAGCTGGGAGGAGCAGCCCTGGGGGCAAGTGAGGAAAACCGAGACCGCTGGTCCTCCCCACCCTGAGGACAGTGAAGTGCCTGCCTTTAGGGACACTGTGTCTCCTCATCAGCTCCATGCCTGTGGGAGAACACTGGTCTCTAAAATCCGTTTCAGTCTCACTTGACCCATCTTGGACTCCATGATATCCTTGAGGACATGGACCAAGGTTTGGGATGTGAAGATCTTTGGTGAAGAGGTTTCTTAGGCACAGAGAGTTTCTCTAGAAAACAAAAGGATGGATGGTTCAGAGTTATGCCCCTCTTCCAGTGCTCTCCCATCCCACGTGTCCCCACTCCCCATTCGGCCTCCCCAGCCTCAGTACTCCTTTGGCCCCTTCTCTCCTCATCAATTTCCTCTGAACATGTACCAGCTTTTCTAGCCCTCTCTCTTGCTGGTTCTCACCTGCTGTCTCTGTCTTGCTTTGTCCCTCTCCTGATTTCTCATTCCCTATTAGCCACACAATGACCCTACTCTCTCTACCCTGCTTCCCTCCTCAGTTCCCTGCACTCCCTCCCTCAGAAAAAGGATTTCCCACACATCAGGCACTCATGAAATAAAAGAGCCCTGTGAAGAGAATCACAGCCATTGCAACCAAGGCCAGAGTGACTAGGATGACTTCCCACAGCCTCAGGCATCCATTAGACCTTCCCTCATTCCCTGGAGGGGCTGCACTTGTGCTGGTGACACTGGAGGTTGCGGTTGTTGTGTTAGTTCCACTGGAAGATATAGTGGACCCAGGGCAGGGGGGTTGTAGTGATTCCACTGGGAGGTGTGGTTGGTCCAGGGAGCGTGGTCACGGTGATTCTGCTGGATAATGTGGTTGATCCTGGAGGGGTGGTCATGGTGATTCCACTGGAAGGTGTGGTTGGTCCAGGGCAGTGTTCACAGTAATTTCGCTGGATGGTGTGGTTGATCCTGGAGGGGTGGTCACAGTGATTCCACTGGAAGGTGGGGTTAATCTGGGGGGATGATCGTGGTGATTTCACTGGAAGTTACAGCTGGTTAAGAAAGGGTGGCTGGTTGGCTCCACTGGAAATTTGGTTTTGTTCACCACTACCGCTACTATGAGTAATACTAGTGATAATAATAGTGGCTGTCATTTAAGAATGCTCACTATATTCCAGGCACTGTGCTAAGTGCCACATATAAATTAGTACTAAAATCCTTACAATACCTCCTTGAGATAGAAACTAATATTACCCCCATTTTATAGATAGGTAAATTGAGGTTTAGAGAAGTTAAGCAGCTAGTTCCAGGTCAGACAGTTAGTAGGTAGTGGAACAACGATTTAAATCAAGGCAGTCTGACCCCAGAGCCAGCCCCTAAAGCCCTTAACCCATGCATTATTCCATATCCCAGGTATGGGGGAGTTACAAGACCAGGGTTTACAGGGGATGGTGTTATTCTTTTAACTATTCATGATACTCTCCGACTAAAGAACGTAAGAGAAAAGTTGAAGGCCCATCAAGCTCCTCTCCAAACAGTATTGTGCCCTTCCTCTAGGGGGCAGATAATCAAGCGGAATCGGTTTGGGAGGGGACCATGATGTGCATTTTTACTACATCGGGTAATTCTTCTGAACACAAAAGTTTGGGGCTGGGCGCAGTGGCTCACACCTGTAATCCCAGCACTTTGGGAGGCCAAGACAGGAGGATCACTTGAGGCCAGGAGTCTCGACCAGCCTGGACAACATGGAGAAACCCTGTCTCTACTACACATACAAAAAAATTAGACAAGCATGGTGGTGCACACCTGTAATCCCAGCTACTCGGGAGGTTGAGGCACGAGAATCGCTTGAGCCTGGAAGGTGGAGGTTGCAATGAGCTGAGAGCACGCCACTGCACTCCAGCCTGGGCGACGGAGCAAGACTCTGTCTCAAAAAAAAAAAATAGTTTGGGAGCCACTGGTTTAAGGGACCCCAGATGGTCTTGACACATGGACTAGTAAAGAATCAGTCATGTCAGCTTGAAGAAATAAGATCTTCTGGGATTCAGGAAAGTGGCTCAGCTTTCTTGTTGGATCAGTTAGAGTTAAGGTGAGACTGAGCTTCTTTCCCTGTCATGCCTATTTTCTACCCTGTTCTGATTTTCCATCCCATTAACAACCAAGCCCTTGACCTCCCAGATCCCTATAGACCCTCTCCTCATCGATGGCCCTGTTCTCTCCCTGGATGTAGGTGCTGCCCTTCACCCTCCACATATGTTCTTGCCTTGGTGTTGTCTGGACTAACATAAGGATTGCCAATTTAGATTTGAGGGAAGAATCCCAAAACTGTGTGTCGATGCCTTAGGTTAGGGTCAGAGCCAAGAGAGAAACTAAGTGAGAAGTTGAGATGAAAAGCTGGCCTGTGGAGAGGGAATAGACTGGTTTTGTGTTGGTCAGGGGCATAAAACACAAGAGTCAAAGCCATGCTGGGGCAGATTCTAGAGAGAATTAAATCTGCGTGAGTGTGGAACAGCAATGTCTCATGAAGTGTTTAATTAGAGGCTAGATGACTGCTGTCAGAGACGCTGGAAATAGATCCCTGCCTATTACGGGTGGTCAGACACTAATTCAAGTTCTCTTCCAACTCTAATGCGCCTATATCTGGGAATGATGTATTATAGAGTAAATAGGTCCATCTTCTGGGCAGAAGAGTTGCCACTGAGAACAGAACGGAGGACAGATGCTGGGTTGCATTGGAGAGAAAGAAGCAAAATAATCATCCCTCCTGCCTTGAAGAGAATGGGGGCAACAAGGACAGAGTGTGTGTCCCAGAAGTTGTCAACACTTTCCCCAAACTCTACTCAAACTCCAAGATTATTCTCTTTTAAACAAAATCACTCACCATTTCCTAAAAGTAGAAGGAAGTGAAACAGCCAGCATGCAAGGGAAAATTGCTTTCTCTTTCTTTTGAGATAGTCTGCCTGTGTGAGGCTGGAAGGGAAGGCTCCTCCCTTAGTCCCGATGGGATTAAGCCTTAGAAGGGAAAGGCAGAAAATGAGAATCTTGAGGGTGGAGTCTCAAGGTGGAGATCTGAGGGCTGGACTACTAGGAATTCGGAACTCCAAAGAATAGGTCCTCAATCTGAAGAGAAGCACCGCTAGGGGGACCTGGGCTGCAGGGGAAGCTGGATGTCTGGTCCTTGATGTTCCTTCACAGAATGCCACCTCTTCTTTTTCTCTTTCAAAGAAGGCCTTTAGGGCGGGTACAGTGGCTCATGCCTGTAATCCCAGAACTTTGGGAGGCCAAGATAGGCAGATTACGAGGTCAGTAGTTCGAGACCAGCCTGGCCAACATAGTGAAACGCCATCACTACTAAAAATACAAAAATTAGCTTGGTGTGGTGGCACATGCCTGTAGTCCCAGTTGCTTGGGAGGCTGAGGCGGGAGAATCGCTTGAGCCCAGGAGGCAGAGGTTGCAGTGAGCTGAGACCACGCCATTGCACTCCAGCCTGGGCAACAGAGTGAGACTCCATCTCAAAAAAAAAAAAAAAAAAAAAGGAAGAAGAAGAAGGCCTTTAAAGCATCATCTGGACTGGGCAAGGCCTGGACATGTAGGCTGTTGTTCTTCCAGCTGTGAGCAGTGGCAGAATCCCCAAGCTTAGAGAGGAGGGTACAGCAGCCAGAAGGTAGGTGAGGGTGGAGGATGACTTAGTCCCATTAGGAAGGGCCTGGGGAGGAGTGGGAAGTGGAATAGTTCAAGGGCCTGGGCAACAGAGCAAGACCCTGTCTCAAAAAAACAGAAAACAGGCCGGGCACGGTGGCTCGCGCCTGTAATCCCAGCACTTTGGGAGGCTGAGGCGGGTGGATCACAAGGTCAGGAGATCGAGACCATCCTGGCTAACACAGTGAAACCCTGTCTCTACGAAAAATACAAAACAATTAGCAGGGCGTGGTGGCGGGCGCCTGTAGTCCCAGCTACTCGGGAGGCTGAGGCAGGAGAATGGCGTGAACCTGGGAAGCGGAGCTTGTAGTGAGCCGAGATCGCGCCACTGCACTCCAGCCTGGGTGACAGAGCGAGACTCAGTCTCAAACAAACAAACAGACAAACAAACAAAACAGAAAACAAAAAAACTCTCATGGAGTCTAGCCCCAGGTTTTTTTCATGACCTGCGAATGAAGGAACTGGAAGCCAATTACCCCGTTCCCATATTTGTTTTCTGCCGCTCCTTCAGTTGTCTTTGGGCTCTCTCTGTTGGCCTCAGCCAGAGTTGAAGCAAGCTTGGACTGTAAGCTCTCAGTCCCCAGGCAAACTGACAGTGTCCAAAGTGTAGGTACTTCCTTGATCATCTGGCTTGTCTGGCACACAGCACTGATGAGAAGACCTAGCTGAAGCTCCCCGGTGGAAAAGCTTCTATAAATTCTTCAAAAACAAAAGGGGAGCGCCTCTATCAAGGAGGATTAGAAGCAGGAGCATTCCTCTTTCCAGTGCCATCACTCTCCTTAGGTCCCCTGCAGCGTGTGTGCTGGTAAATGTTTAACAACTCACTTCTCGTGGTGCAAATGCACCCGCCAGAGCTGACTGCGTGTGACCAGCGTGAATCACTGTGTATAGAATGGGAAGCAATGGGCGGCACACCACCTTTTCGAGTGGTTTTATAAACATCTACTTCTTGTACTAAATCCTTTTATGCTTGAAATATCCAAAGTGGTTTCTGTTTTCATAAGTGAACTCTGACTGTTACAGTATTTGGTATAACAAGAGGTTTCAGAAAATTGACGTTCAAAGGTGGCAATCTGGGATTGGTTCCCTGACCCATTAGGCTTGAGGGCAGGGGCGACCTCATGCTAGTATAAAATGAAGTCTTTGTATTACACAGCAAAAGATAGAAAAAGTGACTTAAGTTATCACCTGTGGTGGTGCCTGGAATAAAGCAATTGTTGAAGGGAAGGGCCGGGAGCCCAGGTGGTCGCTGTGACAGATCGTGAAGCTGGGAGTGTTGACTGCCGGGACTGTGGGTGGCTGCACTGGGAGATTACAGGAAAAAAATGACCCCTCTGCTGCATCCTCAGTCAAGGCATTGCCAGCGAACACAGAGCTTTCTCTGAATATTCTAAAAGACATGCTTATCTCTCAAAGCCACAGGGACTATGTATGAAAAAACCAGACCCACAGTTTGATTCTGCAGATTGGAGAATTATATTCAACTTGCATTTATATCTTTGCCAGTCTCGTGTGTGACATTTGGAATATTTGTTAACGGAAGCCCAGAATTGGAGTGGAGACACCTGGGTAGATTTTGATGAGTCTGAAAAACTTTGAACCTCCAAATCCCGCAGAGCTTTCCTTGCCAGCAGAAGTAGCCCCTCCTCCCCTCTGTGAGGAAGTCACTTTCTCTTGCCTGAAGACCCTATAGTGACGCCCTCACAGCACTCCCTTGGCAAGGGGACACAGATTTTCCTCAGGCCCTGTATTAGTTTCTTATTGCTGCGTGACAAATTACCACAAATTCAGGCTGAAGATAGCACAAATATATTATCTTGCAGTTCTGGAGATCGGAAGTTTAAAATAGGTTTTACTGGGCTAAAGTCAAGGTGTCAGCTGGTCTGTGGTCCTTCTGGAGGCTCTAGAGAAGAATCTGTTTACTCACCTTTTCCACCGCTAGAGGCTTCCAGCACTCCTTGGTTTGTGGCCCCTTCTTCCATCTTCAAAGCTTGCATCGCAGCATCTTCAAATCTCTCTGACTCTGACTCCTGTCTCCCTCTTTTTTTTTTTTTTTTTGAGATTGAGTCTTGCCCTGTTGCCCAGGCTAGAGTGCAGTGGTGCAATCTTGGCTCACTGCAACCTCCACCTCCTGGGTTCAAGCCATTCTCCTGCCTCAGCCCCCTGAGAGGCTGGGATTACAGGCACCCACCACTACACCCGGCTACATTTTGTATTTTTAGTAGAGACAGGGTTTCATCATCTTGACCAGGCTGGTCTCGAACTCCTGACCTCGTGATCTACCCTCCTCAGCCTCCCTAAGTGCTGAGATTACAGGTGTGAGTCACTGCGCCCGGCCTCTCATCTCCCTCTTATAAGGACCTTTGTGATCACATTGGGCCCATACAGATAATCCAGGATAATCTCCCCATTACAAGATCCTTAATGCGATCATGCATGCAGAGTCCCTTTTGCCATATAAAGTAACATATTTCCAGGTTCTGGGAATTGAAACGTGGATGTTTTTGAGGGGCTGTTATTCTGCCTACCACAGGCCCTATTACAATGCCCCTCGTGGCCTCCAGCTCCATGCGTTGAGTCAGATCTAGGGGCTGAAAACAACCATAGATGACAGTGAGCAAGGAAACAGGGGCCTCAACTCTAAACACAAGGAACTGGACTCTGCCACAACCACGTGAGCTTGAAAGAGATGCCAGCCTCCAGATGAGGATGCAGCTCAACTAACACCTTCATTTTAACCTGTGAGACTGAGCAAAGGAGTCAGTCATGCTGGCCCCAGACCCGCCTCATAGAACTGTGGTCTGATAAATGGGTGTTGGTTTAAGCTGCTGCATTTGTAGTAAGTTATCACTGATAGAAAACAAATACATGGGTGAACTTATCACATGTTCTAGATTCAAAACATTAGCTCAAGTAGGTGTGAGTTGCACTAATAGTTCTCTCGGTTGCTTGAAATGTGGACTTAGTGGTGGCCTACACTAAATAAAGTTGAGATCCCAGTATTTCATTAGTATAAGCGGAAGAAAAAAATCAAAAGACTTAGGAAGAGAGTTATGTTGGAATGGATTTAATATGTGCAACTTGCTCACTCACTCTTTCATTACGTCCTCCCAGAAGGTTCCATTGAAACTGTCTTCATCAAGGCATTAGAAGGGAGAGGACCAGCATCGTTGAAAAGCTCTGTAGCAGCTCTTTGCTAAATGCAATGGTGGATGATCTGACCATTGAAATGAGCTTCCTGATTTCAGTGGGCATGGTGGAATCTTCAGGAAACAGTAGGTAGGTGGTAGGGCTTTCCCTCCAGAGACAAGACAGGCATGATTATCGATGTGGGCATCACGACCAGAGCTGTAATCAGGGCTCTTTGGCTATGGCTAATTAATCATTAATCAATTAACCACTAAAATCTTACTTGATCTATATAAGTGAAAATATCCAGGTGGTTGAACAGAGAGCTGACTTGAGTTGCCACAGACTCTCACCTAATTCCCAGGCCCGAACCTGTTCACAGACCTAGAAATGAAGGGAAGGCAGCAAGATCCACCACCACCACCAGGATGTGCCGCGAATCTTCCTCCTAGCTTTCAAAAGGAATCTCAGCCATTTATCATCGTGACAGTGCAATGGGGAAATGAAAACACCCAAACCTTTAGGGTAACATACAAGACATCATTGCGATCTACAAGTCAGGGTGGAGCTTATGGGGCTTAGAACATAAATGACGTGGCCGGGCACAGTGGTTCATGCCGGCAATCCTAGCACTTTGTGGGGCCAAGGCAGGTGGATTACTTGAGGTCAGAAGTTTGAGACCAGCCTGACCAACAAGGTAAAAACCTGGCTCTACTAAAGATACGAAAATTAGCCAGGCATGGTGGCAGGCGCCTGTAGTTCCACCTACTCGAGAGGTTGAGACAGGAGAATCGCTTGAACCCGGGAGGCGGGAGGCGGAGGTTGCAGTGAGCCAAGATCGTGCCACTATTCCAGCCTGGGCGACAGAGCAAGACTCCATCTCAAAAAAAAAAGAACATAAATAACATCTTACTCAAAGTTCATCTCTAGGCTCCGTCTGCGCATATTTCCCCACTTTCAAGTGGGAACCAAAGCAAGGCCATAAGGCTGCTTGAGACATTGCTGACTAGATCCAATGTTGCCTAAAATGTCTGTGGTACATCAGAAAGCTGTGTGGAGACACTGGGTAGCTAGTAGAAGAGCCACGGCACAGGTCCCCAGAGTTTTGGAGCAAAAGCAAGCCCTCTTCCACATCCTAGCATCTGACTTAATCTTGGGTCCTCAGCATGCGAGGGTTCATGAAACATGAGCTGCCCTTTATGAACTGGGTGTTGTCTGCACCACCACACTAGACTGGGCATACTTAGCAGTGCTCACCTCCTTGAATGGAAGTGGTGCCTGCGAATTTGGCTGAGTTAGTTCCTCAAGGCACAAGTAAGAGGCATGAGTAGGCAGCTGTAACTCCAGTGGCATCTCCAGCTACATTCCTAACCTCTCTCTCCATAATCACAGTCACATGAAGGGTTTCCTATGTCTAGTTGACTGAGAAAGGAAAGATTTGGTTTCCTCTGGTGTGTGGGTGGTTCTGCATGCTATTCTAACACCACAGAGAGCAGGCTGCTGCAGCATTACCACCCCACTCACGGCAGCCCTGCAGGACAGTGGGGAAGGAAAATTCTCCCAGTGATCCGAATTGTAAAGAATGCATCTGCTTTGTTTACTTTGCCTGGGCAAAGAGATGACCAGTTACAGTTAACCCTGATCAATAGGCAGTGGCTAACAGTTTGGCTAGATAACTCAGGGTGAGGAAAGACATGGTGAATTGATGACAAGGAAGTCTGGGAAAGAGGAAGGTGGACGAGTCTCTTGGGAAGGGCACAGATGGTGAGAGTATGTGCATCCCATGTGACTGTTCACCAATGGGCGTTCACTACAGAGGAAATCTTCCATGATGAGGTTGACCAAGCGATCCATTCTGCAGACGTCAGCCAATCTCTTTTTCCAGCTGCTCTAGTGCTCGCTCAGCAGGGACATGGACAAAGCAGACAGGCTGGCAGGGATGAAGCGTATGCAAGGCTCAGTGAGCTGGCCTTCCCCTCACCAAGGCCAAGCTGGACAGATAATCCATGGCTGAGTGCCTCAACTGCTAACAGCAGAGATCAGTGTTGGCCCCGTTATGTGGCACCATTCTCCAGAGAGAATGGCAGATTAATTATATCAGACCTATTTCAACCTAAAGAGAGAGGTGATTTGTCCTCATTGAAAATAGCTGCTTGCCTCCCTTGCACACAATGCTTCCTGCAGCACCACTGTCTTTGGGCTTACCAAATGCCTCATTTATCGTCATGTGTCTCCAACCACATTCTCTGACCAAGGAAATCATAATATGCTGAGAAAATAGCCTCAGAATATCTTTTTCATTTTTCAAATTGAGACATAACTTACATACCATAAAGTGCACAGATCTCATGTGCACATTTTAATGAAGTTTTACATATCTATACACCCTTGTAATCACCACCCAGATCATACACAGAACATTCTCAGCTTCCCCTGTCTGCCCCTGCAAGAAGGCTTTCTCATGCCTTCTCCCGGTCAGCCTTTTCCCCCAAGGCATCCTCAACTCTGACCTTTATTACAACAGGTTAATGTCACATGGCCTTGAACTGCATGTGAATGGAATTATACAGTAGGTACACTTTTGTTTTGACTTCTTTTACTCAACACTGACTATGAGATTCATTAATGTTATTGTGTGATTTCATAGGTTTTTTTTTTCACTACTGGGTAGCATTCCACTGCATGAATATGTCACAATTTACTTACCTGTTCTAATGTTAGTGGACTTTGGGGTTAAATTTCCACCCTGCAGTGGTATGAATGAAGCTGGCATGGTACATGTCTTTTGGTGGACACAGGTATTCATTTCTGCTGGATATTTACTCTCAGGAGTGGAAGTACCGAGTCATAGGGTATGTGTTTAATTTTAGCATTGCCAAACATTTTCCCAAGATAATTGTATCAATTTACACTCCCACTAACAATGTGTGAGAGTTCCAGTTGTTCAATGTCCTTTCCAATACTTGGTACTGGCAGTCTTTCAAATGCTAGTCATTACAGTGTGTGTATGTAGTGGTATCTCATTGCGGTTTTACATTCCACTTCTGATAAGCAGTGATATTGGGTACCTTTTCAAATGTTCACCGGCTGTTTTGATATCCTCTTTTGCTAACTATTTATCAAATATTTTGCCCAATTTAAAATTGCATCATCTTTTTCTTATTGTAGCTCTTTCTGCATTCTGGATATGAGTCGTTTGTTAGCTATATGTGTTGCAATATCTTCTCCCATCTTTGACTTTCCTTTTATAGTTAAGAATATACCTCTTAAAGGTATATGCTGATACTAGGCTTTAATGAAGTCCAAATCATCACACTTTCTTTTAATAGCTAGTGCTTTTTGTGTCTTGCTTAAGTATCTAAGTATCTTTGCCTACCTCAAGGTCACCAAGATATTTTCTGAGGATTAAATGATGACCTTTTTTTTTTTTTTGAGACAGAGTCTTCCTCTGTCGCCCAGGCTGGAGTGCAGTGGCACAATCTCGCCTCACTGCAACCTCCACCTCCCAGATTCAACCGATTCTCCTGCCTCAGCATCCCGAGTAGCTGGGATTATAGGCACTCGCCACCACGCCTGGCTGATTTTTGTATTTATTTAGTAGAGACGGGGTTTCACCATGTTGGCCAGGCTGGTCTCGAACTCCTGACCTCAAGTGATCCACCCGCATTGGCCTCCCAAAGTGCTGGGATTACAGGCGTGAGCCACCACACCCAGCCAAATGATGACGTATTTAAAGGCTCCTGGGATAGTGATTGGTACATAATAAGCACTCAAAAAAAAAAAAAAAAAACAAAACCTGAAAGAACAAACAGGAAAACGAATACGTGTGTGGCCCTGATAATACATTCATTATGTGCTTTTGTTTCTTAGACATGTCTTGGTAATATTTATAGCACCATGAGGAAACACAGGGATGAGAAACGTTGACCCTGATGTGGCGGGAAATGGGAGAGAAGATGTCCTGAGGGTGGTTGTCGTGACTCCCCACAACAGAGGCTGAGACTCAGGAAAAACTCACAGAAGCTTTGACTTGAAGTCCCCTCCAAGCCAGTCAAAGTCTCTGAGGTCCTTTTGCTGGTTCTTTTCTTGACCTAGTCCATGTCCATCTCCATGGATCACATCCTGGGAAGCTTCCTATGCTCCATTTTAATTATTTCATGATCATTATTTTTTTCTCCTCCATGACCCCCTCCCACCCATAATATGTTTTGATACCCAATCTATGGCCACAGCCATCTTGTCCTGCCGTGGCCTCCTTGGTGGCTCCCTCTGTGATCCACTCCATGGTGTCCTCAGTGGCCTCCTCCATGTCCATAATGCCCGCCATGATTCACTCCGTAGCCATCTCCATGGATGTGGCTCAGTCCATGGCCCACTCCATATCCAAAGCCGTGTGTTCCTCCATGTCCCATTTCAAGTTCTCCTCCATGAACCAGTGCATTTCCCAGGCTGTGGAATGTCCCAGAGCCCAGGCCCAAGTTCAGGTCCAGACCAAGGCTGTGGCTGTGGCCATGGGGGTAATAAATACCACAATATCTCAGGGGGAAGAAAAGGTTTCTCTAAAAGAAAAAAATAAATACATTGATAAATGAAAATTAAGTCTCCTCTCCCTAATCACCATACATGCCTGTTTCACCAATGTCAGATTTTCACTTTTCCAAACTGCCCATGTTCTCTTCTCTTTACCACCATCCTTACTATGATCTCTGTCTCTGTCTCTCTTTTTCCTTGTTCTTTTACTCTTTCTCCGTCTGACAAAATAAGCTTCCTTGTTACCTTATTAACATATCATCTTTATGTGCGTACTCAGGCCCTAGCTCTGCAGATCATAAGGTTATGTGTTTTTGGACTTCCAAGACAAAGGTAAATCCATACCCCTATGTGAAAGGCACAGAGACTCACTTTACAGACAGTCTTTCTCTTTGTTAGTCAGCTAAGAAAGCTCAGAACAGGTACGTGGAATTGAGAGCTCTAGAAAGCTGTCTACACAGAGCCTTGAGATTATAGGCATGAACTCCAGAATCCAACTAACCTGAGTTAGAGTCTTATATCTGCCACTCACTACATGTGCTGGGGCAAATAGCTAAGATCATGAAGCTCCAGATCCCTTACTTGTAAGATGAATATAATATGGCCACGGGATTGTAGGCCAGATTAAATAACATTATGCATTTTAAACATTCAGCCTTGAGCCTAGCAGGCAGTAAAAACTCAATGTTCACTTTCGTTATTCTCTCTTGATCTTGCAAATGAAATAATAAAGTAATTTAGGGAGTAATTCTTAGATGCTGGTATTTATTATGTAGTCCACATACGGAGAGAGGCTGAGAATTCTAAAACAAAGAACCTCAGCAAATTGACTATATTATCCAAATCTTTTGTGACTTCCGTATTTTTCATTTTGTCCATTTTTACCAGTGGTATGCTGTCCAACACTTAATAACAGGCTCTCCGAGGGAAAAGTGCTGATTTGTAGTGTTTGACAATTGCTGTGGTGTAAGTATTTCCAACCCAGCATATTTTAAGCTACCAGTGTCACATCACTCAGCTCAGAATTGGGAAGAACTGCACAATCTCTTGTGGGCCAGGATGAGCCAGCTCCAGCACACCACTGATTTATACTCTGCTTCACTCCTCAAATGGTAACTTACCCGCAGGATCACAAGAAAACAGGAAGAACATCAATAAATGTGAAATCGATGTAAGAAAAATATGTATTCAAAGAACAATCAAGACCAGAGAGCAGAGATGGAGTGGGAGGTCAGAGAGTAACAGTCACAGGCCACACAAGGAATTGCTGTGAGGACCAGAAATTTGTCATACATGAGACAATCGGAAGCCCGCATTTTGGATGGCTGAACATTTTTATGCTTCTTTCTTTTCTCTATTTCTCTCTCTCTTTCTTTCCTTCTTTCTTTTTTCTTTCTCTTTCTCTCTCAGTTTCTTTCTTTCTTTCTTCCTTTCTTTCTCTTTCTTGCTTTCTTCCTTTCTTCCTCATTCTTTCTCTTTTTCTCTCTCTCTCTCCTTCCTTCCTTCCTACCTTTCTTTTCTTTCTTCCTTCCTTTCGAGACAGGATCTTGCTCTGTCACTCAGGCTGGAGTGCAGTGGCACGATCTCTGCTCACTGCAACCTCCATCTCCCAGGTTCAAGCAATTCTCGTGCCTCAGCCTCCAAAGTAGCTGGGACTACAGGTCCATGCTACCACTCTCGACTAATTTTTGTATTTTTAGTAAAGACAAGTTTCACCATGTTGGCCAGGCTGGTCTCAAATGCCTGGACTCAAGTGATCCGCCCTCCTTGGCCTTCCAAAGTGCTGGAATTACAGGGGTGAGCCACTGCGCCCAGCTGCTTCTTGCTTTCTTTATGTTTATGTCCTCCTTGTTCTCTCTCAGTATTTCCCTTGTTCTGTCAGTATTTCCCTTCACTTTGGCCCCAACTCCATCTTTTCCCTCCTCTTTTTCTACTTTGCTTCTCACTTTCTCTGACTTAAGCATTCTCTCTGGTCCTTATATCAGGCTAGGTGATTCTTTCCTTCTGAGCGCACCAACTTACTCCCCTTTCTCATTCTGGATTTTTCCAAAGCACTGCTGACATGATTCCCCCCTGCCTTCTTGCCAGGCTCCCCTATGAACCCACCCTGGGTACTCACCAGACAAAAACTCAGTCCTACTGACAATCCAACAGCAGCCACAACTGCAGCCAGGGAAATGAGGATGATAGCCCAGGGCTGTAAATATCCACTTGGTTTGATCACGTTTGTGGGTGTGTGGCTCATGCTAACTGTGTTTGTGCCCATGGACACCGGGCCTGTTTCCTGGAAGGTGCTGCTGGTTGGCTCACGGGTGGATCCTGTGGTGGTCCTGACGCCGTGGGCTGAGGTGGTAGATGATGCTCCCATAGTGGATGTACCCAGGCCAGAGGTGTTTAAGACTATTCCTGGCACAGTATGGCTGGCAGCAGAGGCCGTGAAGTCCATTCCAGGGGCCATGGTGACAGAGCTGGAGGCAGTGAGTCTGGTTCCAGTGGTTCTGGTGCCTATGAAACAGGTCACACAAGATGATGCATTTGTAGCAGAGATGATTAAAGGGGAATGGGGGTGCTTAGACCAGAGGAGGGTGAATCTAACAAACCTATGGTGGAGGTGGCTCAGGAGAGGTGTGGTGGGGGAGGAGAGATGGTAGAAAGCGATTCTGCTGTGGCCATGTCCCCAGAATGCAGGTGGGTGTCATACAGAGAAGGAGGTAGAATGTGTCACCTGGTGGAGTTGGTGATGGAGGAGGCAGAAGTTTGAGGAAACGTTATCGCGATGGGTTCAGAAGTGGAAGATCTATTTGACTTCAGAAGTGGCCACCCAAATAGAAGAGGGTGGGCTGATAAAAATGAATGAATTAACAGCATTTGCAGTGACCTGGATGAGATTTTAGACTATTCTTCTAAGTGAAGTAACTCAGGAATGGAAAACCGAACATCGTATGTTCTCACTGATATGTGGGAGCTAAGCTATGGAAATACGAAGACATAAGAATGATGCAATGGACTTTGGGGACTTTGGGGGAAGAGTGGGAGGGGGCGAGGGATAAAAGACTTCAAATATGGTGCAGTGTATACTACTAGGGTGATGGGTGCACCAAAATCTCACAAATCACCACTAAAGAACTTATTCATATAACCAAATACCACCTGCATCCCAATAACTTATGGAAAAAATTGAAAATAAATAAATCAAAGCAGATCAAATAAGTGGGTGGGCTGGTATACAAAGCGGCAGGCCCTGCTTCTTTTGTGACTGTGATCACTGGGTGTAAGGAGGGAGCTGGAGGAGGAGATGGTAGAATTGGATTCACTCATGGGCATGCCAGTGGCCGTGGCTGGGACAGAGGTGACATCATCTACCACACTGTGGTGATCAGCAAAGGTGAGGTGAGTGTGCTTGGGCAGATGTAGGAGGACCTGACCCAAGTGGAGAAGGCTGCTCACAGGGATAGGAGAGGGTGGGCTCAGACAGGTGTGAGCACGAATCAACACAGCAGAGGCGGTGGTGGCGGCTTAGGTAGCGATGGGTGTGCCTAGGTCAGAAGTGGTTAAAATGGGATCACAAACAGCACCAGTCATGAGAATAGAAGTGAGTATGCTTAGAACCAAGAGGATAGAATCAGATGTAACCGGCTTGCTGATGGCAAGTGCCAGAGAATGAACAAAATTGTTTGGTCTCAGACTGGAGCAAAGGTTGCCAAATTTTTTCTGTAAAGGTCCAAACAGCAAATAATTTAGGCTTTTGGGCCAGGCTGTCTCTGTTGCAAATACACGGAAAAGCAGAAAAGCAGCTGGAGACAAACCATAAATGAATGGGCATGACTATGTTCCAGTAAAACTTTACAAAACCAGGTAACAGGTGAGACTTGACCCATGAAATGTGGTCTGCCAGCCTCTGGTCTAGAGTCAATACATTGATAGGAGGTGGCAGTGTCACAGATGGTTGGTTGAATAGAGATAATCTACTTGGCACCGAAGTGGGAGCATTTCACAAAACTGTGATGGGCCAGTAGAGTTGAGGCGGGCTTGCTGGAGGAAGATGTGACAGATATGATGCACTTGTGGTTTACTATATTGTGGTTCTGATTGCAATGGAAGTGGTGGGCACTTAAAAAAAAAGAGGTGAGACCAGAGTAGAGGCAATTAGGATTCCAGAAGAGGACATTTTTTTTTTTTTTTTTGAGACGGAGTCTCGCTCTGTCGCCCAGGCTGGAATGCAATGGCGCGATCTCTGCTCACTGCAAGCTCCACCTCCCGGATTCACATCATTCTCCTGCCTCAGCCTTCCGAGTAGCTGGGACTACAGGTGCCCGCCACCACGCCCAGCTAATTTTTTGTATTTTTAGTAGAGACTGGATTTCACCGTGTTAGCCAGGATGGTCTCAATCTCCTGATCTCGTGATTCGCTCGCCTCAGCCTTCCAATGTGCTGGGATTACAGGCATGAGCCACCGCGCCCAGCCTAGAAGAGGAAATTATATCTAACTGTGTGCTGGCTTGACTTGAACCAGGGCAGAGATGATAGAAACAGGTGAACAGCTGGTGGTTGCCACTGGAGTTAAAATGTGTGGGCTCAAAGAAGACATGGGGGTTAGTACCTGACATAGGTGTGTTGGTGATGGGCTGGATAGAAACGTCAGTGGCCTTGGTGAGTACAAACGTGGTGGAAGAGACAGTGGTGGAGGCTGCAGTGGCCCCAGAAGCTGTGATAGAGACTGTGGTGGTCTCAGAGCCTGTGAGGGAAGTTGCAGTGGGCTCCAAGCTTGCAGTGGAAGCTATGGTGCTCTCAGAGCCTATGATGAAGGCAGTGTTGGTCTCAGAGCCTGCACTGGAGGGTGTGGAGGTCTCAGAACCTGTGGTACAGGCTGTGTTGGTCTCAGAGCCTGAAGTGGAGGCTGTGGTGGTCTCAGAGCCTGCAGTGGAGGCTGTGGTGGTCTCAGAGCCTGCAGTGGAGGCTGTGGTGGTCTCAGAGCCTTCAGTAGAGGTGGTGGTGGCCTCAGAGCCTGCAGCAGAGGATGTGGTGGCCTCAGAGCCTATGGTAGAGACTGTGGTGGTCTCAGAGACTGTGGTAAAGACTGTAGTCATCTCAGAGCCTGTGGTAGAGGCTGTGGTGGTCTCAGAGCTAGTGGTAGAAACTGTAGTGGCCTCAGAGCCTTCAGTAGAGGCGGTGGTAGTCTTAGAGCCTGTGATATAGACTGTTGTGGTCTCAGAGCCTGCGGTAGAGGCTGTGGTGGTCCCAGAGCCTGAGGTGGAGACTGTGGTGGTCTCCAAATCTGCGGTAGAGGCTGTGGTGGTCTCAGAGCCCGTGGTAGAGACTGTGGTTGTCTCAGAGCCTTCAGTAGAGGTGGTGGTAGTCTCAGAGCCTGTGGTATAGACTGCTGTGGTCTCAGAACCTGCAGTAGTGACTGTAGTGGTCTCTGAACCTTCAGTAGAGGTGATGGTAGTCTCAGTGCCTGTGGTAGAGACTGTGGTGGTCTCAGAGCCTGTGGAGGAGACTGTAGTGGTCTCAGAGCCTTCAATAGAGGCTGTGGTGGTCTCAGAGCCTGCAGTAGAGACTGTGGTGGTCTCTGAGCCTGCAGTAGAGGCCGTGGTGGTCTCAGAGCCCATAGTAGTGACTGTAGTGGTCTCAGAGCCTTCAGCAGAGACTGTGATGGTCTCAGAGCCTGTGGTAGAAACTGTAGTGAGCTCAGAGCCTTCAGTAGAGGCTGTGGTGGTCTCAGAGCCTTCAGTAGAGGCTGTGGTGGTCTCAGAGCCTGTGGTAGAAACTGTAGTGATCTCAGAGCCTTCAGTAGAGGCTGTGGTGGTCTCAGAGCCTTCAGTAGAGGTGGTGGTAGTCTCAGAGCCTTCAGTAGAGGCTGTGGTGGTCTCAGAGCCTATGGTAGTGGCTGTAGTGGTCTCAGAGCTTTCAGTAGAGGCTGTGGTGGTCTCAGAGCCTTCAGTAGAGGCTGTAGTGGTCTCAGAGCCTTCAGTAGAGGTGGTGGTGGTGGTCTCAGAGCCTGCTGTAGAGGCTGGGATGGTCTCAGAGCCTGCAGTGGAGACTGTGGTGGTCTCAGAGGCTGTGGTAGAGGCTATGGTGGTCTCAGAGTTTTCAGTGAAGACTGTGGTCATTTTAGAGCTTGCAGTGGAGACCTTGGTGGTCTCAGAGCCTATGGTAGAGGCCATAGTGGTCTCAGAGCCCATGATGGATGCCATGGTGGTCTCAGAGCTTGTAGTAGAGGCTGTGGTGGTCTCAGAGCCTGTAGTAGAGGCTGAGGTGGTCTCGGAGCCTTCAGTAGAGGCTGTGGTGGTCTCGGAGCCTTCAGTAGAGGCTGTGGTGGTCTCAGAGCCTGTGATGGAGGCTGTAGTAATCTCAGAGCCTTCAGTAGAAGTGGTGGTGGTCTCTGAACCTGTGGTAGAAACTTTAGTGGTCTCAGAGCCTGTGATGGAGACTGTAGTGGTCCCAGAGCCTTCAGTAGAGACTGTGGTCTCAGAGCCTGTGGCAGATACTGTAGTGGTCTCAGAGCCTTCAGTAGAGGTGATGGTCCTCTCAGAGCCTGTGGTAGAGACCATGGTGGTCTCAGAGTCTGTGGTGGAGACTGTAGTGGTCTCAGAGCCTTCAGTAGAGGCTGTGGTGGTCTCAGAGCTTGTAGTAGAGGCTGTGGTGGTCTCAGAGCCTGTAGTAGAGGCTGAGGTGGTCTCAGAATCTGCAGTAGATGCTGTGGTGTTCTCAGAATCTGCAGTAGAGACTGTGGTGGTCTCAGAGCCTGCAGTGGAGGCTGCAGTGGTCCCAGAGCCTTCAGTAGAGTCTGTGGTGGTCTCAGCACCTGTGGTGGAGACTGTAGTCATCTCAGAGCCTTCAGTGGAAGTGGTGGTGGTCTCCAAGCCTGTGGTGGAAACTGTAGTGGTCTCAGAGCCTGTGGTGGAGACTGTAGTGTTCTCAGAGCCTTCAGTAGAGACTGTGGTCATCTCAGAGCCTGTGGCAGAGACTGCAGTGGTCTCAGAGCCTTCAGTAGAGGCTGTGGTGGTGTCAGAGCCTATGGTAAAGACTGTGGTGGTCTCCAAGCCTGTATTAGAGGCTGTGGTGGTCTCAGAGCCTGTAGTATAGGCTGTTTTGGTCTCAGAGCCTGCGGTAGTGACTGTAGTGGTCTCAGAACCTTCAGTAGAAGCTGTGGTGGTCTCAGAGTCTGAAGTAGAGGCTATTGTGATCTCAGAGCCTTCAGTAGAGGCTGTAGTGGTCTCAAAGACTGTGGTGGAGACTGCAGTCATCTCAGAGCCTTCAGTACAGGTGGTGGTGGTCTCTGAGTCTGTGATAGAAACTGTAGTGGTCTCAGAGCCTGTGGTGGAGACTGTAGTGGCCTCAGAGCCTTCAGTGGAAGCTGTGGTGGTCTCAGAGCCTTCAGTAGAGGCTGTGGTGGTCTCAGAGCCTGTGGTAGAATCTGTGCTGGTCTCAGAGCCCATGATGGAGGCTGTGGTGGTCTCAGAGCCTGTGGTAGAGACTGTGGTGGTCTCAGAGCCTACGGTAGAGGCTCTGATTGTCTCAGAGCCTGCAGCAAAGACTGTGGTCACCTCAGAGCTTGCAGTGGAGACCTTGGTGGTCTCAGGGCCTATGGTAGAGGCCATAGTGGTCTCAGAGCCCATGGTGGATGCCATGGTAGGCTCAGAGCCTGTAGTAGAGGCTGCGGTTGTCTCAAACCCTGTAGTAGAGGCTGTGGTAGTCTTAGAATCTTCAGTAAATGCTGTGTTGGTTTCAGAATCTTCAGTAGAGGCTGCAGTGGTCTCAGAGCCTGCAGTGGAGACTGTGGTCTCAGAGCCTGCAGTTGAGACTTTGGTGGTCTCAGAGCCCATGGTGGAGGCTGCAGTCGTCTCAGAATGTGCAGTAGAGGCTGTTGTGGTCTCAGAGCCTGTGGTGGAGACTGTAGTGGTCTCAGAGCCTGCAGTAGAGACTGTGGTGGTCTCTGAGCCTGCAGTAGAGGGTGTGATGGTTTCCGAGCCTGCAGTGAAGACTGTGGTCATCTCAGAGCCTGTGGTAGAGGCTGCAGTGGTCTCAGAATCTGCAGTATAGGCTGTGGTGGTCTCAGAGCCCACGGTGGAGACTGTGGTGGTCTCAGAGCCTGCAGTAGAGGTGACGGTGGTCTCAGAGCTTGTAGTAGAGTTTGTGGTGGTCTCTGAGCCCATGGCAGAGACCATGGTGGTCTCAGTGCCTGTGATAGAGACTGTAGTGGTCTCAGAGCCTGCAGTGGAGACGGTGGTCTCAGAGCCTGCCATAGAAGCTGTGGTGGTCCCAGAGCCTGCACTAGAGACTGTGGTGTTCTCGGATCCTGCCGTAGAGGTGGTGGTGATCTCAGAACCTGAAATAGAGACTATGGTGGTCTGAGAGCCTGTGGGGGAGGGGGTGGTGGTCTCAGAACCTGCTGTAGAGGCTGTGGTGGTCTCAGAGGCTTTAATCAGGATTGTAGTGGTCTCAGAGCCTGTGGTAGAGGCTGTGGTGGTGTTAGAGCCTGCAGCGGGGGCCACAGTGGTCTCAGAGCTCATGCTGGATGCCGTGATCACCTTGGAGTCTGCAGTTGAGGTTGTGGTGGCCTCAGAGCCTGCCATGGAGGTGGAGGTAGTGGTGGTCTCAGAACCTGCAGTAGATGCTGTGGTGGTTTCAGAGCCTGTGGTAGAGACTTTAGTGGCCTCAGAGCTTGCAGTGGAGGTGGTGGTGGTCTCAGAGCCTGTGGTAGAGACTGTGGCAGTCTCAGAGCCTGTGGTGGAGGCCATGGTGGTCTCAGAAATTATGGAGGAGGCCATCGTTTTCTCAGAGCCTGCAGTGGAGGTTGTGCTGGAGGCCATGGTAGTCTCAGGGACTGTAGTGGAGGCTATAGTAAAGGTTGTTGTGGTCCCAGAGACTGTGGTGGAGGCCACGATAGTTTCAGAGCCTGCAGTGGAGCCTGTGGTTGTGTCAGAGCCTGTGGTGAAGGTCCTAGTGGAGGCTATAGTAGTCCCTGAGTCTGTGGTGGAGGCCGTGTTGGTCTCAGAGCCTGTGGTGAAGGCTGCAGTAGAAGCCATGGTGGAGGCTGAGGTTGTCTCAGAGCCTGTGGTAGAGTCTGTGGTGATCTTAGAGCCTGTAGTTAAGGCCGAAGTAGAGGCCATGGTGGAGGCCATGGTGGTCTCAGAGCCTGTGATGGAGGCTGTGGTGGTGTCGGAGCCTTTTGTGAAGGCTGTGGTATTCTCAGAGCCTGAGGTGGAGAACAAATAAGGTGGTGGGAATGGGTTAAAGATGAATTTGCAGGTTTAGTATAGTGTTACTTTCACATATACTCAGTACTTCTTATTCATTTATTTATTCAGTTATTGAGGGCTTAACATGTACCTGGTATTTTACTAAACTCTGGGCATACTCCTGTCAGCAAAAGGGATATGGGCTTATAATTTAGTAAAGAAGAGAGCTACAACATAAAATATAAATACACATTGGCTTAAGTGCTGTTAAAGAAAGCAGTGGTGCTGCTTTAGATACTGGAGTCAGAAAAGGTCTCTCTGAGGAACTGACATATGAACTGAGATCTGAAGGATAAGAAGGCAGCCATTTGGGCTGGGCGCAGTGGCTCAAGCCTGTAATCCCAGGCGGATCACCTGAGGCCGGGAGTTCAAGACCAGCCTGACCAATATGGAGAAACCCCATCTCTACTAAAAATACAAAATTAGCCAGGCATGGTGGCGCATGCCTATAATCCCAGCTATTCAGGAGGCTGAGGCAGGAGAATCACTTGAACCGGAAGGCGGAGGTTGCAGTGAGCCAAGATTGCACCACTGCACTCCAGCCTGGCCAACAAGGGCAAAACTCCATCTTAAAAAAAAAAAAAAAAAAGAAGGCAGCAATTTGAAAGGCCAGGAGAAGGACATCACAGATTGATAGCATAAGTACAAATACCCTGAGTTGTTAATGAGCTCGATGTGATTCATGAATAAATAGGAGACCAGGGTGGCTGGAATGTAGTTACTGAAGGAGAAAACGAGGCGGTAGAGAGACCTTTTCTAACCATAATCTCTGAAGCAGGACCCCTGCCTTTTTAACAACACATAACCCAAAGGTGTATTTACATTCTTTATATTCTAAACTCTTCTTTACAAGAACATAAGCCCACATTTCTTTTGCTGACAGGGGTATACTCAGAGTTTAGCAAAATACCATGGTAGAAAGGTTAAATTTCATCTCAAATACAATGAAGACCCACTGGAATAACATACTCTGGTTAATTTCTCTTTGTTTTTATTTTGAAAAAAAAAATCACAAATTCTTTTGTAACAAGTATAACACAAAGAACCCTTTTCCCTGAATCTGTCTCATTATCCTTCAATACTTTATATATTCTCATACGCAACCATAATACAGCCATCAAGATCAAGAAATTCACATGAATATATTGCTGCCACCTGATCCTTAGATCCCTTTCAAGTTTTGTTAGTTGTTCTAATAATGTCTTTAATAGTAAACCAGTTCAATTCAGAATCGTGTGTTGTTTTTCGTTGTTCTGTCTCTTTAGTCTTCTTCAGTCTGGTGCAGTTCTTCAGTCTTCCTTTGATCTTCATAACTTTTAACCTTTGAAGATTACAGGTCAATTATTTTATAGAATTTTCCTTAAACTGAGTTTTTGTAATGTTTCATCATGATTAGGCTCATGTTATTAATCTTTGCCAGGAAAACCACTGAAGTGATGCTGTATTCTTCTCTTTGCATACTATCAGGTGACAGATAATATCAATGTGTCCCATCATTGATGATGTTCTCTTGGATTACTTGATTAAGAAGGTGTATCCAGGCTGGTTTTTCTCCCTTTGTAGTTAGTAAATATTGTGTTGTGATTATAATTATGAAATGTCTCTCTTTATCCCTAATAATATACCTCTTCTTAAGCCTATTTTGTCTGATTTTGAAATAGTCACTCAATTTTTTTCTAAATTGATGTTAGCATGGCTAACATACAGTATGGCCGTATCTTTCTTCCTCTTATTTTTATCCTATTGTTTACCCTATTTGTAGTTATAGTTAGTTAAAATGTATTTCTTGGTTGAATATTATTTATTTGGGGCTTTCTTTTTTAACCAATGTGTCAATCTCTGCCTTTTAATTGTGGTGTCTGGACCATATACATTTAATGTAATTATAAATACGTTGGGTCTGATTCTTTTTTAGAGACAGAGTCTTGCTCTGTCACTCAGGCTATAATGCAGTGGCACAATCACGGCTGACTGCAGCCTTGACTTTCTAAGCTCAAGAAATCCTCCTGCCTCAGCCTCCGAACTATCTAGGATCACAGGCACGAGTCATGATGCCTGGCTAATTACTTTTTAATTTTTATTTCTTGTAAAGATGGGGTCTCCCTATGTTGCCTGGGCTTGTCTCGAACTCCTGGGCTCAAGTAATCTTCCTGCCTCAGCCCCAAAAAGTGCTGGAATTACAAGTGTGAACCACTGTAGCTGGCCCTGAATTTAATAGTCTTCATATTTGTTTTCTATTTTTCTCGTCTGATCTTCTTACCTTTTCCTCCATTTTTCGCCTTTTTTTTTTTTAATTAACCCAGTATTTTGTTTTTTGTTTTGTTTTGTTTTTTGAGCGTCTTGATCTGTCACTCAGGCTGGAGTGCAGTGATGGGATCTCAGCTCACTGCCAATTCCACTTCCCAGGTTCAAGTGATTCTCCTGCCTCGGCCTCCTGAGTAGCTGGAACCACAGGCATGCGCCACCACGCCCAGCTAATTTTTGTATTTTTAGTAGAGACAGGGTTTCACCACGTTGCCCAGGCTGGTCTCTAACTCCTGGCCTCAAGTGATCCACCTGCCTCAGCCTCCCAAAGGGCTAGGATTACAGGCATAAACCGCTGCACCATGACCTGAGTCATTTTTGACCCCATTTTATTTCCACCATTAGCTTATTAAATATCATTCTTATTTGTGTGCCTTTGCTCTAGGATTTACGATATACACCTTTATCACTGTCTACCTCCCAGTGAGCTCATTCCTCTTCCTGTAAAGGCATGAGAGTCTCAACACAGTACACTTCCATTTCCTTTTTCTATCCCTTGTACCACTGTTGTCATACATTTTATGTCTACATATAAGCCTCATAATTCATTATTACTCAAGTATATTATCTTTTAAAATTTAAATGAAAAAAATTTTATTTTTACCCATATATTTATCATTTCCAGCACACTTCATTCTTTTTTGCATAGATCTAAATTTTTTCTTCCTGAAGAACTTTTACATTTAAAAAAAAATGTCAGTCTTGCCTGTCGATTCACGCCTGTAATCCCAGCATTTTGGGAAGCAGAGGCAGGCAGATCACCAGGAGTTCGATACCAGCCTAACCAAAATTGAGAACCCCCATCTGTACTAAAAATACAAAATTAGCCAGGCATGGTGTGGCTAATTACATGCCTGTAATCCCAGCTACTCGAGAAGCTGAGGCAGGAAAATCGCTTGAACCCAGTGTGTCTGGAATTGGTGGGTTCTTGGTCTCACTGACTTCAAGAATGAAGCCACAGACCCTCACAGTGAGTGTTACAGCTCTTAAGGTGGCATGTCTGGAGTTTGCTCCTTCTGATGTTCAGATGTGTTCGGAGTTTCTTCCTTCTGGTGGGTTTGTGCTCTCGCTGGCTCATGAGTGAAGCTGCAAACCTTCACAGTGAGTGTTAGCAACTCTTAAGCCCATGCGTGTGGAATTGTTCCTTCCTCTCAGTGGGCTCGTGGGCTCGCTGGCTTCAGGAGTGAAGCTGCAGACCTTTACGGTGAGTGTTACAGATCATAAAAACAGTGTAGACCCAAAAAGTGAGCAGTAGCAAAATCTATTGCAAAGAGCAAAAGAACAAAGTTTCCACAGTGTGGAAAACGACCCAAGCAGGTTGCCACTGCTGGCTCGGGCAGCCTGCTTTTATTCTCTTATCTGGCCCCACCCACATCCTGCTGATTGGTAGAGCCGAGTGGTCTGTTTTGACAGGGTGCTGATTGGTGCGTTTACAATCCCTGAGCTACATACAAAGGTTCTCCACGTCCCCATCAGATTAGTTAGATACAGAATATGGACACAGAGGTCCTCCAAGGCCCCTCCAGAGCAGCTAGATACAGAGTGTCGATTGGTGCACTCACAAACTTTGAGCTAAACACAGGGTGCTGATTGGTGTGTTTACAAACCTTGAGCTAGATACAGAGTGCCGATTGGTGTATTTACAATCCCTGAGCTAGACATAAAGGTTCTCCAAGGCCCCACGAGAGCAGCTAGATACAGAGTGTTGATTGGTGCACTCACAAACCCTGAGCTAGACACAGGGTGCTGATTGGTGTGTTTACAAACCTTGAGCTAGATACAGAGTGCCGATTGGTGTATTTACAATCCCTGAGCTAGACATAAAGGTTCTCCAAGGCCCTACCAGAGCAGCTAGATACAGAGTGTCCATTGGTGTACTCACAAATCCTGAGCTACACACAGGGTGCTGATTGGTGTATTTACAATCCCTAAGCTAGACATAAAGACTCTCCACGTCCTCACCAGACTCAGGAGCCCAGCTGGCTTCACCCAGTGGATCCCGCCCCGGGGCCGCAGGTGGAGCTGCCTGCCAGTCCTACGCCATGCGCTCACAGTCCTCAGCCCGTGGGCGGTCGGTGGGACTGGGCGCCCTGGAGCAGGGGGCGGCGCTCATCGGGGAGGCTCCGGCCGCACAGAAGCCCATGGAGGGGGTGGGAGGCTCAGGCATGGCGGGCTGCAGGTCCCCAGCCCTGCCCCATGGGAAGACAGCTAAGGCCCAGTGAGAAATCCAGTGCAGCGCCAGTGGGCCGGCACTGCTGGGGGACCTAGTACACCCTCCGCAGCCACTGGCCCGGGTGCTAAGCCCCTCACTGCCCGGGGCCTGCAGGGCCCGCTGGCTGCTTCGAGTGCGGGGCCGCCAAGCCCACGCCTACCTGGAACTGCAGCTGGCCCGCAAGCGCCGCGCACAGTCCCGGTTCCCGCTCGCACCTCTCCCTCCACACCTCCCTGCAAGCTGAGGGAGCCGGCTCTGGCCTCGGCCAGCCCAGAAAGGGACTCCCACAGTGCAGCGGTGGGCTGAAGGGCTCCTCAAGTGCCGCCAAAGTGGGAGCCCAGGCAGAGGAGGTGCTGAGAGCAAGCGAGGGCTCTGAGGACTGCCAGCACGCTGTCACCTCTCACCGGGAGGCAGAGGTTGCAGTGAGCCAAGATCGTGCCATTACGCTCCAGCCTGGGGCAACAAGAGCGAAACTCCGTATCAAAAAAAAAAAAAAAAAAAGTCAATTTCCAGGAGGCAAGGTCTTCCAGTTTTTGCTTGTCTAGAAAAGCCTTCATTTCATCTTCATATTGAAAATATTCTTACTCCGTGTAATTCTAGGTTGATAAAGTATTTTTTTCTTTCAGTATTTTAATGATGTTGCTTCTTTATCTTCTGGTTGTCATGGTTTTTCACAGGAAGTCTGTTATGCTTGTCTTTGCTCCTCTCTATACAATGTGTCTTTTCTAGCTCATTCTAGGATTTCCCTTTTATCACTGATTTTTAGTTATTTGATTACGTTGTACTTTGGTATGATTTTTTAAAGTTTATTTTGCTTGATATTTGTTGAGTTCTTGGGATCTGTGAGTTTATAGTTTTCATCAAATTTAATTTTTTCAGCTACTATTTCTTTAAACATGTTTTCGGTTCCCTTTTTTTCTGGAACTTCAATAATACATATTGCAGACAAAACATTGTCTCACAAAATCACTGGTATTCTATTCATTCATTTTCAGCCCATACTCCCTCCACCCCATACTCCCTCTCACCCTCACAAGATTCTGACAAAACATGCCAGGCTGCCACTCTGTGGAGAAGTCCACTTCATCCAATTTAGTTTCTTGCTCTGTCACCCAGGCTGGAGTGCAGTGGTGCTATCTCGGCTCATTGCAACTTCCACCTCCCGGGTTCAAGGGATTCTCCTGCCTCAGCCTCCTGAGTAGCTGGAAATACAGACATGCGCTACCACACCCAGCTAATTTTTGTATTTCTAGTAGAAACAGAGTTTTGCCATGTTGGCCAGGCTGCCCTCGAACTCCTGACCTCAGGTGATCTGCCCACCTCAGCCTCCCAAAGTGCTAGGATTACAGGCGTGAGCCACCGCACCCGGCCCAGTTCAGTTTCTTATATCCTTCTCTGGGCCACTGCTGTCTCCCCTCCTGTCCAACCCTGATATCTGCTTTGCTCTGCCTCACCTAATGATCTGGGGCTTAATCATTCAGGAAGGGAAGAGAAAGTAGAAAACAAAATTGATTTATGTTTTTAAAAGATGCTGTGTGAAAACGGGCATGTAGGAGGGCAAGAGTGAAAAAATTAAGAGCAGTAATTATTGCTTGAACTAGGATGGTAGCAGGGGAGATACCTTTCAGTGGATGAATACAAGCTATGTTTTGAAATTAGAAAAGTAGAACCAATAGGAAGTGTTGAAAGGCTGCATGTGGTGGATGACACGAAAAGAAGTCAAGAACAACTTCTAGCTTTGGGGCTTACGCAGAGTTGGAAATTAGTTCTATTTATCTGAATGAATAGGGATGAAGTGGAAGTTGGAAATATTAGACTTTGAACTTTTTGTGCCCATTAGATATCCAGGAGACTGTTGGCAGTTGGAAACCTGCACTTAGTTCTTAGAGGAGAAATCAGATCAAAAGACGTGAAACTGGAAGTCATTTAAATATACATTGTATTTAAAGCCATGAAGCTGACTGAGATCGCTTGTCTGGGAGAGTATGTTGGAGAATAGGGCGCTGGACCAAGCTCTGGCCACTGCATCACTCAGATAGAGGAGGAGACGCAAATGAATGAGACTGAGAAGGAGCATCCACTAAGGCAGAAAGAAAACTCTAAAAAGTGAATCAAGGAAGTCAAGAGAATAGAGAGGCTCTAGAAAAATATGGCAGTTAACTGAATTGATTTTTGCAGAGAGATCAAGTAAGATATGGCCTGGGCCATGTCCATTGGATTCAGAGACAATATGGAAGTGAGTTTAGTTTATTGAAAACAGATTTGCATGATGGGGTAGACCCCAATTGGAATGAATAAAAGAATAAGTATATATGGAGGCTTACGGATTTCATAGAAGAATAAAAAGTAGAGAAATAACAAAACACATACCTCCACAAGGACAAACGATGGAGAGATAACAGCAGAGGAGATATTTTTGTTTTTTTGAAGGTAATAGGCAGATGAGTGGTAACTCTCCAACACAACAGAGAAAGCTTCAACATACAGGCCTCCATTGGGGGTGAGAGTAAGTCAACTACTGGTAGATTATTAATTCTGTGGAATCCTGGAAAGATTCGGGAATTGCAACTGGGTTCCTCTAAAGATTTGGGTGTGGCATGTGACTAAATACAGGAAGGATAGTTGAAATACAATGTAGCTAGGAACTGTCTCTCAGCTCCAGATCACTCCTTCCACTCAAGCACTTGGATGAATACACCTCTCTTCCTTTTAACAGCTTAGGGTTTTATCTCTGGAGATACTGAAACCAAAGAAACTCTAGATCAGTAATCCCAGGCACTGCTGAAGGCAGGAGTGAAAGTGTATCCAGAATTGGTGGGTTCTTGGTCTGACTTCAACAATGAAGCCGTGGACTCTCGCCGTGAGTGTCACAGTTCTTACAAGTGGTGTGTCCTGAGTTTGTTCCTTCTGATGTTCAGATGTGTTCGGCGTTTCTTCTGGTGGGTTCGTGATCTCACTGGCCTCAGGAGTGAAACTGCAGATTTTCGCAGTGAGTGTTACAACTCATAAACGCAGTGTGGACTCAAAGAGTGAGCAGCAGCAATATTTATCACAAAGAGTGAAAGAACAAAGTTTCCACACTATAGAAGAGTACCCAAGCGGATTGCCACTGCTGGCTCAGGGCAGCCTGCTTTTATTCCCTTATCTGGTGGCACCCACATCCTACTGATTGGTCCATTTTACAGAGCGCCGATTGGTTTTACAGAGAGCTGATTGGTCTGTTTTGACAAGGTGCTGATTGGTGTGTTTACAATCCCTGAGCTAGACACAAAAGTTCTCCAAGTCCCCACAGAGCACTGATTGGTGCATTTACAAACCTTGAGCTATACACAGGGTGCTGATTGGTATGTTTACAAACCTTGAGCGAGACACAGGGTGCTGATTGGTGTATTTACAATCCCTTAGCTAGACATAAAGATTCTCCAAGTCCCCACCAGATTAGCTAGACACAGGGTGCTTACTGGTGTGTTTACAAACCTTGAGCTAGACACAGAGTGCTGATTGGTGTATTTACAATCCCTTAGCTAGACATAAAGATTCTCCGAGTCCCCACCAGATTAGCTAGACACAGGGTGCTGATTGGTGCATTTGCAAACCTTGAGCTAGACACAGAGTGCTGATTGGTGTATTTACAATCCCTTAGCTAGACATAAAGGTTCTCCAAGTCCCCACTACACTCAGGAGCCCAGCTGGCCTCACCTAGTGGATCCCGCACCTGGGCCGCAGATGGAGCTGCCCGTCAGTCCCACGCCGTGCGCCAGTACTCCTCAGCCCTTGGGCAGTCTATGGGACCGGGTGCCGCAAAGCAAGGGGCAGCGCTCGTCTGGGAGGTTCTGGCTGCACAGGAGCCCATGGCGGCGTGGGGGAGGCTCAGGCATGGCGGGCTGCAGGTCCCAAGCCGTGCCCCTCAGGGAGGCAGCTGAGGTCCGGCGAGAATTGGAGCGCAGCACCCGCTGGCACTGCTGGGGAACCTGGCGCACCCTCCGCAGCTGCTGGCCCGGGTGCTAAGTTCCTCACTGCCTGGGGCCAGCTGTGCTGGCCACGCCAGCCCGAGGCTCAGAGTGTGGGGCCCCCCGAGGCCACGCCCACCTGGAACTAGTGCTGGCCCGCAAGTGCCGCAGGCAGCCCGGGTTCCCGCCCGTGCCTCTCCCTCCACACCTCCCTGAAAGCTGAGGGAGCTGGCTCCGGCCTCGGCCAGCCCAGAGAGGGTCTCCCACAGTGCAGCGGGGGGCTGAAGGGCCCCTCAAGCGCAGCCAGAATGGGTGGCGAGGCCGAGGAGGCTCCGAGACTGAGCGAGGGCTGCCAGCACCCTGTCACCTCTCAAAAGGTTTTACTGAAACTATGCAATTAAGGAAATGCTTACACCCTGAAATGTAAAACCCACATTACCTATTCCCTTGCTCAGCTTCCAGCACTTCAGCAGCTATGCTAGTATGCTCTAGACAGGATCTGGAGAATTCTTCTTGTGGAAAGAAATTAGCCAACACTAGATACTGACATTTTGAGGATCTTCCCAATCTAAACTGCCACGTCTCTGCTAAATTACCCTAAAGCTAAGTCCACCAGTTGACAGGCCCTACCCCTGCTCACAGAGCTTCCAGGCATCATATTAGTGCCTCACTCAAATGCAAAGGACATTCTGGGATTACCAGATATTTGAGAAAAATCTCTAGCTTGAAATATAGAGACCAAAACAAATATCCCTATGAAGCAAAGCCAGAGAGAACTGAGACAATGCAAACAGCAAAACCAACTTCAAATGTCCTCAGCAATATAAGAGAAAGTATAGCACCCACAAAAAAAAAAAAAAGTAAGAGATGCCATCTTAAAAATGGTTGTAGAGAAAAAAAAGATCTCTTTGAAAAAAAAAAACCTCAAAATTCACTAGAAGGATTTGAAGACTTTAGAAGCTGAGGAAATCTCCCCAGAAGAAAAATAAAACGACAGAGTTGGAAGACAGAAGAAGAAATATAAGAAAATTAGAGTGTCAGCCCAGGAGGTCAAACATCCAAATTATAAGATTTTTTCAGAAAGACAGAACAGAGAAAATGGACGAGAGGCAATTATCAAAGAAAAAAATGCAATAAAATTTCCCAGAACTGACTGATACAACTTTCTACTGTGCAAATTCCTAACACAATGAAAGAATCCATACTATGACACCATATCATGAGATTTTAGAACAGTAGTTTTAAAAATCTGAAATCCTCCAGAATAAAAAGAATGGGTCTTTTACAAGAGGTCAGTAATCTAAATATCAGACTTCACAATCTAGAATCTAGGAATAGTGGATCAACGCCTTTAAAATCCTGAGAAAAATCATATCCATCCTAGAATTCTATAACCAGCTAAACTATGAGTCAAATGTGAGGGTGGAATAAGACATTTTCAGATGTATAAGGTCTATGGACAGCTGGGCCCATTTTTCTCTTCTTCCTGGGCACATGGCTAAGTTACATTTGTCAACCTCTCTTGTAGCTAGGTAGGGCTACATGTCTAAGCCCTAGTCAGAGGCCCCTGAAGGGAAGGAATACATATTAATTTCCACTTCATTTCTTTAAGAGTAAATACCTATTCCTTGATTTCTGCTTGTATATATATTTTTAATTTCTGTATATTATCATGTTTTGACATCTTAACAAACTTTTCTAGCTAGGGAGAGACAGGACCTTCCAGGGCTAGCCAATTCTTAAAAGTAGCAAAGGGTCCAGCCAGGAGCATGAGCTGATATGCAGACTAACCATTCCAGAGCCATAGCTCCTCTATCTGGCCCATATACTCCAGGAAACAATATTTATCTGCCTTAGTCATTCCAAAGTCAAGTACTAGGCAACTAGGTGGTAATCAGCCATATAGCTCAAAGAACACAGGAATTATTCAAACCAGCCAATCCTAAACTGTTCACCCTGCCTTTCCTTGCCTTTCCCACAGAAACCCAATAAAAGGAAAGACATAAATCTTTCCTTCACTCCTGTCTTCTGCCTCCTGACTACCTTGATGTCTTTCTCAGGTGGTCCCGCATGGCAGTGCCATGCCTCCTGTCTCTAGGGCCTGTAAGCCTCTCCTCTTGTGGCTGCACTTTGACTGACTGTATCATAAAATAATACAAAATACTGTTTTTCTTCCCTCTCCTTGGGCTGAAATGATGATGACACTGGAAACCATATGTTGAAGACGGAAGAACCATATTCACCCAGGATCCCTGAATGACTGCATGGAGCAGAGCTCCCACCATCCTATAATACTTACCTTAGGACTGGTACAAGGGAGAAAAATAAACTTGTTTTTCAAAGCCACTTTCGGGATCTCCTTGTTACAGCAGCTTAGCATTACCCTAACAGTGCATAAGGTTTTAAAATAATTTCCCACCATAAACTCTCTCTCTCAGGAAGCTTCTAGAGAAAGTGATGCTCCAAGATGGAAAAATAAAGCCAGAAAAAAGATAAGAATTTACAAGGGAAAAAAGGGAATTTCCAGAATGTTGCTGAATACAGATTGCAGGACAAGAGATCTAGCAAGCAACCAGTACTGGTTGGACAGAGGCTTCTAAATGGGATTGCTCTGGTTGGACAGAGGCTTCCAAATGGGATTGCTCAAGGGAAAAAAGTGAAACTGATAGATTGCCTCATGTGTTTGGAAAAGACAGGGATACTTCTGGTGGAGGTTTTGGGATGAATTAATTACATATATGAAGAAAACTATGGACATTTTAAAAATGAGGCTATTATTAATATCTAGAAAAACAAAAATTACAAGAACGGATGGTCATCACAATGCAATTATATGACCCAGTTATAAATGTTACTAGAGGTCATTTATACTTATTATAATGTCATCACAATGCAATTATATGACCCAGTTATAAATGTTACTAGAGGTAAAATTTATAGTTATCATAATGTAAACACTAAATGCTAGTTTAACACCAAAAATTTGATACAGTCATTTGGGGAGAATTGTGAGCGGGAATGTGAGACAGTAAGTGTGTAGGGGGAGTGGTCTAACCTAAATCTTTCTTTTCATTAGAAGGAAGACAATAAATCATGCCCAAAGCAGGAAAAAAAACCCAAAAAACCTCAACCAACAAAGAAGTAATGGTAGTAAGAGAATTTATGGCCGGGTGCAATGGCTCACGCCTGTAATCCCAGTGCTTTGGAAAGCTGAGGTGAGAGGATCCCTTGAGCCCGGGAGTACCAGGCTGCAGTGAGCTATGATGGTGTCTCTGCATTCCCGCCTGGGTGACAGAGTGAGATCTTGTCTCTAAATAAATAGATAAATGCAGTATGAACGTAAATGCCAACAGGAACCCTGGGAAGCAGGACTCAGAATAAGAAGCAATTGGGGCAAGGGAATCAGGGGCTGAAGTTTTATGAGAAGCCTTGTAGGACTACAAGTATTTCTTTTTCAGAACTGCTTACATCCATTACCTAATACAATAAAATAAAATAAACAAGTGAGTGGGAGGTGAGAAGTGACATAGCAAGTGTGGGGAAGTCCTTCAAGAATGGGGGTGAGGGGCCAGGCCCGGTAGCTCACACCCGTAATCCCAGCACTTTGGGAGGCCAAGGTGGGTAGATTGTCTGAGCTCAGGAGTTCGAGTCCAGCCTGGGCAACACAATGAAACCCCGTCTCTACTAAAATACAAAAAATTAGCTGGGCGTGGCGGTGTGCGCCTGTAGTCCCAGCTACTCAGGAGGCTGAGGCAGGAGAATCGCTTGAACCTGGGAGGCAGAGGTTGCAGTGAGCCGAGATTGCAGCACTGCACTCTAGCCTGGGCGACAGAGCCACACTCCATCTCCAAAAAAAAAAAAAAGAATGGGGGTGAGGAGGAGAGTGGAGGGAGAGGTGGTGGCTGAGGAGTGATGCGGGGACGTTAGGATGGACATCATTCAGTGTTTGGTCCAGGGACCTCTGGGATCACACTGTCTGAAGAACCCACGCCATCCCACCAAGCTTACTGAATCAAGATCTTGCTTGGTGGGGTGTCAGGGCCTGGAAACCCAAGTTTTTAATCGTCTCCTTGGATGATACTTGTGCATACAGAACTGAGCTTGTTTGGATGCTGATGGAAAGGACCCAAGAAAGGTAAAGTGAGATGGGAGGGGAAGGAGAAATGCACTGAGCAAAGCCCCTGAGACGGCAGGAGGGTGAGACGGCGCCCAGCATTCAGATGGAGGAGTTGGTCCTTGCTAATCCACTGTAATGGGGCTACAGGAGACACTGTTGGTTACTTTATAGATCTAGTGGTAGGAAAAGAGGAGGGGCCTTTCAGCCCTTGCACACTTGCTCCCTTTTGTTAGGAAATATTATTTAAGTCTATGTTTTACAGTAGACCAAGTGTTCCATGGGGGTCAAGACCATGGCATTTCCCACTCCATTCCTCACCATGGCCTAGCACGCAGCAGTGCCTGGCCCAGAGGAGGAGCTCTATAAATGTTTGTTGAATGACTACATGAATGACAGTTTCTTCTGAGGTAAGGGGACTCTTGTTTAAAATCAGACAGATAGGACTGGAGTTCAGGATTAGGACAGGCGACGGGCAGATCTGGAAGGCATGGGTAGGTAGAGAACAGTTGAAGCATTCAGGGTGAAGGCAAGGGGAAAGAGAAGAAAAAGAACGCCGAGGGAAGTGCTGAAGCGGGCGAGGGAGCGAATCCAGAGTGGGGTGCAGGAAACAGATGCATACTGAGGAAGAAGGGGGAAGCACTCCAAATCCTCCACATCATCCAACCTATACCTTCTCTTTCAACCGCACCTCCCACTTCTTGACGAGCCATCCTACAGTAAAGGCAATGGAATGGATGAGCCAATTAACCTGGTGTCTCATAATTAGGGAAGATATGTTGATGTAAGAAATCAAAGACTGGAGTGAACAGTACTATCTCAGACAGCCCATTGGAGTCACACGGAGCCCAATTCACTTCTCCCCTGGGCTGTTTCCTTTCACAGCCATTGCTGATCCAATGTCAGAGCCAACCCCTCAGTGGCCGAACTCCGGTTTGTTTCTACCAGGGAAGTTCTCAGGGGATTATACATGGATTTGGAATCAGGCAGCATCCGAAGAAGGGTTGAAGCAAAAAATCAAAAAACAGTAGATGTTGGCGTAGATGCAGTGATCAGGGAACACTTCTACACTGCTAGTGGGAATGTAAACTAGTACAATCACTATGGAAAACAGTGTGGAGATTTCTTAAAGAACTAAAAGTAGATCTACCATTTGATCCAGTAATCCCACTACTGGGTATCTACCCAGAGGAAAAGAAGTCATTATACAAAAAAGACACTTGCACACACATGTTTATAGCAGCACAATTCACAATTGCAAAGTCATGGAACCCAAATGCCCATCAATCAACGGTGGATAAAGAAACTGGCATATATATACGATGGAATACTACTCAGCCATAAAAAGGAATGAATTAATGGCATTTGCAGTGACCTGGATGAGACTGTAGACTATTATTCTAAGTGAAGTTACTCAGGAATGGAAAACCAAACATCGTATGTTCTCACTGATAGGTGGGAGCTAAGCTGTGAGGACTCAAACGCATGAGAATGATACAGTGGACTTTGGGCACTAGGGAGGAAGGACGGGGGAGGCACGAGAGATAAAAGACTACAGATAGGGTGGGTGCGGTGTACACTGCTTGGTGACGGGTGCACCAAAGTCTCACAATTCACCAATAAAGCACTTACATAACCAAATATCACCTGTACCCAAATAACCTATGGAAAAAAAACAAAGAAGGATTGAAGGATTTTTACTTGACTTTAGACTGAGATCCTGGTTTTAATTTGGAATTAAGAATGCTATTGGAACTAGAGTTTTCCGGTTAAAAAAAAAAACTTTTATCCAAGATACAAAGGAAAGTAAAATCTCACCCCCCTCCATTTCCCCAGCACCGCCCCACCGCCCCACCACATGTGCTCACAACCACAGCTGGGGGAGACTAATACAGATTTGCTTCTAAGACAGCATCAGAATCATGGTCAGTGGAATTGGGATCAGTACTGGCTTTTGCAGAAATGGGCAAAAAAAAAAAAAAAAAAATGAATCATCATTGTTTCTGGAAGAAGAGTCATGCCTGGGCAGGGGATTCCCCATCTCCTTCAGGGCTTATGTGGCCTCCATGCCCCTCTCCCTCCTTAACTGCTAAGTCACTTACTGGGTCCCAGAAGTCCAAAGAGAAGCAGCCACAGGAACCAGAAAGCAGGAGAGATATTTCCTCTTCTCATCTCTAAATGATGCACATAGAAGTTGTCATTTAGATGCCTGGGTTCCAAAGGAAGGATAGGTCAAAGAGGCAGAGAGACAAGGGGCAAACCCCCTGGGCCTTGATAGAAAATAAAGTTGCACAAAAAGACCCAAAGGCCAGCCAGTGCCAGGGTAAGCCTTGTAGGCAGATGGCATGGTTGGGGGGAGCCCCCAAATTGCTCCACAGTTTGGCTTCTTATTTTTCTTCTTTTTTCCTCGCAAACGTGTCTGTGGCATTTATAGCTGATACTGAGTAGGGGAGGCCAGAACTTTGGGTCCTCCCTCCCCAGGGAGGGGCATTTCTGCGCTGTGCTTTCTGCAGGGCCGTTTGGAGAGATGTACCCTACAGGAATCAAGGCGGAGGAGAGAGCAGAGTCGGCAAGACCAGAGGGCGCACACATGAGGAGGGGCAGGGAGGGAGGCAGAATGAGGGGATCAAACTTGTCGGAGTGGAAGGGACCCACCCTTTGAACCAGAGCTGACCTGAAACCTGTTTTCCCTGGGTATGCCTCATTTTCAAAGCAGGAGGCCTTTGTAGAAGAAAGAAGGAAGAAGAGAAGAAAAGGAAACAAATGGATGGTAAAGGTCAATAGCAGTCTATCTAGGGGAAGCTGGGGATTTGGAGGGTGATAAGAGCATCAGGACACACGCCCGGCTTTCTCCAGAGTGCTCCTTCCCAGCTGCAGAGCAGCACATGGCTACGTGAGTGATACACTCCACTCCCTGTGAGCTCTCCAAGGGTGGGGAAAGTGGACACTGAGTGAGTCTCACTTCTAGTATCAAGCGGAAGTGAGTAGGGAAGAGGATGGGGCACGGAACTACCCATTTCCCTGAGTCAATCTTTGGCAATGGCTCTTAAGCATAGGTCAGGGACCCTGACTCACCTGCGTCCCTATTTCTAGGCTCACAACTAGCAGTTGATTGAAATTTACCCCGTGTAATTCAGATATGCAAGGAAAAATGTAGTTTGGCTTGCTATAACTCACCCAACTCAGTTTCCAGACTCTCTTTCCCACCAATGGCAGGGAAGCCTGGGGTTGGAAATGAGGATACGGGTATAAGCTTGCCAAATATTGGTGATGAAATTTCATTTTCTTTTAAAAGTGTCTCTTTTGGAAGGCATACTGTATGGTTCTAATTATATGAAAGTCAAGTACATGGAAAAATCAACTGATGATGATTAAAGTCAAAATACTGGCTACCTCTAGGGTGGCACTGATGGGGAGGAGGCAGGGGAGGCTTCTGGGGTGATAAGAATGTGGCACATCTTGATCTGGAAAGCGGGTAGGTGAGTGTATGCATGTGTTAAGATTCAACAATTGGCCGGGTGCGGTGGCTCATGCCTGTAATCCCAACACCTTGAGAGGCTGAGGTGGGAGGATTGTGTGAGCCCAGGAGTTCAAGAGCAGTCTAGGCAACATAGCAAGACCCTGTCTCTATTTCTTTAAAATAAATACATTAAAGAATTAAATAAAATTCAACGACTTGAGCACTTATGTGTCCACTCTGCACATTTTACTGCATATATTTTAAGCCTCAATTTAAAGATTAAAAACAACAGTCAAGGGTACAAACTTTCAGTTATAAGAAGAATGAGTTCTGGAACTTTAATCACATGGAGACTATAATTAACAATATTGTATTGTCTATCTGAAATTTGCTAACACACACAGAAAAGAAATGGTAAATATGTGTTGGTGATGTGTTCATTAGTTTGATAGTGGTAATTATTTCACAATGTATACTCATCAAATCAACACATTGTACACGCTGAAAACATATAATTTTTGTCTATTTTACCTCAGTAAGCTTGGGGGGAGAATTAAAAACAATAAGAAAGAAAAAAATTTTGGTGGCTCACGCCTGTAATCCCAACACTTTGGGAAGCCAAGGTGGGCGGGTTAGGAGTTTGAGACCAGCCTGATCAACATGGTGAAACCCCATCTCTAATAAAAATAAAAATAAAAATAAATTAGCTGGGCGTAGTGGCGGGTGCCTGTAATCCCAGCTACTTGGGAGGCTGAGGCAGGAGAATTGCTTGAACCCGGGAGGCAGAGGTTGTAGTGAGCCAAGATCGCACCACTGCACTCCAGCCCGGGTGACAGAGTGAGACTCCGTCTCAAAAAAAAAAAAAAGAAAGAAAAAGAAAACAATGTTTCAGGTCTCTTTTGGGTAAATACTTGGCCATATGAAATTTAATGCCCCTCTCAGGACTGTTTTCCCCCCATTTCAAGGGCTCTCCCCTCCACTTCTTTCCTGCACGTCCTCTGAGGGGGAATTTATGCCTCCTACTGGCAATGTGGGAACAAGACTTCGGCCCTTCAAGCTGGTCTCTCCTGAGCTCCCTCTCGTTCCATCTGGTCACTGGGATCCTGCATTGGCATCCAACGACTCTGAGACACAGTACTACCATTGTCTTCATTTTACAAATAAGGAAACTAAACCATGGAGAAGTCAAGTAATTTGGCCAAACTCACAAAGTTAGTAAGTGATGGAGTCAGGAATTAAACTATCAGTCCAGCTGCAGAGCCTGTGCTCTTCGCCATTATAAAAGGAGGTTGTCATGTCCAAACAGGACTTTGAGTCTGGCCCCTGAATATCTTCCTCCAACCAGACTGCCTGTTCCCAACTTCATCTGACATAGAAATTCTGGAGCTGTCACTGTTAGAAAGTATGCGGAATATAAAACCACAAAGCTACAGAGGCCCAGCTATGTGGAATTTGAAAAACAGATGGACGAGTCATCATAAGGGACATGTCGGGAAAATTAATGAGTTAAGAGCAGGTTGCTCGAGTGGAGCTGACTGGTCCGAGAACATTTTTTTAAATGCCTCCTTGGAGAGTCTGAGTCATGAGGGTTCTGATGACTAGGAAGGAAAGAGCAAACAGGGGTTGTGGGCTTAGGACTTGGGTTTGTTTTAGAGAGTAAGAGATTAGTTTCGCACAGAGTAGGGAATTCCAGGGACCCGGCAATTACGTAGAGTACACAATTTATAAACATAGCATAGATTTGAAATTCGCCCTTGAATGACCTGTGCTGAAAGTTTGATTTAGGAAAGGCCTGTGTTCCAGATTCTCGCTGCCATCTCTCTCAACCTCACCCTGTACCGGCTTAGATTTTCTTCAACCTGGCTGGACAAGGGGTCTGCTTTCCCTTCTAATTTTAGTTTACCCCCAATTCAAGTAGAGTTATTTTCATCACAAGGAGTCTCAATGGTACCTTCCATATAGCATATAGTTCATCAGAAAGTAACAAAAAGAAGAAGATTTTCTGTGAAATATAGCCTGATATGGTCTATGTCTGTGACCCATTTTCCCACAAACGGACCACTCTGATGGCAGCCACTGTCCCTGGATTTGGAGATCTCTCCTACAGCTGCTTAAGCTTCTTCAGCTATCTGGAGCCACCATTTGTGTAGAAATGTCCTATGTGCTTGAGTGCCCATCTTCAAATTTTCTGTTGTGTATACGTTCAAAAACAATTTTGAAAAGCTGTTTTCCCTCCTCTGTCTATGTTTAATCTAAATTTTTTATCATACATTTAATTATTGCAAAGAATGTAATTTCTACCATATTGTAAATGTAGACATTGAAATAATAAAAGTTTTTACTACTCTTTAAAATGTTTCCAGTAGACTCTAAACACTAGCAGCATCTCAATACTCATCATTATCCTTTTTTTAAATTTTATTTTACTTTAAGAGATGTGGGGGGTCTCACTATATTGCTCAGGCTGGTGTTGAACTCTTGGGCTCAAGCAATCCTCCCGCCTCAGCCTCCCCAAGTGCTGGGATTACAGACGTGAGCCACTGCACCTAGCTTCCATTATCCTTTTGAATAACATATAAGCAAGCTCTTCCTCAATAGTCTAGGTTTTTAAATGGTTCCTCCTGCTCTACGAACTTATAGTTCCATTTTACTTTCCCCATATTATTCTACTGGTCTCTCTCCATATATCATATTAAATACCAGTAACATAAATATTCTACTGCTATACATATATCACAGTATGTCTAATTAATAAACCTTATCTCTTAGAGCAGTTTTGGGTTCACAGCAAAATTAAGTGGTAAGTACAGAGGTCCCATAGACTCCCTGCCCCTACGCAAGCACAACCTCCCCACCTCGTTGACGTCAGGGTTTACTCTTGTATATTCTATGGGTTTTGACAAATGTACAATGACAGGCATCCACCATTGTAGTATCATATACAGTAGTTTCACGCCCTAAGAATCCTCTGTGCTCCACCTATTCATCACCCCACCCTCGTAACCCCTGGCAACCATTGACTCTTGACTGCCTTTATAGTTTTGTCTTTTCTGGGATGTCATATGGTCTGTAATAATTTTTTGCTTGAAAAGCTTTTATTGATCACCCTGTCATACTCCTCTGCATCAAAAGATATGTTTATAAACGTCTAAAAAATTTCCTGTGCCTTGTAAGACTCTGTGTTCAATTTATAGCCCCCAGTAACTTTTTGGTGAATTAAGCAAAAATGCTTCTCTTATGATACGTCTTTCCATATTTTCAAGAAAATATGAATCATTAACTTACCTAACATTTTTTATTTTTCATTTTTTTGAGACGGAGTCTCGCTCTGTCGACCAGGCTGGAGTGCAGTGGTGCAATCTCGGCTCACTGCAACCTCCACTTCCCAGGTTCAAGCTATTCTCTTGCCTCAGCTTCCCACGTAGCTGGGACTACAGGTGCCTGCCACCACGCCAGCTAGTTTTTGTATTTTTAGTAGAGATGGGGTTTCACCATGTTGGTCAGGCTAGTCTCAAAAGCCTGACCTCAGGTGATCCACCCGCCTCCGCCTCCCAAAGTGCTGAAATTACAGGCATGAGCCACCTCGCTTGGCCCACTTACCTAACATTTTAAAAATAACACAACTTACAGAGCGCTTACGAAATGCAGGACTATTCTAAGCCTTCACAATAACCCCATGAAGTGGGTACTATTTTCACTCTCATGTTTACAAATATGGAAACTGAGACCCAGAAGAATTAAGGAATTTGTGGAAAGTCACAATGAAATTGGATTTGAAACCAGAAATTCGAGCTCCACAATCTGTGCTCTTAGCTGACATGCCGTATGGCCTCTCTAAGTGTCTTTTATCTTAAGGTGTAACATTAATCAGTTGGAGCTTACAACATCTTTCTCCTTGAAATCATGCCAAATACACAATTGTTACCTAAACCAAGAAACTAGTGAACAGGAAGCTCTTTCCCCTTACAGAAAATGGTGTACAATTCAGGGAAGTGTGCTTCATAGCACATTGCTTTGTCCCAGCAAGTTGTTGACAAATCTTGAATATTCTAAAATAGGCAGACAGACAGATAAGGTGGGTTGGCTGCCATGGGATTTTTCTCCTTGGTTAAATAAGCCACTGCCTCCTCTATTCTTTCTGCTGATTCTGCTCTTGCTCCAATCTCATGAGATACTCCCTCAAGAGGGATGCATTTTTAAAGAGTGGATGGAAGAGAAGAGATTGTTAAAAAAAAAAGAAAGGAAAAAAAGAAGTTTTTATTACTCCTGTTACTTCATTCTACAGTGTATCTGCGTAAATAACACCTTAACACATGCCAAAATTACCAGTTCCTTACACTCCACGTAGCCCTTCACAGGAATTTATATGAGGCAGGAGAAAACAGGAAGTCCTACTCTGGGTATATGATCCCTAAATTAGAGGTGGTTTTTGAGGTATCCCTTCACTAAAAGGCTTTATTTGACACCCTGAAATGTTCTACACCCTGCGGAAATGTGGTAATAATAATATGGGAGCTACAGAGGAAATGTTGGATGTTCATCAAAGAAGAGTCAGAAAAGTGTAGCCCTGACCACAGAGGTGCCCTCAGACAGATCAGTTCTAGGCCACAAGCACATACGGAAGTTGAAGATCTGGAAAATGGTTCCCATCAAACAACCCACGCCTGCATAATACTCTTCAGGAAGTCTTTATGTACGCCCAAGATGTGGGGGCACAGATGCCACGTGAAGATCATTGTGCTAAATCCACAGTGCAAAGGCACAGGTCTAGATGGGCAGCCCTTTAACCCTGTCCACTTCCTGGACTTTTGCTTGGGTCACGCATGCTTGGTGGGCTGGGGCTTTGTCACATTACAGGAGTAGGTGTATTCCATGACGAAAGCTGGGTAATGATGCTTCCAAACTCTACCTGCACACCCCAGTTGCTGGGAGTAATGAGATACTCACAGCACAACTATGTGAATCAATCACAAGGTAAATTGCTCACCAGGGACTCCCCCCTTTTCTCCTTCCTCTAGCTCAAAATGCCCATTCATTTGAGTCATTTGTTGTTTATTTTTGGAAATAATTTTTTAAAATTTGAGACAGAGTCTCACTCTGTCACCCAGGCTAGAGTGCAGTGACATGATCTCAGCTCACTGCAACGTCCACCTCCCAGGTTCAAGTGATTCTCCTGCCTCAGCCTTCCAAGTAGCTGGGACTACAGGCGCGCACCACCGCGCATGGCTAATTTTTGTATTTTTAGTAGAGACAGGGTTTTGCCATGTTGGCCAGGCTGGTCTCAAACTCCTGGCCTCAAGTGATCTGCCTGCCTCAGCCTCCCAGAATGCTGGGATCACAGGTGTGAGCCACCATGTCCGGCCAGGAAATAAAAATTTTTATTTACATAATGTGCCTGGTAAAAATTTAAGAGCTGTATTGAGCTATAATTTACATACCATATAGTTCACCTGTTTAAAGTATATAAACCTGGCTGGGCAAGGTGGGTCATGCCTCTAATCCCAGCACTTTGGGAGGCTGAGATGGGTGGATCACCTGAGGTTAGGAGTTCAAGACTAGCCTGGTCAACAGTGGTGAAACCCCATCTCTACTAAAAATACAAAAATTAGCCAGGCATGGTGGCACTCGCCTATAATCCCAGCTACTTGGGAGGCTGAGGGAGGAGAATCTCTTAAACCTAGGAAGCAGAGGTTGCAGTGAGCCGAGATTGCGCCACTGCACTCCAGCCTCGGTGACAGAGTGAGATTCCATCTCAAATTTAAAAAAATAATAAGAATAAAATAAAGTATATAAACCAGTGGTTTTAGGCCGGGTGCAGTGGCTCATGCCTGTAATCCCAGCACTTTGGGAGTCCAAGGTGGGTGGATCACCTGAGGTCAGGAGTTCGAGACCAGCCTGGCCAACATTGTGAAACCCCATCTCTACTAAAAATACACACACACACACAAATTAGCTGGGTGTGGTGGCACGCACCTGTAATCCCAGCTACTCGGGAGGCTGAAGCAGGAGAATCACTTGAACCTGGAAGGTGGAGGTTGCAGTGAGCTGAGATCACGCCACTGCACTCCAGCCTGGGCGACAGAGCAAGACTCCGTCTAAAATAAATAAATAAATAAACCAGTGTTTTTTAGTATATTTACAGAGTTGTACTTGGTGAAGCTTTTCATAGACAGACTCAAATCTTTTTTCTCTATTCCAGCTCTTCTTTTTTCCCTTCTAATTCTTCTCTTCCATTTCGTCTCTTTTTCTCTGTTTTGAGCCTTATTACTTGCACGTTAGTCTTCCTGGATCTATCCTCCAAATGTATTATATTTGCCGGGTGATTTTTATTCCTGTATAATTGTGTCTGTTTGAGTTATTTTTCGCGCTTGCTCTTCCGGATTACTAGCATAATTCTCTATAATGGCCAGCCTCTTTCAATTTGTCTATTAAAATTTGAAAATACATGTTTTACTATTTTTTTAAAAAATGATCTAGCTGGACACCCTTGCCTGATCTTATTTCTTTTCATGCTTTTCCACATAAGGGTTTCCACAGTTCCTATCAGTGGGAGGCACCTTTTCAGGGTGTTCAACTTGTCTTTCCCTTCTGGTTTCTGGATCCCTTTAAGTGAGCAGATGATGATGATTGCCTGCATATGGCTCAGCGTGGCCTCTCTGTTCCTCAGTGAGCAGGGGCATGCAAACCTTCCCCCAAAGACTGAGGGAGCTGAGAGGCTGTGGAGACAAAGTGACTCCATCTTGGATGCTAATCTGCCATGTTGACTTCTGATTAACCCAGGTCCCATGAGTCACATGGGCCTCATTCCTACTTTATTTACTGTTCTTGGTAAGGACATGTACTTACTGTAAATCCTGTCTTCGTTTTTTGTTTGTTGTTTTGTTTTTAGAGACAGGGTCTTGCTCTGTCACCTAGGCTGGAGTTCAGTGGTGCAATCTCAGCCCACTGCAGCCTCTAACTCCTGGGCTGTAGTGATCCTCCTGCCTCAGCCTCCCAAGTAGCTGGGACCACAGGCACATGCTACCACTCCCAACTAATTTTGGTTTTCTTTTTTGTAGAGATGAGGTGTTGTTTTGTTTCCCAGACTGGTCTCAAACTCCTGCCCCCAAGCAATCCTCCCTCCTCTCCCTCCCAAAGCTCTGGGATTACAGGCATTAGCCACCACATCCAGCCCCTGCCTTTAGATCAAAGCAACCTTGATATTATGGCATAAATTACAGGCTACGACGCACATAGCATTCCTGCCTGTTCTGAAAGGTTGCTTTTAATTGTCTCTACAGGAAGTATACACCCTTTCCGGGGTAAGCCCTGGGTCTGGGGGTAACAGGTGTGGAGATCTACCTGACTTGCTGCCACCCAAGACTACACTTCTGTCTGTAAATTCCCCAGCAAATCACCATTTACTGACAAACTGGATCTATCTGCCTTGTTTTTGGTTTCTCGGCTCCTTCAGCGTTTGGGAGCCACTTTACATGTATGACCCTTTTATGGAACAAAGGCTGAATGAAATAAGTGGCTAACAAATCCAGTTTCTCCAAAAGAAATTTTGAACAAGGACTAAGCAACAGAAGCCACGTCTGGGAGAGCTGCAAGACGATGGACACTCCAGAAAACATCCTTTCTATAGCAAGGTCTTAGGGTAAAATATATGCAGCTGGTCACATCTCAGACTTTCTTGCCAAAACCCATAACCACTCCGGAGGTTAAAGAAGCATGTTTGTGAAGGGTTATTTATGCAGCAGGCATTGTTTGAAGACTGTGCTGCAGTGCACTTTGCTATGCAAAAGTGGACCACTGGTCATCATGATGTGTCCAGAATTGGTGGCTTCTTGGTCTCACTGACTTCAAGAATGAAGCCGCAGACCCTCGCGGTTACTGTTACAGCACTTAAGGTGGCGCGTCTGGAGCTTGTTCTTTCCGATGTTCGCATGTGTTCACAGTTTCTTCCTTCTGGTGGGTTTGTGGTCTCGCTGGCTCAGGAATGAAGCTGCAGATCTTCACGATGAGTGTTACAGCTCACAAAAGCAGCATGGACCCAAAGAGTGAGCAGTAGCAAGATTTATTGCAAAGAGCAAAAGAACAAAGCTTCCACAGTCAGGAAAAGGACCAGAACGGGTTACCACTGCTGGCTGGGGCAGCCTGCTTTTATTCTCTTATCTGGCCCCACCCACATCCTGCTGATTGGTAGAGCCGAGTGGTCTGTTTTGACAGGGTGCTGATTGGTGCGTTTACAATCCCTGAGCTAGACACAAAGGTTCTCCACGTCCCCACCAGATTAGCTAGATACAGAGTGTGGACACGAAGGTTCTTCAAGGCCCCACCAGAGCAGCTAGATACAGAGTGTCGATTGGTGAACTCACGAACCCTGAGCTAGACTCAGGGTGCTGATTGGTGTGTTTACAAACCTTGAGCTAGATACAGAGTGCGGATTGGTGTATTTACAATCCCTGAGCTAGACATAAAGGTTCTCCACATCCCCACCAGACTCAGGAGCCCAGCTGGCTTCACCCAGTGGATCCCGCACCGGGGCTGCAGGTGGAGCTGCCTGCCAGTCCTGCGCCGTGCGCTTGCACTCCTCAGCCCTTGGGTGGTCGATGGGACTGGGCGCCCTGGAGCAGGGGGTGGCACTCGTCGGGGAGGCTCGGGCCGCATAGGAGCCCATGGAGGGGGTGGGAGGCTCAGGCATGGCGGGCTGCAGGTCCCAAGCCCTGCCCCGCGGGAAGGCAGCTAAGGCCTGGTGAGAAATCGAGTGCAGCGCCGGCGGGCTGGCACTGCTGGGGGACCCAGTACACCGTCCGCAGCTGCTGGCCCGGGTGCTAAGCCCTTCATTGCCCAGGACCGGCAGGGCCAGCCAAGCCCACGCCCACCCGGAACTCCAGCTGGCCCGCAAGCGCCGCGTGCAGCCCCGGTTCCCGCTCGCACCTCTCCCTCCGCACCTCTCCCTCCACACCTCCCTGCAAGCTGAGGGAGTGGGCTCCGGCCTTGGCCAGCCCAGAAAGGGGCTTCCACAGTGCAGCGGTGGGCTGAAGGGCTCCTCAAGTGCCGCCAAAGTGGGAGCCCAGGCAGAGGAGGCGCTGAGAGCGAGCAAGGGCTGTGCGGACTTCCAGCACCCTGTCACCTCTCAATGGCAGCTTTGCTTCAAAATGGCGTCCCTGTTGCCGTGCAACAGGCTGTATTCCTACACTCCACCTCTCAAAACTGGCCCTGACAATTTCACGTGCTCATCTCTTCCATGATAGTCCCTGGGCCTAAAGGGAGGACCCTTGATAGTGCATAGCTTTAGCAGCAGTGCGTTGGCTCCACTGGAGGCAGATAACACAGCAGCAGTAAAGGCTCAAACAAGACAGTAAGGAACGTACGAGTACAGCACCTAAACCAAGAAGCAGCTTATGCCACCAGGTGCCCCAGGACCCAAACCAGCTGTGAAGCCAATTATTCAAAGTAGGGGTCTGAGAGCTTGGTTATGTGGGCTTTTATATCAGTCATTAATTTAGCGATATTAACTGATTCATCAGGAATATAAACACAGCAGTTTTTCCAATTGCACAAGTGCCCCGTTGTGCAGCGTGAGTATATGTAAAGCCTGGTAATTTGGGAGGACAGACTTTCTCATGACAGTGACTTCCATGTTTAAAAGAGAGATTCCCATGCAGCTATCATTTAAAGTTTTCTTTTTTTTTATTTTTTGTAGAGTTTGTTTTTTTAATTTTTTGAGTCAGAGTCTCGCTCTATCACCTGGGCAGGAGTGCAGTAGCACGGTCTTGGCTCACTGTAACCTCCACCTCCCAGGTTCAAGCAATTTTCCTGCCTCAGCCTCCCAAGTAACTGGGATTACAGGCATGCGCCACCACGCCCAGCTAATTTTGTTATTTTTTGTGGAGATGGGGTTACACCGTGTTGGCCAGGCTGATCTCGAACTCCCGACCTCAACTGATCCACCTGCCTTGGCCTCCCAAAGTGCAGGGATTACAGGCTTTATAGAGTTTCTATATGCCAGATAATATCTTCAATAACCGGATGAGGAAGACAAATGGAGGCCAAACAATCATACCAATAAAAAACAGATCAGAACCAGTGGGATTTCAAATGAGGGAGATTGATAGGCTTTGTAGTGTGTGAACTATTCAGTCTGTGCCCGTGTATAATCCAAAGAACATCTTCCTAAACATGCAGGGGGTAACCAAGGCCATAAATTGGTACCACATATCCAGGAAGTTCCATTTGGGGCCAACCAAAAGATTCCTGCACACAGTGTCCGTTCTGTAACATGCCCAATGAGTATTTTATTATATTATAGCATAGTATATAAAAATCAGTCTCTTGCTATCCATCACATATCCCTTGTGCAATTTGGCCAAGTATCTTTAGAATGATTCATTTGTTCCCAAGACTGAGGAGCAAGTTGACTAACATGGCCAAAAGACGGAATTAACCAAATAAACCCAGCCTGTTTTTGGGTATCAGGTTGTTTTGTTCTTTATTTAGGGTGTTGTCACTCTCTAGCAGGAAATAGCCTATCCAGCCTGGGGCTATTTGTCGTTCCAAGCTCGGTGTGTTTCCTCCTCGGTAGTATATCTGCTGGCATCTTCATGTGCAAAAGACACTGGTTGTCAATGAGGTCTGGGAGCAAGCAAAGCAGTCGTCTCAATTACCCCTATGGGAACAGTGGTAGGCTTGGGGGACCGTTGTCCTAGACGGTCACATGGGGCAGGCGTCCCTGCTTTGGCTGAATTTAAAGAAATAAAGGTTGGAGATAACACATTCATCTGCCTATGCAAGGTAGGTTTCCCAAATTAGAGTTTGAATTTGTGCTTTCAACAGACTGGTATTTCTTTCAATTAACCCTGCTGCTTGGAGGTTCTATGGGAGATAAAAGTGCCATAGTGTATCATGTTTCCTGGCCCAGTCCTGCATGTCATATCCAGCGAAATGGGTCCCTCGGTCACTGTCAATGTGCCAGATATATCCATACATAGTACTGAGAGCCTCTAAGCCTTTAATAGTACTGGCTTGATTAGCTTGCTTATAGGGAGAATCTTGCAGCAGTCCAGTAGCGGTGTCCATGCAGGTTAACATGTATTTATTTCCTTGGCTTACAGGGACAGTATCTAAATAATCCACTTGCCAATCTGTTACATGGTGGACAGCCTTCTGAATATCTGAATGTGTCCTGCTCAATATGATCTACAATAGAGAACATGGTAAACAATTTGTAAGAGCTGTTGGGAAGGCACTATATATTTTTTGTTGTTGTTGTGGAGATGGGATCTCGATATGTTGCCCAGGCTGGACTCAAACTCCTGGCCCCAAGCAATCGTCCCACCATGGCCTCCCCATGTGTGAGCCACTGTACCAGGACTAGGTCACTATATATATATATATTTTTTTTTTTTTTTTTTTTTTTTTTTGAGACGGAGTTTTGCTCTTATTGCCCTGGCTGGAGTGCAATGGCGTGATCTCGGCTCACTACAACCTCCACCTCCCGGGTTCAAGCAGTTCTCCTGCCTCAGCCTCCTGAGTAGCTGGGATTACAGGTGCATGCCACCACGCCCAGCTAATTTTGTATTTTTAGTAGAGACAGGTTTCTCCATGTTGGTCAAGCTGGTCTCGAACTCCCAACCTCAGGTGATTTGCCCGCCTCGGCCTCCCAAAGTGCTGGGATTACAGGCATGAGCCACCGTGCCCAGCCTGGTCACTACATTTTAAGAGTAATCCTGCTTCCTTGACTGTCTCCCAGCCTACTCTTGCACTTCTGTGACCACTTTTGTTATGTACCCAGGTCAATAGTTCAGAGGCCTGAGCTGGCATGATGCTTCTAATTTTTTTTAGGGTTTTAGCTTCCATGTTTTGTGGAACTGAGTGGTTTTTATGTGCAGTCACCTGAAATACAGTTAAATCAGCCACAAGGCTTTGCGGCTTTTTCCGTATGTCTTGCCACATGTTCATGCCCCATATAGGTTTGTGCATAATCATCCACTTTTCTAGTTCCTGTTGAGCCAGCCACATAATTAGGCCTTTGAATACAGCTCAGCTATCAGTGCAAAGAACCAGGGGCCAGGCTCATATGTGACTATTAACCAGGCTGCTTGCAACTCATCCCAGTGGCTCCTCTGATGCCCACCTGTATCAAACCAGATTGTATCAGTTTGTGGCTGTGTAGCAACAGCGGTCCAAGAACAGCGGTTTCCCCTGCTGGAGTCCTCTGTACACCAAGCATCATCTGGATGCTTACCATGTCAGGTGCTGGAGTTGGAGAGGGTCAGGTGGTATCCTTTGTTTGTTCACGTCATAACAGAGCCTAATGCAGTATGTAATTCTGGGCTTAAGGGACTCATTGCTAGCATTCTTCCTTGTTGCAAATAATCATGCCATTTATTCAAGGTAGGTGTTGGGGCTACAGCGGAGGTGGGTTGTTTAAAAATCCTTCTAACCATCCCTTGATTGGTAGACCTATTCTCACAGTCATGGGAAGGGTCTTTGTTAGCAATTCCACCTGCTGTAAAGCATTCTCTACTACTAGCACTTCTTGTTCAACAGGAGAGTATCTGGTTTTGGCTCCTTTCTTAAAAGGACTGATTCCCTAGACTGCGGTTGCCATAAGGCCCCACTCATATCCTCAGGAGCAGCAGTAACATCCAAAGTCCTAGCTGTACCCTCCAAAGGGGTGCCTAAGGCCTGTGCCTGCTGTACCAACACTTCAGCCTGTTCAAAGCTTCCTGCTGTGGTGTGTCCCAGGCCCAATGTGCCCTTTCTCTGATAAGTCTGTATAGGGATCTCAAAAACTGTGCTAAGTATGGGATGCATACTCTCCAATAACCCAAAAGACCCACAAATGTTTGGATTTCTTTGACTGTTTCTGGAGTTGACATTGTTGGGCTTTGTCAATTATTGCACCCAGTATCAAAGGAGTGTTACCCAACCATGTAACCCCTAAAAACTTCACTGTGGGCCGGGTGCAATGGCTCACACCTGTAATCCTAACACTTTGGGAGGCCAAGGTGGGCGGATCACAAGGTCAGGAGTTCGAGACCAGCCTGGCCAATATGGTGAAACCCCATCTCTACTAAAAATACAAAAGTTAGCTGGGCATGGTGGCAGGTGCCTGTAGTCCCAGTTACTCGGGAGGCTGAGGCAGGAGAATCGCTTGAACCCAGGAGGCGGAGGTGGCAGTGAGACAAGGTCGCACCATTGCAATCCAGCCTGGGTGACAGAGCGAGACTCCGTCTCAAAACAAAACAAAACAAAACAAAACAAACAAACAAAAAATCTTCACTGTGGGCTCTGGGCCTTGCATCTTCTGAGGATTGATGGCCCATCTCCATTCCATAGATGAGCACCCAATACCATAAGACATTACTGCAAACCAAAACAACATGGTACTGGTACAAGAACAGACACATACACCAGTGGAACAGAATAGAAAACACAGAAATAAGACCACGCACCCACGACTATCTGATCTTCAACAAACCTGACGAAAGCAAACAATGGGGAAAGAATTCCCTGTTCAATAAACGGTGCTGGGATAACAGGCTAGCCATATGCAAACAATTCAAACTGGACCCCTTCTTTACACCTTACACAAAAATTAACTCACGATGGATTAAAGACTTAAATGTAAAACCCAAAACTATAAAACCCTGGAAGACAACCTAGGTAATACCATTCAGGACATAGGCATGGGCAAAAATTTCATGACGAAGATTCTGAAAGCAATTGCAACAAAAGGAAAAATTGAAAATGGGATTTAACTAAACGAAAGAGCTTCTGCACAGCAAAAGAAACTATCAACAGAGTAAACAGACAACCTACAGAATGGGAGAAAATTTTTGCAAACTATGCATCTGACAAAGGGCTCATATTCAGCATCTATAAGGAACTTAAACAAATTTATTTTAAAAAAGCAAACAATTCCATCAAAAAGTGGACAAAGGACATGAACAGACACTTCCCAAAAGAAGACATACATGTGGCCAACAAACATATTTTAAAAAGCTAAACATCATTGATTATTAGAGAAACGCATATCAAAACCACAATGATATTGTGCCATTGCACTCCAGCCTGGGCAATAAGAGCGAAACTCCATCTCAAAACAAACAAACAAAAACCCACAATAAGATATCATCTCACGCCAGTCAGAACAGCTATTATTAAAAAGTCAAAAAATAAAAGATGCTGGCGAGGTTGTGGAGAAAAAAGAATGCTTATACACTGTTGGTGGGAGTATAAATTAGTTCAGTCATTGTGGAAGACACTGTGGTGATTCTTCAAAGACTTAAAGACAGATACCATCTGATCCAGCAATCCCATTACTGGGTATATACCCAAAGGAATATAAATCATTCTGTTATAAAAGCACATGGACGTGGCCAGGCACGGTGGCTCATGCCTGTAATCCCATCACTTTGGGAGGCTGAGGCAGGTGGATCACCTGAGGTCAGGAGTTCGAGACCAGGCTGACCAATATGGAGAAACCCCTGTCTCTACTAAAAATACAAGATTATATGGGCGTGGCGCCACATGCCTGTAATCCCAGCTACTGGGGTGGCTGAGGCAGGAGAATCGCTTGATCCCGGGAGGCAGAGGTTGCAGTGAGCTGAGATCGCACCATTGCACTCTAGCCTCGGCAACAAGAGCAAAACTCCATCTCAAAAAAAAAAAAAAATGCATGCATGTGTTCATTGCAGTGGTATTCACAATAGCAAAGACATGGAATCAACCTAAATGCCCATCAGCGATAGACTGGATAAAGAAAATGTGGTATATATACATCATGGACTACTATGCAGTCATACAAAAAGAACAACATCATGTCCTTTGCAGGGACATGGATGGAGCTGGAGGCCATTATTCTTAGCAAACTAATGCAGGAACAGAAAACCAAATACCGCATGTTCTCGCTTATAAGTAGAAGCTAAATGATGAGAACACAGGGACACATAGAGGGGAACAACACCCACTGGGGCCTATCAGAGGGTGGAGGGTGGGAGGAGGGAGAGGATCAGGAAAAATAACTAATGGGTACTAGGCTTAATAGCTGGGTGACGAAATAACCTGTACAAAAAAACCCCCATGACACACATTTACTTATGTAACAAACCTGCATATGAACCCCCGAACTTAAAATAAAAGTTAAAAAAAGAAAAGCCATGGCTGCAGCACAGTAAAAGCTTCAGCGGCTGACATAATGCCAACAAGATAACAAAACTAGAAGAAAAGACGGGAATGCGAAAAAAGACAAGACTCTTTCATGGGCTTTGTGCTGGGTGGATAATAGTTGCACTTATTGGGAGGATAATAATTGCACTTATTTCAGCATACCCCCTGGACAATATGAATCATTTAATGTTGACAACGCCATGTAGGGGCAGGAAGTTGTAGGGGCTCCCATTTTCTTCCTCTCTCAAGAACAGTCTTCACGGAGTGCCTGCGATTGCAGGCACGCGCCGCCACGCCTGACTGGTTTTCGTATTTTTTTTGGTGGAGATGGGGTTTCGCTGTGTTGGCGGGGCCGGTCTCCAGCTCCTAACCGCGAGTGATCCGCCAGCCTCGGCCTCCCGAGGTGCCGGGATTGCAGACGGGAGTCTCGTTCACTCAGTGCTCAATGGTGCCCAGGCTGGAGTGCAGTGGCGTGATCTCGGCTCGCTACAACCTCCACCTCCCAGCCGCCTGCCTTGGCCTCCCAAAATGCCGAGATTGCAGCCTCTGCCCGGCCGCCACCCCGTCTGGGAAGTGAGGAGCGTCTCCGCCTGGCCGCCCATCGTCTGGGATGTGAGGAGCCCCTCTGCCTGGCTGCCCAGTCTGGAAAGTGAGGAGCGTCTCAGCCCGGCCGCCATCCCATCTAGGAAGTGAGGAACACCTCTTCCTGGCCGCCATCACATCTAGGAAGTGAAGAGCGTCTCTGCCCGGCCACCCATCGTCTGAGATGTGGGGACCGCCTCTGCCCCGCCGCCCCGTCTGGGATGTGAGGAGCGCCTCTGCCCAGCCGCGACCCCGTCTGGGAGGTGAGGAGCGTCTCTGCCCGGCCGCCCCGTCTGAGAAGTGAGGAGACCCTCTGCCTGGCAACCGCCCCGTCTGAGAAGTGAGGAGCCCCTCCGCCCGGCAGCCGCCCCGTCTGAGAAGTGAGGAGCCCCTCCGCCCGGCAGCCACCCCGTTTGGGAAGTGAGGAGCCTCTCCGCCCGGCAGCCAACCCGTCCGGGAGGGAGGTGGGGGGGTCAGCCCCCCGCCCGGCCAGCTGCCCCGTCCGGGAGGTGAGGGGCGCCTCTGACTGGCCGCCACTACTGGGAAGTGAGGAGCCCCTCTGCCAGGCCACCACCCCGTCTGGGAGGTGTACCCAACAGCTCATTGAGAATGGGCCATGATGACGATGGCGGTTTTGTGGAATAGAAAGGGGGGAAAGGTGGGGAAAAGATTGAGAAATCGGATGGTTGCTGTGTCTGTGTAGAAAGAAGTATACATGGGAGACTTTTCATTTTGTTCTGTACTAAGAAAAATTCTTCTGCCTTGGGATCCTGTTGATCTGTGACCTTACCCCCAACCCTGTGCTCTCTGAAACGAGTGCTGTGTCCACTCAGGGTTAAATGGATTAAGGGCGGTGCAAGATGTGCTTTGTTAAACAGATGCTTGAAGGCAGCATGCTCGTTAAGAGTCATCACCACTCCCTAATCTCAAGTACCCAGGGACACAAACACTGCGGAAGGCCTCAGGGTCCTCTGCCTAGGAAAACCAGAGACCTTTGTTCACTTGTTTATCTGCTGACCTTCCCTCCATTATTGTCCTATGACCCTGCCAAATCTCCCTCTGCGAGAAACACCCAAGAATGATCAATAAAAAATAAATAAATAAATAAATAAAAAGAAAGAAGAAAAAGAAAAAAAAAAAAAAAAACAGTCTTCACTACATGCACCTTCGATCTGAATTTTTCCACTGAAGTTTGCTAAGTCTTTCCTAACAGAATACCTGTGCCTAAAATGTTTTCTGGAATAAGAAAAATAAACACCACATATGGGGCAGGGGAGCTTCCCCAATACCTAGATGTATTAAAGTCCTTCTCATCCAGATCGTTTGTCCCCATAACCAGTGATGGCAGACCATTGACCAGGGTGTATTTATGGATTTCCATGAATTAAAGTATATTCTGCCCTAGTATCTACTAAGGAAATAGTCTTCTCCTTATTTTTTTGAGAGGAACAGTAAATGGTGAGCTCAATATGGGGCCTCTGGTCACCTGCAACGTGGGGTTGACCTTGGTCCCACTGCTAATCTTGGGCCCAGCATGGAATCCCCCTCTGATAGGCTGGAGTATTAGAATGAGGGGTTGAGTCATCTTCCTCTTCTGCTAGAGGGGCAGAAATGAAGGGACAAAACAGCCCTTCAGTCTGTACTTCCCTCCATAAGGCTACTAACACAGCATTTTTCATATTTTCCATATTTTAACATTTTTTACATATTTTTTTCTCAGAATTTTTCTGCTCCCAATAAGTCATGCCACATTTGCCTGTTCTTGACTCTAGTTGGTCGCTTTCCCTTATTTTCCCCCTTCTTCCTGTGGAGCATTATCTTTCCCCTTTGTCAGCCCTTGCCGGGTTACAAAGCACACCCCGTCCCTAGCTTTCTCAGTAGCTCCCAAATCTGTGATGGCTTCTCCTACGTCATATACATCTTTTTTTTTTTTTTTTTAAGACGAAGTTTCGCTGTTGTTGCTCAGGCTGGAGTGCAATGGCACGATCTCGGCTCACTGCAACCTCCGCCTCCCACGTTCAAGCTATTCTCCTGCCTCAGCCTCCCAAGTAGCTGGGATTACAGGCGCCTGTCACCATGCCCGGCTAATTTTGTATTTTTAGTAGAGAAGGAATTTCACCATGTTGACCAGGCTGGTCTTGAACTCCTGACCTCAGGTGATCCATCCACTTCGGCCTCCCAAAGTGCTGGGATTACAGGCATGAGCCACCGTGCCCAGCCCTTTTTTTTTTTTTTTTTTTTTTTTTTTGAGACGGGGTCTCACTCTGTTGCCCAGGCTGGAGTGCAGTGCCCCAATCTCAGCTGACTGCAACTTCTGCCTCCTGAGTTCAAGCAATTCTCCTACCTCAGCCTCCCAAGTAGCTGGGGTTACAGGCACACCACCTAGCTAATTTTTGTATTTTTAGTAGAGATGGGGTTTCACCATATTGTCCAGGCTGGTCTCGAACTCCCGATCTCAAGTAATCCGCCTGCCTCGGCCTCTCAAATTGCTGGAATTACAGGTGTGAGCCCCTGTGCCTGGCCTTCCCACATCATATACTTCTTGTCCCATTTATAGGACTCAATAACATGAGCCAAGGGTTGTGCCATTCTCCTGGTGCACCCTTCAGCAATTTATTTTTCATCCCTGCAGGAAAAAACTGTTTTAAGTCCTGTGAGAACCCAAACATAGATGACTTGACTCATTCCTAATTCTTGGAGAAGCCCTTGGGCCTTTTCTGTTGACTGCCAGGAGGTCATCCTTCCCGGTAAATTTCCCTCATTAGGTCAAGCCTCCCTCATAGCTAGAATGAGCCAGTCCATAAGCTATGACTCCCTTGCGTCTGCCTTGCCTTAGCAAAGATGCTTCTGCAGGGCTGCATGGGTGGTGATGTTACTCATTTTTTCTGCTTCTCCTGTTAAGGAAATATCATCAGCCCCTGTGTCCCACAATCAGACCATCCAAGCAGCCAGGGATTTCCTCGGTAGTTGTTTAAAGGCCTTTGCAATCTCTAAGAGTTCTGCAGCGGTAGGTTCCCTGACAGTGAGAGTCTCCTGTATCAGCTGACCCCCGTTTTGCTGCCAATGTTAGGTTTCACTTTCCTTTGCATGAGACAGCGAGCTTGCCAATGATCCCCATCCCCCTCCACACCTGTGACTTCTATGTCATCAGTCTTCCTCTTCATAACAATCCCAGGGATTCCAAGTTTTCACATCCCGGTTGGGCTTTCTCATGAGAGCTCTGATTTTTGGTCATTTCCATATCTTTCGCCCTAGGTGGACAAATCTACATGCTAACATTTCAATTTTTGTCTCTTGGTCTTCAATTTTGTTTGCTAAGTTGGATGTGAGGAGAGACATGGAGAGGTACACGTCTTTTTCTAGTTGCAATTCCTTCTCTAGACATTTAATTTTGGCTTCTGCTGCTAGCCGGATCTTCATTGCCAAAAGAAGCACCCAACCCTCTGCAGTGGCTATTGGCCGACCTTCCGTACCCCAGTGCACTATGCGGCTTTCAGTTAATAACTGCTCTAGGCCACCTGGCATTTTCAAGGCATCCCTGCACTCACACAGAGGTACACAGGTATCGAACAGTTGTGCCATCCAACCCTACACAGACGTGGCTGCCGCCCTGGGGTTTCCTTACAGATGCTTCATTCTCCTTACCCATTCCTTGTTCTCCCAGCTACTGGCTGGGGGATCACCAAATGTTCTACCATGAACAGGTCTACACAAACCTACCCCTAAATTTTGAGGGGAAAAGAGATCAAAGAAAGAGACTGACAAATCCAGTTTCTCACAGAGAAATATTTAATGGAGTCTTCCAAAGAGAAGTGATGTCTGAGGTGGCCACAAGATGGTGGATTCCCACACTCCCTCTCCAAAAAATATCCTTTCTAGAGTAAGCTTTTAGGGGAAAACATGTGCAACTGGTCACATCACAGACTTTCTTGCTGAAACCCATGACTGCTGGGGAGGTTAGATAAGCATCTTTGTGAGAGGTTAATTACGCTACAGGCATTGTTTTAAAGCCCTTGATACAGAACACCTTGGTATGCAGGAGTCAGACATTGGACATCTGGCGAGGTGCAGTGGCTCACACCTGTAATCTCAGCATTTTGGGAGGCCAAGGCAGGAGGAGTTCAAGGAGGCCAGGAGTTCAAGACCAGCTTGTGCAACAGAGTGAGGCCCTGTCCCTACAAAAAATTCTAAAAATTAGCCAGGCATGGTGGCACACGAAACTGTAGTCCCAGCTACTCAGGAGGCTGAGGCAGGAGGATTGCCTGAGCCCAGGAATTGAAGGCTGCAATGAGCTATGATTGCACCACTGCAAAACTCCATCTAAAAAAAAAATGGCCATTGTGGTGGTTTCACTTCAAGATGGTATCACTCTTACCATGCAACAGGCTGTTTTCCTATAGCCGCATTGGTAAGATCCAATTCTTTGGTTTGCTGACACTGGAGAAACCCAATAAGTGGTGGAAGATGGAGCAGTTTCTACTGCTGTGAGTTGGGGTGAACCCACCAACAGACTGCTAATTCTCTGCTGAGGGCTCTGTCCCAAGTAGGAGCCCTCCATTACCTTGTGGGCTCAAAGCAACTTAGCCTCTAAAGCAGCTCCCCTCTGTCTTCCAAGACCTGGAGGACCCTCTTCCCTGGACTCATGAAAGGGATACGTGCAGCTCTTCTGGGCGGGGATTTATGAGAATCTCGGGTCTTTGCAAGAGCCTCTTGGAAGATTCGACCTCAGCAGGCCAGAAAGTCTTTCCCTTGGGAAACCAGGGAGCACTCAGGGAGATGAGTGTCACCAGCTCCTCCACCCTGATGGGTAGTCAGGCCTGGAGCACATGGAAATGCCCTGGGAACCTCGACTTCAAGTGAATATGCGTACCCCCCTCCCCCCTCCCCCCCCACACACAGAGCAGGTAGTTGTAACGCCTCCACCTCATCCTGCTCTTGGCTCTTCATGTATCACAACCTAATCTCTGTGTACCACAGGCCTCACGCAGGAGCCCATAGCATGCTGGCACCCGCCCTCCCTCCTTATCTCTCCCAAGTCAATTCTCCAGCCAATCGGGGTGTCTCAGAGATACAGGGACCTTGCCTGGGGCAAAAAGGATTAGAAAATGCAGACACACAGATAAGAATGAGGTCTTTGGATTTTACTGTGGAGATTTTGAATGCCAGATGGAGTCCAGCATGGAGGTTTTCTCCTATAACTGAGTTCATCTCAGAGCTAGATACCCACCCCGGGGCACGCACAGCTTCTCTTTGTCGTGTGTGTTAGATGAGATGTATTTATTTCTTAGCTAAATGAGCAATATAGTATTCTCTTTCCAGTGTCTGGTAAAGGCAAGAAAGGTGAGGAATACCTTCTTCAAGATTTTCAGGATCTCAAACAAAGCTGGGAGGGGTCTCCTGGGATGAATGAAAGGAAACCAGGTCTTGGGTGCCCAGGTCTCTTCCTTCCTGAAGAATGCGGCACTTGCTTCCGGGGCTGCTCAGGGCCCGCTGTTCCTCCCGCTCATCTCCATGGCTATCGAGGATACTGGTCTCCTCCAGAACCAGTTAGGACTCCACCTGGGCCTGTGGGGGGCTCCATGATTCCCTCCAGGGCCTGGACCAAGGCCATGGTTGAGGCCATGAGGGTGGTAGACAGCTGTGTTAAAGGTGTTTCTCAGGGACAGGCTGTTTCTCTAAAAAAAGAAGAGTCAATAGTTTCAGAATTGCATCCCTGTCTCCCACGCCTTTACCACGTACGCCTTCTGGAATCTTCTCCCACTTCCAACCACACTCTTTACCTAGTTCTCCTTTCTCCAGTCCTTTCTGTGGCCCCCTTTTCCCGCAGGTCAGCAGCTTCCTCTGCATTGACCTACCATGTCTCTGTGTTACTCTTTCCTGATCTCCCTTCCTCCCTACCCACCCCTGACTTGAGACCCCTTCTATTCACACCCATTTCCTTGTGTTTCTGCTGCTCCTTCCCCCAGGCATTTTCTTACATATTAGGCACTCACCACACAGAAGAAGAGCCCAGCAAAGAGCCCCACGGCCGCCACAACCGAGACCAGGGTGATGAGGAAGATTTCCCACGGCACCAGGGACCCACCAGGCTTCGCCTCACTCACTGCAGTAGATGCACTATGGGAAGTTGTGTGCATTCCAGTCAGAGCTGCTGTTCCAGAGCCTGCAGAGGTCACACTGGACCCAGAGTTGGTGGCTGTGTTGGCCCCACTGGAGGTTGTGCTGGACTCAGAATTGGTGGCAGTGCTGGCCCCACTGGACACTGTGCTGGACTCAGAGTTGGTGGCTGTGCTGGCCCCACTGGAGGTCGTGCTGGACTCAGAGGTGGTGGCTGTGCTGGCCCCACTGGACACTGTGCTGGACTCAGAGTTGGTGGCTGTGCTGGTCCCACTGGAGGTCGTGCTGGACCCAGAGTTGGTGGCTGTGCTGGCCCCACTGGAGGTTGTGCTGGACTCAGAGTTGGTGGCTGTGCTGGCCCCACTGGAGGTCGTGCTGGACTCAGAGTTGGTGGCTGTGCTGGCCCCACTGGAGGTTGTGCTGGAGTCAGAGTTGGTGGCTGTGTTGGCCCCACTGGAGGTCGTACTGGACTCAGAGTTGGTGGCTGTGTTGGCCCCACTGGAGGGTGTGCTGGACTCAGAATTGGTGACTGTGCTGATCCCACTGGACACTGTGCTGGACTCAGAGTTGGTGGCTGTGCCGGCCCCACTGGAGGTCGTGCTGGACTCAGAGTTGGTGGCTGTGCCGGCCCCACTGGAGGGTGTGCTGGACTCAGAGTTGGTGGCTGTGCTGGCCCCACTGGAGGTCGTGCTGGACTCAGAGTTGGTGGCTGTGCCAGCCCCATTGGAGGTCGTTCTGGACTCAGAGTTGGTGGCTGTGCTGGCCCCACTGGAGGTTGTGCTGGACTCAGAGTTGGTGGCAGTGCTGGCCCTACTGGACACTGTGCTGGACTCAGAGTTGGTGGCTGTGCTGGCCCCACTGGAGGTTGTGCTGGACTCAGAGTTGGTGGCTGTGCTGGCCTCACTGGAGGTTGTGCTGGAGTCAGAGTTGGTGGCTGTGCTAGCCCCACTGGAGGTTGTGCTGGAGTCAGAGTTGGTGGCTGTGCTGGCCCCACTGGAGGGTGTGCTGGACTCAGAGTTGGTGGCTGTGCTGGCCCCACTGGAGGTTGTGCTGGACTCAGAGTTGGTGGCTATGCTGATCCCACTGGACACTGTGCTGAACTCAGAGTTGGTGGCTGTGCTGATCCCACTGGAGGTTGTATGGAACTCAGAGTTGGTGACTATGCTGACCCCATTGGAGGTCACGCTGGACCCTGAGATGGTGGCTGTGCTGACCCCACTGGAGGTCACACTGGACCCAGAGTTGGTGGCTGTGCTGGCTCCACTGGAGATCACACTGGATCCAGTGTTGGCAGAGGTGCTAGTCTCATTGGAATTTGTTGCTGAAGAAATCATATAATGACAAATATATATTGTGTGTATATACTTTCTGCTTATTGCTTGGCTAAATTCATTACATAATTTTATTTAATGCTCACTATGGTGCTATAACATAGATGCTATTATTATCACCAGCTGAGATGAAGAAATTGAGGCTTCAAAATGTTGATACTGGGCTGGGCACGGTGGCTCACGCCTGTAATCCCAGCACTTTGGGAGGCCAAGGTGGGCGGATCACCTGAGGTTGGGAGTTCGAGACCAGCCTGACCAACATGGAGAAACCCCATCTCTACTAAAAATACAAAATTAGCCGGGCATTAATTCCAGCTACTCGGGAGGCTGAGGCAGGAGAATCACTTGAACCCGGGAGGCAGAGGTTGCGGTGAGTCGAGATCGAGCCATTGCACTCCAGCCTGGGTGCCAAGAGCAAAACTCCGTCTCAAAAATAAAAAATAAAAAAAAGTTGACACTGGCCCAAGTTTACACAGCTAGTGAGTGGTGGAACAGGAAACTGAACCCAGGCTACTAAATCTGCACTTGTGGAGACTAAGCTAAGTCAACCACCCACCCACAATGCCAGAGTTACATCATCTAGTTTCACTGGTAGCTAACCTTTTTCCACATTCTGCTATGCAAGATACAATACAGATATAAAGTATTATAAAAGAATTATAGGACTAGGTGAAACTAGTATATACTGATCAATTTTTTTCTTAAGTAGTATTGCTTCCTTCTTGGAAAATATTTCTCAGAATAATATTCAGAACACACTTATTTCAGAATTACTTAAGGGAGCATGTTGAAAATATTCTTAAGCAAATCATTCCAGACTAAATGAATTAGAATTTGAGATGGGGCCCAGGAGTCTGCATGTACAACAAGAAGCCAGGTGACTATATGCATTCAAGTTCCAGGGGCCCTTGATCACTATGGCCAAGGCTAGAGAAGAACGAGTTATATGTAGCTCAAATACATAAGAGCTCCCAGGAATAAGGGCTGTAAACCAACGTCTAAAGGTAGAGGGAAGGCTTTTAACTTCTTGGAGGCTTGGCTGGAGTTAAGGTTATGTCAAATTTTTGCCCTTGATTTCCCAGAAGGATGAAGACATTCAACCTCCCCAGCCTGTACGTGGGAAGCTGACGAGGAATTAGGTGTAGGGGTAGGAGAGAAATTGAGTTTGTAGAATATAGAAGAGTGGTATTTTATTTTATTTTATTTTATTTTATTTTATTTTATTTTATTGCTTATTTATTTATTTGTTTTTGAGACGGAGTCTTGCTCTGCCGCCCAGGCTGGAGTATAGTGGAGCAATCTCAGCTCACTGCAACATCCGCCTCCCACGTTCAAGCGATTCTCCTGCCTCAGCCTCCTGAGTAGCTAGGATTACAGGCATAAGCCACCCCGCCAGGCTAATTTTTGTACTTTTAGTAGAGATGGAGTTTCACCATGTTGGCCAGGCTGGTCTGAAACTCCTGGCCTCAAGACATCCACCCGCCTTGGCCTCCCAAAGTGCTGAGATTACAGGCGTGAGCCACTGAGCCTGGCCTTATTTTATTATTTTATTTTTTTGAGACAGAGTCTCACTCCGTCACCCAGGCTGGAGTGCAGTGGCACCATCTTGGCTCACTGCAACCTCCGCCTCCCGGGTTCAAGCGATTTTCCTGCCTCAGCCTCCTGAGTAGCTGGGAGTACAGGGACAAGCCAACACACTCAGCTAATTTTTGTATTTTTAGTAGAGACAGGGTTTTGCCACGTTAGCTAGGCTGGTCTTGAACTTCTGACCTCAATGACCTGCCTGCCTCACCCTCCCAAAGTGCTGGGATTAAAGGCATGAGCCACCGCACCCCGCCAGAAGAGTGACATTTTAAAAGCAGCCGACTCTTCTTGTTCTTAATATTTAAAACCCCAACCATATTACACAGGTTGTTACCATTTTACAGATGCAGAAATCGAGGCGCAGAGAAGCAACTGACCTAAAGTACACAGTTAATAGATGGAGCCATAATTCAAATGTAGGCAATGTGAGACCAGAGCCCAATTTTAACCACTGTGTCTGACTGCTTCCTGCATGACATACCTTGTTAGGCTGAAGTGATTCGAGTAAAATGATGATCCTCACTCTATGGAAGAGAAGCAGAGCTGGCCCCAGTAGTGGTCACATTTCTCTCCCAACTCCTCAAAGGTTCTCAGACCACCCGATTTTAAATAAAATCACTCACCAGCTTCTAAATGCAATAGTAGACCAAACATAAGGAGAACATTTCCTTTCTGCATCTTCATCTGTCTCTTTGTGGCTGGAAAGCAAGATGCCTGGGTCCTAGATGTACCAAGACTTTAGAGGGCAAAGAACAGAGGATTCTTGAGAAAGGGGACTTGAAGGTGAAGAGATAAAGGCTGGTGCTTCCAGGAGCGTGGGTCTCCTACGTTTGTGTTCCTGGGAAGAATCTTGGACTCAGGCGTGGGCAGCTGGATGCCTGGGTTCCTTAGGCTTCCTCCAGGCAATGTAGTTGCCTCTTTCTCTGTTGTGAAAGAGCTGCAGGGGCCTTTATAGCTTCATATGGTCTGAGGAGGGGTGGGGCAGTTGACCTGACAGTCTGCCAACTACAGGCAGGTGAGAGAACGATACCAAGCCTGGGACGGAATAGAGCAGGGGTCAAGAGGAAGGTGAGAAAGGAGAATGACATGACCACACTAGGCAGGGTGCTTGGCTGGGTTGCAGCAGGAAGTAGAATGGGATGAGGAGATCATGGTTGTCAGAGTGGAAGGGACCCACCCTTTGAAGCAGGGATCGGGTTAGAAACCTGTTGCAGCTCAAGAATTTGTTTTCTGGTCAGGAAGTCCTGTGGGCCTGCTTTAGCATGAAAGAAGCCCTAATGAACTGAGCCAAGAGAGTAGGACCTCACATCTCTACAGCAAACAGTAATAGGTGACGCAAAAGAGACCAGTAACTAGGACTCTGGGCTCCTGGGTTATGGGCAGAAGACAAATGGAGTATTACTGAGTATGCAGTAAGCACTCAACAATGCACATTGAAGGAACAGGGGAAGAGAGATCCAGAAGACATAATGAAGAGAGATAATGAAAACATGTTTGGGGTCTCTGGGGCATGAGAACTGAGGGTGTGGGAGAGTATTGAATACGCCCCCTGTCAGACTCATAGCAGGAGAAGGAAGGTAGGGTCTCCTTCTGACCCTCAACCATAGGAGCTCCCCTCTGTTTTGTTTTTGTTTTCAGACGGCTGTATAGGAGCCTTTCCACCCTGAGATCCTTCTGATGTGCCTTAGCATCAGTTCCAAGGAAGCGTCTCTCAGGAGAGTACACACCTTAGGGAGAGACACAGTGCCATATCGGGACACAGTCTGATGGGAGGAGGGAGATCAACAGTCCAAGTCCTGGAGGAGGCTTGAATTTGGTCTGGACACTTGGGTATGGCCAGCAGAGGGGAAACAGTCAGCTAAAAGAGCGTGACTGAAGAGACCCAAATGAGCAGAGGGTTTGGGGAGGTCTGAGATGGCATCTGTGACCAGGCTGATGGGGTTCCAATATACAGTCTGTATTTTCTGTCATAGTCCATTGGTGTTGCTATAAAGGAATCCCTGACTGTGGGTGACATAGAGAAAAGAGGCTTATTTGCCTCACGGTTCTGCAGGCTGTATGAGAAGCATGGCACCAACGTCTGCACTGGTGAGGGCTTCAAAAAGCTTCCACTCGTGGCCGAAGGAGAAGGGGAGCCGGTTTGCACAGATCATATAGCGAGAGAGAGGAAGCTGGAAAGAAGGAATGGAGGAGGTGACAGGATCTTTTCAACAACCAGTTCTTGTGGGAACTAAGAGTGAGAACTCACTGGTTGAGAATGGCACCGAGCTGTTCATGAGGGATCTGTTTCAACCACCCAAACTCCTCCCACCAGGCTCCACCTCCAACATTGGGAATCAAATTTCAACATGAGACTTGGCAGGGTTTAACAACCACATCCAAACCATTGCAATGACCAAAGTGAGTTGTCTGCATTTCCCCCAACAATGACGAGAAGCTTCCTGGAAGACACAGTCTCTCAGATAGTTTATTTGTAGGCGAACGAGCTTTCCTGACATGCAAGTTCTGTTAGAAGGAAGCTGGCAAGCAGGAGGTGGCTGAAGACATGAAGGAGCTCTGAATGAGTGAGCTGGAGAAACAGAAAGGGTCAGCGGTGTGCTGGGAAAGGCTCAGAAGTGAGTCTGCCTAGTGGCTGTGATGGGAAGTTCCAGAGGGTCAGGTATGCGGGAACGCTCAGTGACAGGTTGGGTCCTGGACTCCCAGCAATTCTTCTGATGTGCCAGTATTCTGCAGCTGAAAAGCCAATAGCACTCTAAGAATTTTCTTCTTCCAGAATTATTTAGAAACTGAGATCCTGGATTCAAGTCCAAATTTCACCTTTTAGAGGGTACTCTGAAAATTGTAGCGCGCATACTTATCAGAGCCTAATGTAATTAATATCTTTACTCGCTATCAAAATAACACAAAGACCTCAGAACATTTTAATTCGTATTACCCATCTCCCAAATCATACCCTAATATCATCAAGTATTTTAATTCCTTCTTGTTTGTTAACTTCATGAAAGATTATTGTAAAAAAAAAATTATTGTTGTCTGCTTACACACCCTCAGCCTGAACGCAGTCACACAGCCATGTTAAGCTGCAAGAGAAACTGAGAAAGACTGTCTCTAGCTGGGTAGACGTGTGCTCAGCTGACACTTGAGAGATCTGTTGCTAAAGGTGGAGAATGGGTGTTAGCAGACAACCATAAAGCCGTGACATGATCCAGCAACCCCACTGCTGAGGAGGTAGCCAAAAGAAAAGAAATCAGTGTATCAAAGAAATATCCGCACTCCAACGTTTGTTGCAGCACTGTTTGCAATAGCTAAGATTTGGAAGTGTCTATTAATGGATGAATGAATAAAGAAAGTGTGGTACAGGCCGGGCGCAGTGGCTCACACCTATAATCCCAGCACTTTGGGAGGCCGAAGTGGGTGGATCATAAGGTCAGGAATTCAAGACCAGCCTGGCCAACATGGCAAAATCCCATCTCCACTAAAAATACAAAAATTAGCCCAGTGTGGTGACGGGCGCCTGTAATCCCAGCTACTCGAGAAGCTGAGGTAGGAGAATTGCTTGAACCTGGGAGACGGAGGTTGCAGTGAGCCAAGATTGTGCCATTGCACTCCAGCCTGGGCGACAGAGTGAGACTCCATCTCAAAAAAAAAAAAAAAAAAAGAGCCAGGCACGGTCATGCCTGTAATCCCAGCACTTTGGGAAGCACAGGTGGGCAGATCATGATGTCAGGAGTTCGAGACCAGCCTGGCCAGCATGGTGAAACCCCATCTCCACTAAAAATACAAAAATTAGCCGGGCGTGGTGGCAGGCATCTGTAATCCCAGCTACTCGGGAGGCTGAGGCAGAAGAATTGCTTGAACCTGGGAGGCAGCGGTTGCAGTGAACCCAGATCGAGCCACTGCCCGCACTCCAGCCTGGATGACAGAGCAAGTCTCCATCTCGGAAAAAAAAAAAAAAAAAAGAAAAGAAAAGAAAAGAAAACGTGGTACATATACATAGTAGAGCATCATTCAGCCATAAAGAAAGAATGAGATCCAGTCATTTGCAACAACATCGCTGGACATGGAGATCATTATGTTAAGTGAAAAACCCGGCACAGAAAGACAAACATTGCATGTTCTCATTTATTTGTGGGATCTAAAAATCAAAAACAACTGAACTCATGGACATAGAGTCTAGAAGAATGGTTACCAGAGGCTGGGAAAGGTAGTGGGGAGGACTGGGGGAGGTAGAGATGGTTAATGAATGAATTAATTAAATGAATTAAATTAATTTAAAAAAACAAATGAATTAAAAAGAATGAATAAGACCTACTCTTTGATAGCACAACAGGGTAACTATAGTGAATAATAACTTAATTGTATATATTAAAATAACATAAAGAGTGTAATTGGATTTTTTGTAACTCAAAGGATAAATGCTTGAGGGGATAGATACCCCATTCTCCACGATGTGCTGATTTCACATTGCATACCTGTATCAAAACATCTCATGTACCCCATAAATATATACACCTACTATGTACCACAAAAAGTAAAAATAAAAAAAATTAAAAATAAAGCCAGGACGTACATTTAAACCTACTTACCTTATATTCTGTATTTAATAATTTCAATACCTAAAGTCTTTGAGGATCTGATACTGCTGTCTAGCTTTTTGGTTTTGTTTTCTTCCTTGCTGGTTTTCACTCAGGGTGTCTGTTTTCACTTATGATTTGAGAATCATGACTATAAATTTATTTTTCTTGGAATGTTATCTGTCGAGATCAAGGCTGCAGTGGCACTAGCATAACTCACTGCAGCCTTGACCTTCTGGGCTCAGGCAATCCTACTGCCTCGGCCTCCCAAATTTCTGGAATTACAGATTAAGCTACGATCTTTCACAGAGAATTTGCATGTTTTTTCCAAGCATATGGAGACATTACCATTTGAGGATTATTTTATTATTATATTTTTAATTAAAATATTTTATTAACATTGTTACTGTATATACTTATGGGGTACAATTTAATGTTTTAATACATATATATGCTGTATAATTTGATGATTATTTTAAGCTAAACTATAGGATTGCGGTCTTTTGAATTACCTAGACTGCATGATTTGTGGCTACAAACCATGTAAGTAAGGTATTGTTGGTTGTTGTGGTTACAATTTATTTCTCAAGGGATACTCCCTCTACCCTCCTCTGCACCAAATTTAGAGACAGGCAATTTTGCTTACATTTCCTTAGAGGAGGGGCAGGTTTATTTTTAGTTTACATTCTCACTGAAAGTTACAGATTTATGTGATTCCTCCCCACCCATGACCTTGGGCTGATCCAGCTGAAGCTGTAATACCCGAAGCTTAAGTTCTTTGGGTTTTGCAAAAGTTGGCTTCAGTACTTCCCTTACCTCCTGGGTCCTATTTAGTCTTTAATTTTAGCATTCCATACTTTCATGCCAATTCACTGACTCTTTTAAGAAGATTTTGAAGTCCATAACTTAGCTTTACAGTGTATTTTCAGTCAGGGCACGTAGTCCATTATATAGCAAGAAGTTTAAGTTGTCATTGGATTGTTTTGAGAAATAAATGGTGATGTATTTACAGGCACTAGCATAGTGTTTGGCACTTAATAAGCATGCAATAATAAAGGACAAAGGGAAAATAAAAAAGACAAACATAAATACATAAATACATAGATGCCAGGTGTATTTTGAGATTTTAATTTGTAGCACTGTCCCAGTAAATTTCTTCTAACTTATCACATAGCATTTGAAAGAGGCAAAGAAGTAGGGAGGGAGACTCTTCCCAAAGATGAAGAACTGGAGGGCACTGAGTGAGTCTAACAGGATTTTCTGATCTACTCAGTTTGTAGAGTTTGAAGTTACAAATCCAAATAAAGAAAGTTGTGTAATTACAAATTCTCAGGGGAAATTTTTTACCCACTCCATTATTATAAACTGTGATAATCTTATTCTTCCTCCTACTGGTCAGGTTCCATCCTGAGGAAACGATAGAAAGCCAAAGCCTAAAGAGTTCTGACTTGTGTGTTGAGAGATCAAAGAGAAATTGTTCTGAGCTTGATCATCGTGACCCCTCCTCCCCACAAGAGTTGGAACCATGGTTATGCTCAGGGGATATTTTCACTTGAGCTCACACCCAAAGCTGGTGAGGCTGCAGGTCTCCTCCAGAACCACTCCCTATTTTTCTGACTGTCCCGTTGGCCAAACCCTCTGTGCTCTTTTCTCTGGTTCTTTTCTTGATTTTGATCATGACCATCTCTATGGCCAATCCCTTGGAGACCTCAGAGAAGCCCATCCTGACCCATTTTATGGTCACTACCTTCTCCTCCATGATCCCCCTTCTTCCCCAAGATTTTCTTTTCCATAGCACCTTCCATTATCCAGTCTATGTCTATACTCTCCTTTGCCTTGGCGACCTTCTCTGTGATGCATTTCATGATTATTGCTGTAGCCTCCTCCAAGTCCATAACGCCCACCATGATTCACTCCACAGCCATCTCCATGGCTGTGGCTCAGCTCATGGCCCACTCCATGTCCAAAGCCATGTGTTCCTGTGTGTCCCATCTCAAGTCCCCCTCCATGAATGAGTGCATTTCCCAGGCTGTGGAATGTCCCAGAGCCCAGGACTGAGTCCAGGTATAAACCAAGGTCAAGGCTGTTGTCATGGAGGTTATAAATGCCTCTATTTGTCAGGGTAAAGAAAGATCCTTCTAAAAGAGAAAAATATATATATTAGTAGTTAACTCCTTTTCTTTCTTATCATTAAACCTTGGATTATCAAAATTCATAAATTTTCACTTTTCAATATTGTCTATTTTCTCATCAAGTCTTCCTGTGTGTGTGTGTGTGTGGATGATATTTAGGACTCTCTTCCTCTTATTTATTTATTTATTGGAGAAAACAGTCTTCCTAATTAGTATACTTGTACCTTGGTAGGGATCTATGCTGCTCAACTTTCAAGACAAGATAAGTCTGGGCATGGTGGCTCGTGCCTGTAATCCCAAAACTTTTGGAGGCTGAGGTAGGTGGATTGCTTGAGCCCAGGCATTCCAGAGACCAGCCTGGGCAACATGGTGAAACCCCATCTCTACAAAAATAAAAAAAACAAGACAAGGTAAATTTGCATCCTGTACCTGGGAACAGAGTCAGCTAAGAGTAGGGAATCTTTTATTGTGTAAATCAACCAAAAAGGTTGCATGTCTATGAGGTCAGGTAAAAATAAATAAAAGTTCATAAGGCCAGGTACAGTGGCTCATGCCAGTAATCCTAGTACTTTGGGAGGCCAAAGCGAGAGGATCACTTGAACCCAGCTCTATCTCTGGGTAGACAGAAGCTGCAGTGAGCCAAGACGGCACCACTGGACTCCAGCCTGGGTGACAGAGTGAGACCCCATCCAAAAATTAAAATGAAAAATTTTTTTTAAAGTTCATAAAATAGAAGCTAGAATAGTGCTTACCTTTGATGGAGTGGGTATTATCTGGGAAGGGCCACAAAATAAACTACTCAGATGGTAGAAATATTCTACATTTTAAGTTGGGTAATGGTTGTACAAGTGTTAACACATTTTGAAATTAATCAAGCTGTACAAATAATATTTGTGTACTTTTGTAAATTATAGTTCAAAATTTTTTCATCTGTGAACAGTATTTATTTTTTTCAATTAATATTGTTCTTTTTATTTTTTTTTTATTTCTTGAGACAGAGTCTTTCTCTGCTACCCAGGCTGGAGTGCAGTAGCACGATCTCGGCTCACTGCAACCTCTGCCTCCCAGGTTCAAGCAATTCTCCTGCCTCATCCTCCAGAATAGCTGGGATTACATGCATAAGCCACCATACCCGACTAATTTTTGTATTTTTAGTAGAGACAGGGTTTCCCCATGTTGGCCAGGCTGGTCTTGAACTCCTTACCTCAGATGATCCATCCGCCTCAGCCTCCCAAAGTGTTGAGGTTACAGAACTGCGCCCGGCTGTTCTTTTTATTTTTAAGTGTAATTTAACTTTTAACCTTTCTCCCAACTGTATTAAGTTGATACGTGAAACATATATTTGGACTTCTGCACATTTCCTGGCATGCAGCTCCTAAAATCCTTAGGTACTGAAAAGTGATTTTTTTTTTTGTATGCGAATGAGTCAACTGTTGGCTACAGGATGGGGGCTAATCACCGGAAAGACCAAAGCACCACCCCTTAACCCTTAACCTCCAGGGAGGAGAGGGGACTGAAGGTTAAGTTGATTACCAGTGGCCATGGTTTAATCAGGTATACCTACATAATGAAGCCTCTGTAAAAACCCCAAAGGCCAGGGCTCAGAAAACATATGGAGGTTCCTGGAGGATGGAGTGCTGGGGAGGGCATGGAAGCTCCCTGCTCCTTCTCCCTCCACGCCTCTTCACCTGTATCCTTTGTAATATCCTTTGTAATAAACCAGTAAAGGTGTTTCCCTGAGTTCAGTCAGCCACTCCTGCAAATTAATCGAAACCAAACAGGAGTAGCCAACTCCAACTTGCTCCAGTTGGTCAGAAGTTCCAGAGGCCTGGACTTGGCAGCCTGTGGGAAGGAGCGGTTGGTGTTGAGGGACTGCGCGCTTAGTCTGTGGATCTGATGCTATCTCCAGGTAGGCAGTGCCAGCACTGAATCGGAGGACACCGAGCTGGTGTCTGCTGCAGAACTGATTGCTTGCTTAGTGTGGGAAGAACTTCCCCTCTTAATTTGGTCACCAGAAGTGTTTTGTGTTGGTGGTGGTGTGAGAGCAGAGGAAACACAGTTTGTGTTTTTCCCACTTTCAAAGCTGGTGAATAAATATTGCATATACTTATGGTGTACAATGTGATGTTTTGATATATGTATACATTTTGAAATTATTAAATCAAATTAACATATCTATTGCCTTGCATACTTATCATTTTTTATTGGTAAGAATTACACCTCAATTTTTAAAGATAAAGAAAAATAAGAGACAGGCCATAAAGAGCTAAAGGTTGGAGAACTATCTAAAAAACACTGTGGGCCAGGTGCGGTGGTTCACGCCTGTAATCCCAGCACTTTGGGAGGCCGATGTGGACAGATGATGAGGTCAGGAGTTCGAGAGCAGCCTGGCCAACATGGTGACACCCCATCTCTACTAAAAATACAAAAAATTAGCCGGGCATGGTGGCACATGCCTGTAATCCCAGCTACTCAGGAGGCTGAGGCAGGAGAATTGCTTGAACCCGGGAGGTGGAGGTTGCAGTGAGCCGAGATTGTGCCATTGCACTCCAGCCTGGGCAACAGGGTGAGGCTTCGGCTCAAAAAAACAAACAAACACTCTGGCTAAGAACACAGGCTCTGCTGTCAAGCGGACCAGAATTAGAGCCTAGCTCTGCGTGGCCTTGTCCTGTGGTCTTCAGCAAGTTACTTATGTCTCTGCTTCCAGTTTTCTAGTCTATAAAATGGGATAATAGGAGTACGCATCCCCAAGGGTGGTTGAGCAGAGCAAAGGAGAGATGATGCCCTCTAAGCACTCTGGGCCCTGGACCTCATACCTAGTAGATAGCTAATAAAATGCTAGTTAACTAATATTACATCTTTATCTTAAACATTTAGGGGGTTGCTCATGGCTGGTGAGTCACATATTGTTCTTCCCTTAGGGAGGGGTCAGAGACTCTGAAATAAGAAACTCAGGTAAGTTGATTGTAAATTATGTTAACTGTTTGTGGCTTGTGTGAATTTCTCATTTATGTATTGTGTACTCACTCTGGCTCCTCCTACAAATTTACAAGACTGCATACAGGAATACATAAAGCCAAAATGGGAAAATATAAATGTTCTATTTCTTAAAATAGAACAAGAGAAATACATTTGAATAGAAGATTAAGACCAGGATGGACAATAGAACACAGTCTGCTGCTGGCCAGTGGCTGTCACATTGGCACCAAGAACTGCGGAGGGCTGGGGCCTCTGGAACGTCAAACCCTCCCCTACACCAGGGGGAGCGTTTCTACAGCCTCCATTCTCCAGAAGGGCATTTCTTTGTCAACTTCCCTTAGTGTTTCATGAAGTTTTGAAATCTCTAGCCTATTTGAGTTGTGCTAAGAGGTACCTAGAAAAGTGAATTTGTTTTCACTTGGGTAAAATCATAAAGGCATGAGGTGGGACATGCCCCACTCTCACCCTGGAAGGAGCTTATGATTTTGTCTGTCTTGAAAGTGAAAAACCTGTTGAGGACCTAAATGTTCATCACTTTCCAAAGATGTTTTTTCTAGTGTTACATTCCCAGCTATTTTATAAGACACATTTTCCATCATATTCTCAATGCTCTCCTATTCATACCCAGACACTTTCCTCTCACTTGGGGCCCCCTTCCTCTTTTTTTTTTTGAGATGGAGTTTCACTCTTATAGCCCAGGCTGGAGTGCAGTGGCGCGATCTCGGCTCACTGCAACCTCTGTCTCCCGGGTTCAAGAAGTTCTCCTGCCTCAGCCTCCCGAGTAGTTGGGATTACAGGTGCCTACCACCACACCGGCTAATTTTTGTATTTTTAGTAGAGATGGAGTTTCACCATTTTGGTCAGGCTTCTCTCGAACTCCTGACCTCAAGTGATCCTCCTGCCTTGGCTTCCCAAAGTGCTGGGATTACAGGTGTGAGCCACCACGCCCGGCCTCTTCTTCTTCTTCTTCTTCTTTTTTTCTTCCTGCTATATCTATCGTTTATATTTTCTGTCTTTCTCCTTCTCCCTGGTCTTTATACTACACTATGTGAGACAGTAAAAATCAGACTGCGAAAGCAGCAGTCGGCCGCTGTCCATCAGGAGGTAGATGCATAACAGCATAGGTGGCCAGCTGTGAGGGGCACTGAGAGGAATATTTTTCCCCAGGGCGCACTGCAGCTGTGAAGTATCACAGCCCTTACTCACTTCCAGTGACCTACTCACTTGCAGTGATTTAGCCAATGAAAAATTTCATTCTCTAAAATCGCAGACTATTACAAATTTGCTGTTTGATTCTAAATCAGTGAGAAGGAAATATCCCATTCTTGTCTGGAAACTCTAAGTGACTTTGACACAGAGAAGCAGCCTCCAATTCCAACTGGGGTACAGATAAGGGGTTTCTCTGAATACAACATTCCACGTTCATTTTAACTGTAGTTTCCAAGGAAACAATCTATTTCACAGTTTCAAGCTGCCGGTGACCCCTTTACAAACAGCCCTGCTTTCTTTTGAGCCTTTTAAAATTCTTTCATTTAAATTTCACCAAAAATCCACACTTTCCTCCAATACTATAATGACATTTCCCCCAATACTATAATGACATTTCCCCCAATACTGTAATGACATTTCCGTTGTTTGGTGAGAAGCTCCTCAGCTCCCTGGTATACAGCCTCCCATTTTGCAACTAACTGATAAATCTGACTTCATGGGACTATACATTTGCTCCTGCACTCTTGGTCGATTGGACTAGGGTACAAGTGACTCTCCAGACCCCTCTCCATGCTAATAGTCTAGTGGCCCTTCTTCCGTCAATTCTAATCCTCCTCGTGATCTATCTTCTCAGGAAAGCTCTGCCCATTTCCATGCTCAGTCACTCACAGGCAAAACCTCAGTCCTACTGACAATCCAACACCAACCATGACTACAGCCAGGGAAATGAGCATGATGGCCTGGGGCTGTAAATGTCCACTCAGTTTGATCACATGTTTGGATGTGTGGCTCACGCTAACTGTATTTGTGCCTGTGGACATTGGGCCTGTTTACTGGGAGGTGTTGCTGGTTGGCTCACGGGTGGATCCTGTAGTGGTCCTGAAGCTGGGGGCTGAGGTGGTAGATGATGCTCCCATAGTGGATGTACCCAGGTCAGAGGTGTTTGAGACTATTCCCGTCACAGGATGGCTGCAGCAGAGGCCATGGAGTCCATTCCAGGGGCCATGGTGACAGAGCTAGGGGCGGTAGGACTGGTTCCAGGGGTCACACAACATGATGCATTCATAGCAGAGATAATTAAAGGGGAGTGGGAGCGCTTAGAGCAGAGCGGGGTGAATCTAACATGTCTATGGTGAGAATAGCTCAGGAGAGGGGTGGTGGGGGAGGAGAGATGGTAGAAAGCCATTCCTCTGTGGCCGTGTCCTCACAATAGAGGTGGGTGTCGTACAGAGGAGGAGGTAGAATGTGTCACCTGGTGGAGTTGGTGATGGAGGAGGCAGAAGGTTGAGGAAACGTGACCGTGATGGGTATGGAAGTGGAAGATCTATTTGACTTCGGAAGTGGCCACCCAAATAGAAGAGGGCGGGCTTGTATACAAAGTGGCAGGCCCTGCTTCTTTTGTGACTGTGATCACTGGGTGTAAGGAGGGAGCTGGAGGAGGAGATGACAGAATTGGATTCATTCATGGGCATGCCAGTGGCCGTGGCTGGGACGGAGGTGACATCATCTACCACACTGTGGTGGTCAGCAAAGGTGGGGTGAGTGTGCTTGGGCAGATGTGGGAGGACCTGACCCAAGTGGAGAAGGCTGCTCACAGGGACAGGAGAGGGTGGGCTCAGACAGGTGCGAGTGAGAATCAACACAGCAGAGGCAGTGGTGGTGGCTTTGATAGCAATGGGTGTGCCTAGGTCAGAAGTGGTGAAAATAGGATCCCAAACAGCACCAGTCACCAGAATAGAGGTGAGGGTGCTCAGAACGAAGAGGATAGAATCAGATGCAACCGGCTTGCTGATGGAAAGTGCCAGAGAATGAACATAATTGTTTGGTCTTAGACTGGAGCAAGGTGATATGATTTGGATTTGTGTCCCTGCCCAAATCTCATGTCAAATTGTAATCTCCAATGTTGGAAGAGGGGTGTATTAGTCAGGGTTCTCTACAGCGACAGAACTGATGGAATATATATAAAGCGGAGTTTATTAAATATTAACTCACATGATCACAAGGCCCCACAATAGGCCGTCTGCAGGCTGAGGAGAAAGGAGAGCCAGTCCGAGTTCCAAAACTGAGGAAGCATCCAGCACGGGAGGAAGATGTAGGCTGGGAGGCTGGGCCAGTCTCTCTTTTCACATTTTTCTGCCTGCTTAAATTCTAGCCACTCTGGCAGCTGATTAGATTGTGCCACCCAGATTAAGGGTGGGTCTGCCTTTCTGAGGCCACTGACTCAAATGTTCATCTCCTTTGGTAACACCCTCGCAGACACACCCACGATCAATACTTTGTGTCCTTCAATCCAATCAGGTTGACACTCAGTATTAACCATCATAAGTCCACCCCTTGTCAACTTGAACCCATGCGCATCTCCTGAGATTATACATAATCTTCAAATAAAGACAATAATAAGGTCATAATTATGCCCAACATAATACAACTATCCTTCATACAACCGGAAACGCACCAATCCCCAGCCCATATGCTATTACGCAAAGTTAATAATACTTAAATGCTGATGTGAAGTCAATAAATCTTACATCACATAATAAAGGAGAAAGGAAATAAAATGAAGATATTTTCTTAGTACAAGTGTATACATGTACAAACGTGTTTTTAACAAAAGAAGGAGGAAATACTCATGACAATTACAGTGCTCTTTCTGCAGCTGGTCACGCAGTCATAGTTGGTATTGATGGCTACCTTCTTCTGCTACCCATTCTGTATTCCCTTTCCCTTTAGCAAGCATCTCAGCAGGTCATGGTTTTTTCCTGGTGGAGTGACCCAAACTTCCATTTCTGAAGGGTCTGGGTCATTTGTAGTCCTGCCTGGATTGGGCTGTTGTAGTTTCCCACTGACCTTAATCACAGGGCATGGTAATGCTAAGAGACGCCCTAATGGATCTCAAGTATTCCATGCATACTTTTCCTTACCTCCGTTGTGGAGTAGTAGACTGACTTCATCAGGATAGTCTAGGTCAGTCACAGCAGCCAACACTGTAACTCCCTTCTAAGCCTGTTAACGTAAAGGTAGAAGGAGCCCAAAGTGTCCAGGTGGCAATTTTAACTTCCAGTTTAATGGCATTGTTGTTGTGTCTCCTGGTGGCAGCGTTCCTCCCTCTGGAGCTAAGACCTCTAGGCCAGCAGAATGTAATGTCACAGGAACAGGAAGCAAAAATTTTGCTAGTGGATCACTAGGGGTGATGGTGAGTGGTGCCACTTCCACTTCCATCCCTTGCTTCCTGGACCCAGGAATGCTGGCTATGGGAGAAACAGTACCATACAATGGACACTGATTCAGAGCATACACAGCCTTCTAGAGAATTTTGCCCCAGCCCTGCAAAGTATTGTCACCTAGTTGATGTCGTAATTGTGACTTCAAAAGGCCATTCCACCGTTCTATCAATCCAGCTGCTTTAGGATAATGGGGAACATAAGACCAGTAAATTCCATGAGCATGAGCCCACTGCCACCCTTCTTTAGCTGTAAAGTGAATGCCTTGGCCAGAGGTAATGCTGTGTGGAACCATGATGGTGGATAAGGCATTCTGTGACTTCACGATGGTAGTCTTGGCAGAAGCATTGCATGCAGGATAGGCAAACCCATATCAGGAGTAAGTGTCTATTCCAGTGAGGACAAACCTCTGCCCTTTGCATGATGAAAGAAGTCCAGCCAGTAATCCAGTAATCAGCTGGCTGATCATCCTGAGGAATGGTGCTATACTGAGGGCTCAGTGTTGGTCTCTGCTGCTGGCAAATTGGGCATTCAGCAGTGGCCATAGCCAGGTCAGCCTTGGTGAATGGAAGTCCATGTTGCTGAGCCCATTCATAACCTCCATCCCTGACACCACGGCCACTTTGCTCATGGGCCCATTGGGTGATGACAGGGTTGGCTGGGGAAAGAGGCTGAATGGTATCCACAGAACGGGTCATCGTATCCACTTGATTATTAAAATCCTCCTCTGCTGAGGTCATCTGTTGGTGAGCACTCACATGAGATACAAATATCTTCACAGTTTTTGACCACTCAGAGAGGTCCATCCACATAACTCTTTCCCACATTTCTTTGTCACCAATTTTCCAATCGTGCTTCTTCCAAGTCCCTGACCATCCAGCCAAACCCCCTACTGATTATGCATCAGTAAATAATCACACATCTGACCGTTCTCCTTCCATGCAAAGTGCAGAACCAAGTGCACTGCTTGAAGTTCTGCCCACTGAGAATATTTCCCTCCACCGCTGTCCTTCAGGGATGTCCTAGAGAGGGGCTGTAGTGCTGCAACTGTTCACTTTCGGTTAGTGCTCCATATTGTGCAGAACCATCTGTGAACCAGGCCCTAGTCTTCTCTTCCTCTGTCAACTGATCATAGGGAACTCCCCATGAGGTCATCGGTACAAGCTGGGGAAGAGAAAGCAGGGTGGCAGGAGTGGAGACCATGGGCATTTGAGCCACTTCCTCATGTAACTTACTTGTGCCTTCAGGAACTGCTTGAGCCCGATCATGTGTATATCACTTATATTTGATGATGGAATGCTGCCGCACACCGACCCATTTTATAGCTAGATGGATCAGAAAGCACCCAGTTCATGATAGGTAGTTCAGGTCACATGGTGACTTGATGACTGATAGTCAAATGTTCAGTTTCCACCAAAGCCCAGTAATAGGCCAAGA